>NC_000003.12:45767575-46070606 GCF_000001405.40 Homo sapiens
ACATCTAATGAAGTTCCAAAAGGAGAAAAATGAGAGAATCAGAGACAACGATTATGAGATAATAGGTATGAATTTTCCAAAACTGATAAGAAACATTGGACCCTTAGATCCAGGAAGCCCAACCTCACCCAGGCCTAGAGTGGATAAATAAAAATATATTCATGCCATGTCTAGATTGCAGAGGCCAAAGACGAAGAGAAGATCATGAGAAAGAGAAAAAGCTGCTTGCTTACAAAGAATAAAAGAAAATATCAAGAGCAACAATGGAAGCCTGAATCACATGGCAAACATCTTCAAAGTGTTGAGAGAAAATAATTGTTAACCTGGAATTTTCTACTCCGAGGAACAATGTCTTTAAAAGATAGATGCCAATTATAGAACAAAATTTAAGAAAACTGTTCTAAATGAAAGTATTTTAAGGAAAAACCTTTGGAGATGCTGGGATGCAAGAAAGAATGGTGAACAAATAAAATGGCAAACATGTAGGTAAATACAAGAGCTGTATAAAATAACCATAATGTCATGTCCAATGTATGGGGTTAAGGAGACAGAACTAGAAAACAATCATTTAAAATGGGAGATAAAATGAAAGTACTCTAAAGTCCTTTTGAATTTTGGGAAGGAGGTCAAGATACTGTTTAACTTTAGACTTTATTAAGTTAAATATGAAAGGAAAATTTCAAGAAGAGAAATCAAGCAACCAAATTCCAAACAGCAGGGAATAAAGTGGAATGGGGAAAGAAAAGAAAGAAAAAAAAAAGAACAAAGCAACAGGAAAAATGAAGTCTAGATAAATCAATAACCAACCATGTAATTCTTGGCTGTAGAGCCAAGCTCAAAAGTAAGTGAGGAAAACTCCCAGGTGCCATCCATAAAGGAAAGTTGAAGTGAGAGCACTGAACAAGTGCTGAAGCCAAAGGACCTCATGGGTCACCTGAACAGGACCTAGGCCTTGAGGGCTGGGGTTTGTGGGCTGGGGTCTGATGCCTGCCTGGGGAAGCAGGCTCATGCCACAGGCCAATAACAGGCATGGAGCTAGGGCTGAACAACCAGGAGAAAAAAGCATTGTCCCACCCATGAAATGACCTACAGTGGTTGTACCCATGAAACAAAGTGCCAAACAAACCAAACCCAACCAACCAACCACCCCAAAAATATCAACCTCCAAAGTAGCTTACTAGCAACCAGAGCCACAGGCCCTCCCTACTCCCTATCCTTGAAAAACATTACCTAGGAACACTCTCTAGGAATAATCTCTAGAAGTATTTGCATTAAATATAAGAATTAGGCAAATATGCCCACTATCACTTCTACTCCCATGTGCTAGAAGTCCTAGTGAATACAATAAGAAAAAGGGAATGAGATATAAGCATTGAAAAGAAAAATGCAAAATTTGATCTGCAGGAGATATGATAGTTTACATAGAAAACTGAAGCAAATCTATACATAAATATGAGAATTAATAAGAGAATTCATCAAGATTGCTAGATACAAGGTCAACATATAAAATATTTAGCTTTCTTTTGCAACAAAAACAAATGATAGAAATGAGGGGAAAAAACACCATTCACAATACAATAAAACAGTAAGGTAATAGAAATCTAATGAAAGATGTGCCAAGACATTCATAGAGAAAGTTAGCTGAAGAATGTTTTAAAAGACTTGACTGAACAAGAGAAAGTATGTTCCTGAGTCAAATATCACAATTCAAAAGATATTAATTCTCCCCAAATTACACTATAAAATCAATGCAAGTCTAGTAAAAATTCCCTAGATTTTTTTTTTCCAATGAAACTTATCAAACTGATCCTCAAAACAATGTGAAAAAATAAAGGTCCCAGCACAGCAGAGATAATTCTGTAAAATATAAATAAAGGTGACTTTCAGTAGCAAAAATTAAAAAAAAAACCCTCCAAATGTCTATTAGTAAGGGAATGGATAAATAAATTGCAGTATTGTTGTGTGATGGAATAAAATGCAGCATTTAAATGAACAAATGAGGTTCCACATGTATTATTATGGACAGATCTCAAAATTAAAATGCTGAATGAGAGAAGTATCTTTCCAGACCATTTATGCCCATTTAAAAACTGCTGACATAGGAGTGCAAAAGGCTTGTTGAAAAAAGAAAAAATAAAACAAAAACTGCCAACAAAACAATGATATTATTTAAGAATACATAGATGGGTAATAGAAATATAAAAATGAAGGTTCTTGCCTTTGGTGAGTAGGGAAAAAAAGGGGGACTTTTTAACTTCATCTCTGAAATGTTCTTTTATATAAAAAAATCTGAGCCCAAAATGACAAAATGTTTACAATTGATCTTTCTGAGTGGTATATATGGGTGTTTGTTATTCTCTCTACTTTTCTGTATTTTAAAAGCTTAGAAAGACAAAAGAAAAAGAGAGAAAGGACAGAGAGGTCCGCCAGGAAGTTTATTATAACTAGCATTCTCGAACAGCCCTCAAGAGAGTGGTGTTAAAGCCTCTCTTCCCCTTGGAGTTGCAGGAAAAGTAATTCAGGATCCTTCTTTATTTTTACAGACCTCGCCTATCTCCCAAGTCAGCAGCTCACCAAGGTTCCCATGAGTGTGTGGAGAGAAGCCAGTCCTTGACCTTGCCTGGGCATCTTACCGTGTCTAGCTCCGATTCCAAGCTGCAGTTTTTGATTTGCGGGAACATCTCGCTGTATTTGCTTGGGTAGGCAGATGCGAGGTAGCCCTTCACCTGCTCCAGGTTGCTGGCTGTCAAAAAGCCATCTTCAAGGTCAAAAGTGTTGGTCAGCAGCAGACTCACCCTGCAGAGCAGACCATCGGATCGACCTTCACTGATCAGAAAGGCAGCTGTCACCAAAGCCTCCCGTCAGCCTCTTCTTTTCTGATTAGGTGAGGAAAGGGAGTCTGTTGCTTGGTGATCTTTTAAAGGGCAGGGTAATTTTGAATGGCACTGAAGAAGCCTCAGATATGAACAGTGATGACAACAGGCACCAAACTCACACAGCTAGGCTATTTTAACCTCTGGACCAACATAGTCCAGCAGAAGTTTCTGTGCTGATGAAAATGCTCTCTATCTGGGCTGTCCAATTTGGTACTCACTGGCCACATATGGCAACTGAGCACTTAATGGTGGACACTGAGCAACTGATTGAAAGTAACAAGGGAATGTACTGAAATATGAATTAAGTTATTTAAATGTGAATTAAGTTGCATTGATTTAAATGTAAATTTGTAAATAGCCACTTGTGGCTAGTGACTACCCAACTGGACAGCATACCTCCTGGATGATGTCTTTGTATTTTGGGCAAGGGGCCACAGAAAGTGAATCCTGCAATCTCTGTGGCTCAGCTAGAGGCTTCTTGGTTACTTCTGAGGTGGGGGAGATGGGGTAGAAGAAACAAAATTTGATCATTGTATGTCCTATTATGCTAAGTGCTCACAACACGCTAACGTGCCCTCATCCCTGCCAGGCAGATGTTGACATGCCCCAGGCCCTCCAGCAACTGGTGGTGGTGTAGGGAGTCCAAATGTGAGCCCTGGATTGAGGACTCCAAAACTGGTGCACTTTGCCCCAGCCCTTGCCCAGGCGACCCTTCAGCTCAGAGCTCAGGGAGGCCTGGGACTCGGTGGGACAGCCCAGGCTTACTTCTTCAAGCAGTTTTCATAATTGAAGGTGGCCTTGAAGCCATAGATGGAGAAGGTGACAATGCTGGCAAATATGGAGGTGAAGCTGTTGATGAGGGACACGATGATGGCGTGCTTCTGGCAGTTGTTGGATGGCTCATTGTAGCTGGCGAAGGCGATCAGGCTGCCGAAGCCCAGGCCAAGTGAGAAGAAGATCTGGGTGGCTGCATTGATCCAGGCCTTGGGGTTGGCCAGCTGCTCTATCTGGAAGGCCAGCAGGGACAGGGCTGATGATCCCTGGGTGGAATCCCAAATGCTCAGACCCGCAACAGGAGAGTAGCCCAGAGAGGGGAAGGAGCTCACCTACAGCACGCAGCCATCAGGGGCACCCCTAGGGCTGGAGACCAGCTCTCCTGGCCCCATCCACTCCCTGGCAGATGAAACACACACCTCAAGCTGCACACCTCCCAGGGCTAAGGTGCTGTGGAGAATACAGGTGCTATGTGGAGGACATAAGGTGCTACGTATCCTCCATAGCACCTCAGCCATAGGAGGTGTGTAACCAGAAGCAGCTATGCTCACCACTATACGCCAGTGCGGAGGTGTGCAATGGAATACTGCAGGGTAAAATAATTAAAACACAAATGGGGCCCTGATTCATAGGCAGTTACTGCACAGGTCTGGGCATTCAGAGATGGAGGGGGTGTGGCCTGGCAGGGGAGGTCTAGGTGTGGGTTGACTCTCGGCACTGACATCGGTGGCGTCTGGAATGGGGAAGGGGAAGGATGACACAGTCATTTTATTTCTAGGGACTGCATTTGCCAAATGAAGAACTTGCCCCATCCCAAAGGCAAGAGTGCACCCTCCATGGATGAACCCTGGGTGTGGGGTGCATGGAGAATGGGTGGGTTGGGAAACTCTGTAGGGAAACGGGTGCGTGGAACCATGTAAGCAGGCAAGCAAGATGACCAGAGTGGTGCTCATGGCAAAAAGCTTGGTCCACAGTCTGAAAGGGGCTTGAGGTGAGGCAGTGGCAGGGGTGCAGCAGTTGGGGGACAGTGAGGATGAAGAGGAGAAGCTGAAAGAAAGACTTAATGCTCCAGAATTAACAGGGAGTGGGGATGACCTGGCTGAGGAGGTGATCCAGTGACTGCAGGTACTCCACACTCCTGCCACACCCTGGTGGGCTCACATCAGCTTCCGTAGGTACAGCGTTGGCCCACTCTCCACCTTTCCCTCTTCCCACCCATCCTGGAAGGTGGCAGGATAAGTGAGGGGTGCCCGTAGGGCCCTTCCGCTTCAGCCCGTACCTTGGGAGTGAACATGTACATGAGGCCATTGGTGGCTCCGTGGAGCGTGAGGCCCCTGATGAGGTAGATGATGAGCACGCAATAGGGCAGTGACGCCGTGAAATACACCACCTGCGGGCATCAGAGGGCAGAGTTGGCCTCCCGGAGCAGTGGGGTCCACAGGACAGACCCATGCCCCATGGAACACCACATCTGGGGTATTCAGGCTGCACCGCCCAGCTGCTGACAGCTGGAAAAGGCATGGAGATTCTTGGTCACACACAGGCTCTGGGTTAGGGCTGGGGAAGTGGGCTGGTGGGATGTGGTTGCTCACAGCTGTGACCAGCACGACATTTCTTATTCAGTAGAGAAGAGGCAAACAGGTACCGAGCCTCTGCCTTCCACCCTCCCTTCAACCTGACCTTATTCTGGAAAGGATTTGAGGTTACCCACAAAAACACATCAGTCACGTTAACATTTCAAAATTGCTAAAGAAATCAGCATGAAAAAAATATATGGGCAATCCAGTAATGAGCCCACAGGAAAAAGCAGCCCATAGAATCTGTGCATAAGTCTCTACCCAGTTTCTGAGCCAGATTCAGCTCTGAGCTTCCTGGTGGCCTACACACAAAGCAGGAACACAATTAAAAGGAAAAAAAAATCTGCAGCTTGGAGGAGGACAGATTTCCCCAGGACTGGGGCCTGAGAGCAGATTGGTCACGAGTGCTCATACAGGAAAGCAGCGAGGTGTAGCGTAGAGGACAATGTCCCCATAATAAACACAATAGGAAATTCAGATCTGATTTTTATGGCAACCCTCCAGAAAGGGTTTACTTCCTTAGGCTTTAACATTACACCTGAATGGACATTTTTGTCAACCAGATCTTCTTTCTCCACCGACATGCATCGTAAGTTCAATGATGTTTTGTTAATATCTTTGGTGTTCATGGTAGCTTTAGTAGTCACCTGTCATGCTCTGGGTGATTCTAACTGTTACAAAGCCATAGAATACAGACCTTCAAGTGCACGTGTGCCTATCCAGGAATGGATTTTTTTCTGTAAATCAACTCATATGTGTACCAGAGCCTCATTTGTAAAGGAAATAAATATTTTGCAAGATTGTCTTTTGTGTAAGAGTTCCCTTAAAGTTTGAGTCTCTCTGTGAGAAATATGGCTGGTGGCCTATGTTCAGGTGGGCTTGAATTACACTTGGCCCTCCCTTCCTATTGAGGTGTGGCATCATCTTCTCATCCATTTCCAAGGCCACCAGAATGGCACTCTGTACGCTGTCACCCAGGGGACGGCAGGTGGAATGTGGGGTGTGTCTTTTATCACTGCTTCTTAGCTGAGGTTGTTGTAACTTGAGAAGAGTAATAAATCCACCCAAGATTATAAGAAACCAGGTAAGAGAGATGAAAAGACAGAGCACTCACTCGTGACCAACATCCATCACAATGGGCACTAAGCAGGCCCTTAGGGCCAGCCCCGAGAATTTCCCTCCTTCCCCCAAGGTGAGCAAGTTTCCTGGAGGCTCATGGAGTCCCTAAGTGGGCAGAATTGCTGGACACGTGATCCAGCCTAATCTATTGGAAGAAACCAATTCTGACCACTCTGCAGAGATTCTGGCAGGAAACAAAGTCGATTCCAACAGAGGATGCCAGGAAATGGCACATGGTCTGTGACAAGATTAGCTCTATTTACATAGAGCTGTTGGGGTACTTTTCCCAGGGAGAAGGGTGTAGCTGAAGCAGAGGAAATAGATGATAAGAATAAATAAGTTTTTATGGCATGACATGGTCTTATGCAACACATTTCAAAGTGATTGGGAAAAGGAATGGTCTCTAATCTCTACCTCTGCAGATGTTGCCCTCTGATCTCTTGGATCATGATCATAATAATCTGGCAAACATAAATTACAAAAACATTTTTTATGAGCATGACAGTATGGCCAGGCTCTACGATGGGACTGAGTGGGCTGCTGCAGGTTCTAAGCTCTCTCGGGGAAAGAGCACCTGTGCTCACTCGTCCCTTTCCTCAGCCATGGCACAGGGGACTTTGGGGGCTAAGAGGCTGGTCATCAGGGGCTCTTAGAAACCAAAATAAAATGCCCTACCAGGCATGATACTGGAGTTGTCCCATGGGCCCTGGAATACCATGGGTAGCTCTGGTCTAATGCCTCAAGAAATACATGGGGGGTGGGGTGTGGCTGGAGGAGACAACTCAGGTAGTCAGAGGGTGAGGACAGGTGGGCTCCTAGGACTCTCAGCAGGTGACAGTTGGAATTGATGACATCATTAAGGCATAGAGAGAGCTATGTGGCTACCAAACCAAGACAATGGGAAGTCTTGGGGTGAGGCTGGGCTTTGCCCTCACTAGCTGTGCCCTTGGGCAGGTCAATTTACCTCTCTAAGCTTCAGGTAACTGGGATCATGAAATCTACCATGAAAGGCTGTTGCCAGAATGACACAATGTGGGTGCTCAAGCCGTGGTGGGTCTACTGTGAGAAGTGACAGTGAATGAGACAGGGTGTGCTAGGCTCCGAGACATCTGCTGAAGCTTCAGGCAGGTGGCGGGTGATGGGAACACTGAAAGCAAACCTTCTACGTGGAGCAGACTAGAGATGAAGGAACATGTCAGCCCCAGTGAAAGTGTGAGCCTTGGGATGCACCAAGAAAGGATTATGGAGATCAAGCCCGACAGCTCTGGAGGGTGATTGGAAGCAGCTTAGAACAAAGGGTCTCAAACTCAGCTGCAAATTAGAATCACCTGGCGAGCTTTTAAACCTCCCCTGCCTCCCCACCCAGTGCTCAGGACACACCCCAGACTGGTTACTGCAGAATTTTGGGGGGCGGGGCTAAGGCATGAGATTTTTGAAAACTCTCCAGAAAATACCAATGTGCAGCTGAGTTGGAGAGCCAGTGGCTAGGGTGTCTCGAGGATACATACAATCTTAAAGAAAAGCAAACTCACTGTCTGGTTGTCTGGGTGGTATGGATTTGGGGCTGACTGCTACAGAAAAACTTTTTTTTTCTAAGAAAGTCCTTGTTTTGAGATTTAGGGTTGCAACTTTAACCATCTCTGGCCCTCTCTATAGTCATCTAGTAGGTGACTTGTCCCAGCAACACCATCTGTGCCCTCTGCCCTAACATAGCTGCTGCCTTTCCACTGCAGAGGGCACTCCCTTGGCATTGCCTAGGGTTGGAGACAGAGGCAGCTGCCCCTTGGTGCACCCTCCCACCCACCAGGAGCACCGGGCTTCTGTGCCTCACTGTCCCACCTTGCCAGTGGACTCGGTGCCACGCAGGATGCACAGGTACACCACCAGCCAGGCCAGGAGGAGGCACAGCGCCGGCTCCCACTGCACACCCCCGTTCTCCTGGAGGGACGGCGAGATATTGAGGGTTTTCCTGTACCAGAAGTACTGTGTGGAGGACGCCTTCTCACACTCCTCATCGTAGCCCGTGTGGTTACCATTCAGTGGGCAGACAGACCACGGCAGGGGATCCTGTGGGACCAAAGCAAGTGTTATCCAGGGAGGTGAAGGCTGAGGACAAAGGCTGTGGCAGGGGTGAGGGAGGTGGCCCTGAGCGGAGACTCTTGGAAGAGAAGGGTGCTGGTCCCCGAAGGGCAGGTGGCTGGAGCCCCTGAAGGCAGACTGGGAGTTGGAGAGTTTGTCAGGGGGCACGGGTGAGGCAGGAAGGGGTTGGAGGAGGGGGCTCTACTCTCGTTGCAATTCTACGGGTGTTCCTTGAGGACTACTGAACTCTGTGGTGGGTCCCAGAGACTGAATAGCAAATGGACCACAGCCAGGCCAGCCCTGATGATGGAACTCCGACCCACGGCCTGTGCACAATCAGCTCAGGCACTTAAACCACACCCTCTGCAGCACTGGCCCAGATTGCTTAGGACTTGGTCAATGATTGAGAGAGTCCCTATTTTTTGGCCAACTCAGAACCAACCAGAGAAAGTGACAGAGAGCCCAGTTCAGAGTAGCTTAAGCAGATGAGAGTCTTACTGGCTCCACCCTGCAAAGTCCAGGAGTCTAACTGCTTCAGGTATAGCTTGACTCTAGCTCAAAGAAGTCACCAGCACCAGGTTCTCTCGGGCTCAGACATGCAGGACAGCTGTGGGGCCTGAACCTCATCTCCTGCTAGCTTCCAAACCCAATGTACATTGCAGGAAATGCCATTCGCCACCAGCACTTAGTGAGCACAGAACCTGAGACTTACGCATCTCAGGACTTGAGGAAATCAGCAAAGACCACCCAAGTGAGAACAAGCAGAGGCTGTTTACTTAGGACTTGCTACAGCAAGGGCGATAGCAGCATCGCTTGCATTTGGCGGGGCTCCAAGGCAGGCGGGGATTGGGAAAGCTTGTTAGTGAGAAAAGAGAAGGCTCCAGGTGTGCCCCCATAGGAGGCTGCTGGCGTGTCACTTATGAACAAAGGAGCCTCAATGGTGCATGCATCATGACCATGACCCGAGGCCAAGTGGTAAACAGTGGTGCTGAGATGGGAGGGAGGGGAGGAAAAGTTACTTCTGACTGTGGGGTAGGAGACCCCAACCCTGCTCTTTGAGGACCAGCCCCACATTGATCAGTTTTGCACATATCTGGGTTCTACAAGCCCAGATTTAATTAGACAAAAACGCATCATTAATGGAAGCAAGTCTGACCACCCCACTGGGCTCAATCCCATATTTCACAGGAGACAGAACCAAGGCCCGGGGTATCACCTAATGGGTCATGGCTACTGTGCCAGTAGGCAGCTGGAGCCCAGGTCTGCACACCCAGACAGTGCTCAGGACTGTCCTGGTGAGGACCTCCACGCCCACCCCTGCAATACCTCCCCAGGCCACCCTAGCCTATTGGAATGTGTGAGCTGGTTTCTTGCTTTGACCCATATCGTGTTCAAAGCTGGCCACCAACAGTCCTTCCCCTTCCCATGTGCACATTTCTCCCATCCAGAAGTGGTGTCTCTTGCCTCAGCCTGTGAGTCTGGGCTGTCCTCCGATGCAAGCTGACCAACTGAATATGGTGAAGAGATGCTGTGTGAGTGACTTCCCGGCCCAGGACTTCAGAACCCTGTAGCTAGCCTCTCACCCTCTTGGAGACCAGCTGTGGGACATCCAGGCTAGCTTCCTGAATGATGCGGGTGCAGGGAGAGGGAGGCACGTGGAGGGAACTGAGGTGCCCAGTGGCAGCCAGCACCAAGTCCCAGGCAGGTGACAGGGGTCCTGGTAGACCTGAAGCCCAGTTGAGCTGCCTAGGCTGACATCCCCTTGGGCCATTTACAGCCTGTGTGGGACTGACCTGAGTCTGTTCCCTGGACTACCTGCTGATGCCAGACCGGGCCTGCTTCCCAGGCTTGGCTACACGACTAAGGCACCCGGGGGTGATGCCCAGGCTGCACCCCCAGTGACTCTGATTTCATCTGTTTGGGATAGGGCCTGGTCATTGGATTTTTCACACCTCCCCACCCTGCACCCCGCACCCCGCAACTTCATCTCCCCAGTGTGCAGCCAGGTTGAAGAAGGTTTAGCGTATAGGAGAACTTGTTAAATGGGCCAGTTCCCAGTCTGACCTCCCTCACTCACCTCTGAACCAGCAGGTGAGGACAAGGATCCCCGCATTTGTGTGCATAACAGCCCAGGTGCTCCTGCTGAGAAGGGCTGGACACAAGGCTGGAAAGCCTGGCCAGGGAGTGAGTAGACAGGAGCACAGACTCCGGGGCCAGGTCCCTGAGTCCAACCCCACCAGCTATGAGCTACTCGGCTCCCCTCTGCTCGGGTGCTCAGTGTGCTCAGCCTCGTGGGGTGGCTGTTTTGATTACATGAGTGAACACTTCTAAAGTGCTGGGACCTATGTCTGGCCCAAAGCACATGTAAGTGAATGTCTGCAGCTACTATTCCTCTCATTATTATGGGACCATGGAGGAGGGCTTCAAAGTAGAGGGACTAAGGGATAAGTCCACAGACCTATGAAGGATGGAATGAATGAATATTTAAGTGATTTTCATGAATCGCTGGCCCCCATACTTCTGACTATTAGAAAAAGATGCCCCTTTCTTGAGGCACTTTATTTTTGCTTTTGGGGGATGAGCAAATTATTCTGATTTTGTTAGGACAAGACACATTACTTCCACTTTTGGAAACTTGTCTTAATAAGTATACAAATCTATAATGCTTACAATGTGTATGGCAAGCCCTTAGTTGGCAGTACTGTTGTGCAGTGCACAAGCTGCCCAACCATACATGAGCCCTGCACAGAGGACAGGAAACAGTCACCAGGCTATAGAGTAAGAAGAGTTGCCCTGTTTCCACTGAGAAGGCTGGGGAGAGGCAGAGTTGTGGCCAGTGTTCATGAAACTCTAGGTTGAACCAGGGAAAGAAGGAGGGACTGCAACTAAGCTCAGGTTACAGCTTTCTTGCCAGAGATACGTGCAATGGGGCAAGCTTGGTGGAGCTCATTGGGAAGCCAGAGTGGGGTATGCCAAATCAGGATTATTAAAGTCATTCACCCAAGCATTCCTCACGCCCCCACAGAGTCAAGGCTATGCCCAAGCACCCCAGAGGCAAACCCAGTTCAGTCCATAGTCCATGCCAGCCCTATCTTGCTTGCGGACCTTGGGGACAGGCATGTCCCATGAAGGCCTGGCTCAGGGGCAAAGGGTAAGGCATTGGCCTGGTTAGCTCCTGCCTCCTCCACTGTTCCCAACTGGGAAGAAGCCAAGGTGAAGGTGGTTCCTGGAAGCAGGTGGGGGCAGTGGAGGATGGGGTTCCTGAGAGTGAAACGGTAGGAGCCAGGTAACAGAAATGAGCATGAGCAGTGGAAAGGAAAATTCCTCTTGTCCTGAATGTACACCAGCTCTCTGTGTGGAATTGGAGTTCTTGCTTCTCTACAATTCTAGCCCCTTCCACTTTTCTACAGAGTGTCAGCTGTAGTTATCATCAGAAATGTGTGGTTTAAAATGTTTAGGAATGGCCCTATTGTGTTACAGGGTGACAATGGTCCTTCTAGGAGAACTTAGGGGTCTGCAGGGAAAAGAAGAGGCTCAGGCTGGAGTCAGAAACCTGGAAGCACGAGTGGCCCTGAGGAAAGCGGGAGAAGGGGACGGGGAGGAAGAGGACAGGCCGTTGCTGTCTTGCTGGATTGAGGGAATCCCTCCCCACCAGTCCTCTCCACAGATTTCCTCCTAGGCACACTGTGCAGTAGTTCTTAATAGTGTGTGTGTGGGGTCACATCCATCAGAGAGAATCCACTGAAAGCCATGGACCTTCTCTCCAAGAACACGCACACTCTCACCGGTGGACTCTTGCTTACAGCGTAAGGGGCCCGTGGAGCCCGGGTTCAGAAGCCCTTCACGTGGTTTGGGGTGCATGGCTTCCCCTCCACCTCACACCACCCACCGGCTCCCCGCCCCGAGGCTGCTCACCTTGCCCCACACCCCCTTCCCCGAGCGGGTGGCCCTGTTTTTCTCTCCCTTTCTCGCTCCTACTCCTGTTCTGGCACGGGCCCCCCGGCTCACCTGGAAGGAGTGGAAGAGGTACCAGAAGGCCCAGGCGTTGATGACGTTGTAGTACATGGAGAGGAAGAAAGAGACCACCACGCTGGCGACCCCTGCGAGGAAGCAGAGGGCCGCGCTGAGGACTGAGGATGGCCCTTCCCCCTCCGCCAGGCCCAGCGTGTGCTCCCAGGACACACCTGTGGCGACCGCCCCGGGGTGGGCGAGGCCTCCCTCCACCAGGTTTGTGTGGTGAGTATTAAGCGAGACCAGGCACCTGTGAACACTTGGGAAGGGTGATTTCTTTTTCTCCAACCTCCCTCCTCACCTTCTGGGACAGGAGGCTGATGACATGTTTTTGAGATCTAACTGCCAGGCACTGTGCTAAATAAGTACTTTATTTACCTTTGGTCCTTACAACAGTATTATCTTCATATCGCAGAAGAGAAAACTGAGGCCTGGAGCCTGCCCAAGACTACCCGGCTGTTAAGTGGCAGAACTGGGTTCACAACCTCATGCTGTGAGAAGCACTGTTGCTGTGAAGTGCTACCTTGTCCAGATGTACAGTTATGCTCCCTCCTTGGCTCACCAGCGGTTGAGTCACCTGGTAGCCAGGAGAGGGGGTGTGAGGAGGCGGTGGGGAGGGGGCTGCCCGTAATTCGGTCAGGCCTGCACAAAACCCAGGGTGCGGCCTGAGAGCACAGAGAGGGGTGGGAGGCAGCAGGGCTCTGGGGCTGGCCCACACCAGCCCTTGAGAACCAGCGTCCCCTCCTCTCCCCAGCCGCAAGTGCTGGGACACTCGGTAGTAGAAACCGGCCATGGTGCCTGTATTTACCCCATAGGCATCCGCAAATGCTATAAACCAGGGCTTCCCCTCCCCACCCCCACTCCACTCTGAGCACTGGTTGTTAAATATTCACCAGCATCCCCTGGTTGGCACAAATATCTGGTATCTTTCCTATGATGCAGAAGATGCCTCTGAGAAGTCCTCTGTGATTGCTTATTCAGGCAGATTGTAAAACTACACACTTCTGTGTTAAAAATTAATAGCCTAGCGAAACCCCATCTCTACTAAAAATACAAAAAATTAGCCAGGTGTGGTGGCGGGTGCCTGTAATTCCAGCTCATCAGGAGGCTGAGGCAGGAGAAACGGTTGAATCCGGGAGTGGAGGTTGCAGTGAGCCGAGATTGTGCCATTGCACTCCAGCCTGGGCAATAAGAGCGAAACTCCGCCTCAAAAAAAAAAAAAAATTAATAGCCATTCAAGACAAGGAGGCAGTCTGGGTTTGGAGATGATTTGTGAGAACACTGGACACATTTCTTCTGCATCTGCAACCAGGTCACATATAAGCTTCCACCCTCTTTGCTCCTGAAACGTCACTCTGCTTTCCTGCCTGCCTTCCTTTCTGGGGTGGGAGGGGTGAGCATCACAGGCTATGGCTACTTCTGGTCAGGGTTCCTTCTGCATGCAGAGGCAGCCCTGGGTCATAAGCAATGTGCAGGGCAGGTGGAGGTTGTCCTGGAAGTGCCTGGGGCTCTGGCTCAAGGTCACTCAGGAGAAGCATGAGATGAAACAGTCCTCTCCTGCTGTCCGTGCGGGCCTCAGCTTCCGCACCCCAGAGACATTAATGGCACTCCACAACACCTCAGCGGTGTAAAGAAGATTAAATGAGCTCATGCACATATATCCTATAGGCTGGCTCCCAGCATGTAGTAGGTGCTTGCTAAAAGAGAGCTGTTATTTAGCAGGGAGAAGTTGGTGAGTTTCCAGAATGGTTGTTAGCTAGGACTTGGAGTTACAGCTGTTTCCCTTTTACAGGTGACCAAGCTGAGGTCCAGAGAAGAGAAGGAGGGTGGCATCTGTTCCCCAAGGGGCATGCATCCTCCCTGTCTTACCGCCCTGTGGGTAGGAAACCCAGCTCCTCTCAGCCCACATTCTATGTCATCCCCACCAGGCCATTTGTTCACCCCAGGCAAGAGCTCTCTCTTGGGCCTTGTGCTCGCCCCTTGATCCAGCAGCTTTGCTGATGGGATCCCACCCACACCCCCATGCTGCCCGGGTCTCTGGGTGGGAGAGGACTGGAGGGGCCCCACGTACCGACACCACTGAGGTACGGGCTGATGGTCCTCCAGGCGCCGATGCTGCCCTGCCGCATGCGCTGCCCCACAGCCAGTTCCAGGTACAAGAGCGGCATTCCCTCCACGATAAGCATGATGATGTAGGGGACCAGGAAACTACCTGTGGATGTCCAGAGCTGAGAGCCAGGCCACCACCAAAAGGCTTTTCTCCACGACCACTCAACCTCTGTGCAAACATCCTTCCATCCTCCTGTCTTTCTACTTGTCCATGCATTCTCCTACCTTTCCATCATCCATCCTCCTCTTTCTACTCATCCTTCATCCTTCTTTCATTCCACATTTTCATCCATCCCTCTTGCTGCCATTCCTCTCATCTATCTATCTACTATTCATTCACCCACTTTCTATCCATCCTTCCATCCAACCATCCATTCATCCATCCGTTCTTCTGTCTATCTTTCCATCCTTCCATCTATCCACCCTACATCCATCCATCCTTCCTTCCTTCCATCCATCTATATTTCCAACCTTCCATTCATCCATCCGTATTTCCATATTTCCATCCATCCATCCATCCATCCATCCATCCATCCATCCAACCATCCATCCATCCTTCCATCCATTCATCTGTCCATCCTTCCATGCATCCTTACATCCATCCTTTCATCTTTTTATCTTCCTACTCAGCCACCTGTCTGTTCGTCCATCCATCTGTGGATGACATGCAGCCATGTCAGTTGTTGAACTCTTTAAATTCATCCTCGCTGGGAGGCAAACTGCCACTGTCCCAAGCTGCTTGAATGCCTTTCTCAATGCCTCCACTGTCCCAGCCCTTCTGCCAAACCCCACATTCCATCTTCTATTTCAGCAACTAATAGTTGATCAGGGCCAAGACAATTGTGTTGTTAAATATGTCAGACATCATGCCTGGATCCATGCATTCAGCTGTCCACCTCTATGCACTTCCTTTGGGCTTTGTGCACAGCCCTGATGGTGCTCCACATGAGGTAGTGTATGAAACAGACACTTACTAAGCACTTACTCTGGGCCAGCCCCTGGCTGGTGTGGAATGGGAGAGTAGCAACTCTGCTCCCTGCCCTTGAGGTTCCCTGCTGTTGGTGATGGTGGGGAGCCAGGGAGTGTGAATTTTGTCAGGGTGAGCCTAACAAAATGTCCAGTGGGAAAAGAGGGCAGGACTTCTGATCAAATAAAACCCAGACACTACAACTGCAAAGATTAAGGGCTGATTACAGAGCAAACTGGATCCTCAGTTGTTAAGGTAAACAACAAAATAACTATGCTTACATGAACATCTAATATTTACCAAAAATGTCTCCATTGTACACACGTGCTGTGCTGTAACCCACTCTTCTCACCCTATGGCATTCCCCAGGCACTCTCCCAATCACAGACCTTTGCATCACCCCTTAAAGAGCTGCATGATGTTCTGCTCTGAAAATGAGCCCAGAATGCATTTAATCAATTGTTAGACACTCAGGCTGTTTCCAGCTTTCTGCCATCCTAAACAAAGCTGTGAAATGAAGCCTGGTCCACTTGTTTGTGTATTTCCTTGGGATACAAATCCCAGAAGTGGAATGGCTGGGGCAAAGACCAGGCAGAGCCCCCATGGCCACACCACAGAAAGAAAGGCATGAGCCGCTTGCATGGGTGGATGAGTGCCCACACCACCAGGCTTGGAGTTCCTAGCTTCATCCTGCTCATGTGGGGGCCTAGAACAAATCCTGCCCTCTCATGTCCAGACACTGCTATAACTCCTCTAGGCCAGGCTCCCTTCCTTTCCTTCAGAACCTTGTTTCAGCACCTTGTGAGTTTTCTCTCAATATCAAAGGAGTCCAAGAGGTCATTGGTGGCTCTCAATCATGAAATATCTGACAATAAAGATTGGGTTCACACACTGAGACTTTGAAGCCACATTCAAACCCTCAGTGGTTATAAGATAATCCTGTTTTTACGCGGGGTGTTAAACAGTAACTATGTAAGGCCTGGCAAGGTCCAGGGACGACTGTCTCTCTGACAGGGTCTGACTGCCCAGTGCCCATGGGTAGGGTGGAAATCTAAAACCTGATGCCAAGTGGGAACATGGGGGCTGTTTGGCCCTAGGCATTAATCATTTCTGTCACTCCTGACCCAACCTATCAAATAAACACATAATCTGGGTGAATTTGCTCTGCAATAAATTTTTCAAGAAATGATGCTAGAACAATTGAACATTCATATGCAGAAAAATGAAACTCAACCCATATCTCAAATTTTATAACAAACAAATCTCAGAATGGATTACAGGCCTATATGAACAACTAAAAGCTATAAAACTTATATAAGAATACAGGAGAAAACCTTTATGAACTTGAGTTTGAGGCAAAGATTTCTTAAATACAATGTTAAAAGCACTATCTATGGAAGAAAAGATTGAGAAATTGGATTTCGTTACTTCTTTGTGAAAGACACTGTTAAGAGAATAAAAACAAAAACTATAGACTGGGAGAAAATACTTGCAAAACACGCATCTTGAGAAAAACTTTGTGCCAAGAATATATAAAGGATTCTCAAAACTCAATAAGAAAAATAACCCTTTCAAAAAATGTAAAAAAAAAATGTGAACAGGCATTTCACCAAAGAATGCCTGTCTTAGTCTGTGCTGCTATAACAGAATACCAGAGACTGGATAATTTACAAAGAACAGAAATTTATTGGCTCATGGTTCTGGAGGCTGGGAAGTCCAAGAGCATGGTGCTAGTATCTGGAGAGGGCCTTCTTACTGCATCATCCCATGGCAGGAGGTGGGAGGGCAAGAGGGAGCAAAGGGAGCAAGAGGGAGCAAGAGGGGGCTGAACTCTCTTTTATAACAAACCCACTCTCTCAATAACAAAAACACTCCTGGGATAATGATACCAATCCATTGACAAGGCCAGAGTCCTCATGACCTAATCACCTCTTAATGGTCCCACTTCTCAACCCTATTGCATTGGAAACTAAGTTTTCAACACATGAGCTTTGGAGGACATATTCAAACCATAGTAGGATGATTCCATTTATATGACATTCTGGAAAAGGCAAAACTATAGGGACAGAAAACAGGTTGGTGGTGGCCAGGAGTAGGGGAGTAGGAAGGGGTTGACTACAAGGGGCATGATTTTGGTGGTAGTTGTGATGGCTAATACTGAGTGTCAAATTGATTGGATAAAGGGATGCAAAGTATTGATCCTGGGTGTGTCTGTGAGGGTGTTGCCAAAGGAGATTAACATTTGAGTTAGTGGGCTGGGAAAGGCAGACCCACCCTTAATCTGGTGGACCCAATCTGATCAGCTGACAGTGAATATAAAGCAGGCAGAAAAAAGTGAAAAGGTGAGCCTGGCTTAGCCTCTCAGCCTACATCTTTCTCCCGTGCTGGATGCTTCCTGCCGTTGAACATCGGACTGCAAGTTCTTCAGTTTTGGGACTCAGACTGGCTTTCCTTGATCCTCAGCTTGCAGACAGCCTATTGTGGGACCTTGTAATCATGTGAGTTAATACTTAATAAACTCCCCTTTCTCTCTCTCTCTCTCTCTCTCTCTCTCTCTCTTCCCCCTATTAGTTCTGTCCCTCTAGGGAACCCTAATACAGTAGTAATACAACTACATGCCTTAAAGGCATGTGTGGAGATTAAATACAGCCACACATTCTTCAGCGCTCCTCCCCTGAAGAGGTGGAGTCTATTCCCCACACTGTGAGGCTGGGCTGGCCTTGGGGCTGGCTTTGTCCAGTAGAATGTGGTGTCCATGTTGGTACCAGAGCCCAGGCCTCAGGATGCCTTGCAGCTTCACCTTCCTTCTCTTGGAGTGTGCCTGAGACAGCCATGTACAGATACCAGACCAGGCTCCAGAGGATGAGAGGCCACGAGGAGGAGAACCGAGGGAGACCAGCCAGCTCAGCACCCACTACCAGGTGTGTGAGGGACCTTCTGGCTGCATGAGCAAGGCCAGACACAAACAGTAAAGGAACAGCTCAGGCACCCACAGAACTGTGAGAAATGATTAATTATTGTTGCTTTAAGTCACTAATTTTTTTTCTTTTTACCTCTCAATATTTTCAGTGTGTATTTCCAAAAACAAGAACATTATCTTATATAATCCCAGTGCAATGAGTAAAATCAGGGAATTAACACCAACATCAAACTATTATTTTATCTGCAGCCCTTTTGCAATTTTCTTGACTGTCCCACTGATGTCCTCTAGGCATCCAGACTCTAGCTCACAAGCCCACAAGGCCTCTAGCTGTCAGGTTTCTTTAGTCTCCTTTAATCTGGGACACCTCCTTAGACATTTTTGCCTTTCTTTGTCTTTCATGACCTTTCACAGTGCTTTAGAGGAGCACTGGCCAGTTACTTTGTGGAATGTCCCTCATTTGGAGTTTTGGCAGAAACACTAAAGTTATCCTGTGTCCTTGTCCAGAGGCACAAGATGTCAATGTGTTCCATTCACGGTGATGTAGATTTTGCTCACTTGGTTGAGGTGGTGTCTGCTGGATTTCTCTGCTGAGAGTTACTATTCTCCCCTTAGAAATAATTATCTTCTTGGAGATATTCTGAGCCTCAGTAACTATCCTATTTCTCATACTTTTGCCCAGTAGTTTTGGCATCCAGTGAAGATTTTTGCCCAAAACGATTATTGCCACACTGGTTGCCAGATGGCGATTTCCTAATTCCATCATTCCTTCTAAGTCCTGGAGTTTTCAAGTGGTTTGTTATGAATAAATAGGTAACTGAGGCACACATTGAGCCCTGTGGTAATGTCTCTGCCACTGTGAGTCCATATTACCCCAGATGAGTGGGACGCTTACAGTCACAGAATTATTGGAAGATGTAGACTCAGCTCAGCCTGGTGAATCCTTACTCATCACCACCTCCCTGGCACCCACTGTCACATCTCCACTGCACCGCCCTCCAGGCAGGTCTTTGTGATTCCACCCTCCAGTCCCCTCCCTGCAGTTTGTTCTCAGATTGTGACACACCTGCCTTTTCCATCCCTAGCTTCTCACCTGGTCAAATCTTCCTTGGCTCCTCCTTCCACCTGGAATCAAACCCATACTCCCTCCCTTGACCTCTGAGGCTTGGGGAACAGGGCTCCCACCTTCCCTTCCCTGCCGCTGGCCTCTCTCCATCCACTGCAGTCACACTGGCCTTCCTGCTGGTCTGGCCTCAGCACCTTGGTTCTTGCTGTTCCTCCTGCCCAGGATGCTTTCTCTCTTCTTTCAGTGCTCTGCCCAGACTTGGCTTCCCCAGAGCCGCCTTCTCTGTCCACCCTCACTAGAACAGCCTTCTTGCCATCTTGGACTCCTTACCCTGCTTGATTTACCTTCTGAACATTTCCCTATGTGAATAATGCTATAATTTTCTTTGTTTACTTGGTGTCTGCCTCTCTACTAGCAAGGAAGCTCTCCTCTTGTTCTCTGCTCTGCTTAGAACAGCACTGGGCAGAGAGCCAGAGTCCATTGAATATTTGTTGAATGCAGGAAAGAATCCTTAGGGTCTCACTGGATCTTCCAGATGCATCACTTCCTCCAAGTGTCACCAGATCACTCAAAACTAAGACCCACCCTCTTGTCTTGCAAGCCCCTGTTGTTGAGGCACCTGCCGCTACACTGAATGTCTACTGCTCTGTCCACACCTCCAACTCCTAAACAGTCAGCTCCTTGAGGGTAGAGATGGGATCTGCATGGCTCATAGTTGATCTCTAGCTCCTAAGGAAGGACCTGGCACAGAGTAGGTGCTCAGTAAATGTTTGTTGAGTAACTGGCTCTACTGTGGTGTATAGCGTAATGCTTGGGCTTGCTGTCCATGTGTTTTCTCTTCTTGTAATCTCCATCTCTTTATCCTGTTCTTCTGAACTGTGGAATAACTTTGGATAGGGTCTCGCTCTGTTGCCCAGGCTGGAGTGCAGTGGTGCGATCACGGCTCACTGCAGCCTCGACCTCCCAGGCTCAAGCAATCCTGCTGCCTCAGCCCCCGTGAGTGGCTGGGCCCAAAGGCATGCATCACTGTGCCTGACTAATTTTCAATTTTTTGTAGAGATGGGGTCTCACTATGTTGCCTAAGCTGACATTACAGGGTGAACCAGTGAACCACTGCACCTGGTCCTGCCATATTTTTTGCTAGGGGAGATCCATACTGGCTCTTGGTGATACCCTGTTTCCAAAAAAAAAAAAAAATGATAAAAAAGAAAAAGAAAGCTATCCCACAGCTCAGAAGAAAAGGATAAAGAGATGGAGATTACAAGAAGAGAAGAGACATGGACAGCAAACCCAAGCGCTACTCTATGTCTAATAAGCGTTACTCAGTTTCAGCAGTTGTGCCTGCAGAAAGAACACTGCAGACACAACTGGTAGAAAAGTACAATCACAAATTCTACAAGTCATTTTCCCAGTTGTGTACATTGAAAGCACTCACTAGTCCTAGGTTAACTTGATGAAAACATTTAATACTTAGACATATAGCCTGTGATCTTTCAGAAATTATAAGATTCACATAATACCATATAAATTTATGTAATATTCTAGGTCCATGATACCTAATAACTAATAAAAAATAAAATTGGCTGCAGAGTTCTCCTTTGCAGAAATGAAAATCTGAAAACAACAGAAAAGCATCTATAGATTTTTGAGTAAAAAACATTGTAGCTAACTCATGTGGCTACAAAGGACAGATGTTCTCAGACATGCTGAGAAAGCGAACCACCTATTTACTATTCCTGAAAAACTTAAGTGCTCATGAACTGCATCCAACCAGTGTTGGATCAAAATAAGGAACTCAGATATGGGGTTGTGTTATAGTAGAACTAACTAGTGGTAAATAAACCAACAAAACAGAATCAAGTCTGAAAATCATACTGTTAATATCATTGTAAAGTTATACAAATGGAAAATGTAATTTCTGAATGAGAAGAAACAAAATATAAAGAGTAAAATAATCATCATAATGTGTCTGAAATCCTAGATTATATCAACAAAAGTTGTTAACTGGAATGGGGGTGAGGAAAGAAGCAAGAAGTACAAGTGTGCTAAAATTTTTTTCTTTCATAGGGTGATATCAACAGATGACATTTCATTCTTGACAGTGATAACTAGAGAAAATAAGTATACTTTCCCCTCAAATTTAAATTAACTGCTAATAGAAAAAATAGGAATTATACCTTCTAAATCACTTGAGAAAAAAAGTGAAGAATATATACTTCATAATGTAAAAGATCAAAACAAAATCCAACAATAATAACTAACAAAAAGGAAAAGTAAGGCAGTACGAAATGTGATGAAAAATAACAGCAAACATAACCTGATAATAAATATAAACGGATCAAATTCCTCCACTAAAACATGAGGACCACTGGATTATAACAGCATAAAACTTTACGTGACTTAAACTTCCACAACTGGAGAATGGTTAAGTAAGTTATGTTACCTCTGTAAATGGAATATTATGGAGCTATTTAAGCTTATATTTTCAAAAAATATTACATGATTTTGGAAAGGATTAAAATAAGTTAATTTTGAAAAAGCAAAATACCAAGTCACATATAAAAATATGGTTCTAATTTTTTACAGCAAAAATGTTAACAGTCATTACCTCTGGGTGGTGGAATTTCTGGTGATTTCGTATTTTATTATTTGTATATTTCTGCATTTTACAGAATTTTTTCCTAACTTTTATATTTTTAGTAGAGATGAGGTCTCACTATATTGCTCAGGCTGATCTTGAACTCCTGAGCTCAAGTGATCCTCCTGCCTCGGCCTCCCAAAGTGCTGGGATTACAGGCATGAGCCTCCACACCCGGCCCTTTTACACAATTTCTACGATGAACACTCATTACATTTATAACCCCCAAACTCACACCATATGTTATTCTAGAGCATGTTGTTGCTTATTTTTCTAATTATCATAGCCAGTACGTTGTCTATTTGCTAAACCTAAGAATCTCACTAGAAGAGACATTCCTTTCTGTATGAAATGTATCACTGCAAGCCCTCACATCATAATCTGTCTCCTTTGAGGGCCACAGAGATGCCCGCCCGAGTCAGTGCCTTTCATGGGAAAGCTTACTCAGGTGTCCAAACTCTTTCTCTCCCTCCACTTACATATCTTTTTTTCCAAAAACAACAACAACAAAAACAAACAAACAAACAAAAAACACAGCAGGGATTTTTTGTAAACCTTTTTTTTTTCTTTCTGGGGCATGTGTGTGCTTGTGTATGTGTGTGCATATACACAATGTTTAATGTAATGTTTAATGTAAGGAACACCGAGCACACCAGGGGATGCTGAAGCTGCTGGCCTGGGGGTTCCACTTTGGGAACCACTGCTCTATTCTGTGAGACTCTCCACCCCAGCGCCTTCCTTCTCTTCATTCACTCGCCTCCATCTTGGTCTTCCCCCAAAAGTTTCCCATTTGGAGTCAAACCCAGTCAACCTTTTGAAAACCAAGAACAAGGGCACAGGTGAGAAAAATTAAAGCCGTCTTTACTCTTCCTGACTGTCACTGGTTTAAACCTCCTAGAATTCCCTCCCATCTGTTCTCTGCTCTCCTTGCTCATCCCCTCGGGCAGCATCACCCCTTCTCCAGCTACCCAGTGCATCCTTGGCCTCCATGCTGGCAATCTCTGTAAACCACAGCTCTGACTGTGCCACTTCCCTGCTTAAAATCTGGCTTTGCTGTCAGAGCTAAGCTCCACCTTCTTAGCCTGTTATTTGGGGCCCTTAGGGACATGCTGACTCCTTTTTCATCTCCAGTTTCCTCTCCTGCCATTGCCCTAGTCCCCGCCTCACTTCTCACAGCCACCTGGGGTTTCTGGCCATTTCCCTCAAATGTGTGCTTTTCTGTGCCTTTTGCATACAGTTTCTTCTGCCTGGAATATTTTCACCCCTAATTCTACATGATGAGCTTTGACTTCTCTTTCACAGCTGCTATTAAATGTTGCCATTGCTGGAAGGCTTTCTAGATCCTCTTGAGCAGTTAGTCCTTCTTGAGTTATTTCAGCGAAGCCTCTGAACAGTGCTTTGTTAAAGCTTTTCCTGCTTGGTCCACCCCCAACCCCTGTACCCTATAATCACCATATTTGTAAACTTCCGTCAGCGTAGTCCCTGGCTTGCAGAAGATACTCAGTGAATATTTACTGAATGACTTAAATTGCCTAGAAGGTTTATATTATATATTGTTTGTAAGGTAGTGATTCTCAACCTGGGTTGCACAGTAGAGCCCTCTGGGGAGTGTAAAACTCCTGTTTAGGCCACATCTGAGACCAATCCAATCAGGATTTCTGGGGATAGGACAGAAGCATCAGTATTTTTTAAAGCTATGGGCTGATTCCAACACACAGACAAATAGAGGCTTCTCCACCAGTAGGCAGACTCTATGTTCCTGACTGGTCACTTTTCCTCCCTACCAAGTGGGAGTGAGACATGTCAGACCCCACAATGCAACAGGCACAGGAGGGATGGTGTATCAGTCTGTTCTCACACTGCTGTAAAGAAATACCTCAAACTGGGTAATTTATAAAGGAAAGAAGTTTAATTGGCTCACAGTTCCACAGGCTGTACAGGAAGCATGGCTGGGGAGGCCTCAGGAAACTTGCAATTTTGGAAGAAGGTGAAGGGGAAGTAGGCACGTCTTACATGACTGGAGCAGGAGGAAGAGAGAGAGTAGGAAGCTGCTACATACTTTTAAATAACCAGATCTCACTGATAACTCACTATCACGAGAACAGCACCAAAGGGGAAATTTACCTCATGATCCAATCACCTCCCACCAGACCCCACCTCCAACATTGGGATTACAATTTGACATGAGATTTGGGTGGGGACCAAACTCATATCAGATGGATTTAGCCCGGGGATCAAAGGAGGGCTTTGTGGAAGAAGTCACCTTTAATTTAGGGAGGAGGTTTCCTGGAGAGGATGAAGAGCACACTGGGAAGATGCCAAACATTTTGAGGTATATTCAGGGAAGGGCAGAGGTGGAGAGGAGGTTAGAACAGAAGGGACAAGGGATCCTTGCAGGTGGACATCGCACAGGCTCCTGGCCAGGCCCTCCTCCAATGTCAAGGTGAGCCATGGGTGAGTGTCACAGGAGAACCACAGGAAGAAGTACCCTGAGCCACGGCAATTCTTATTTGGGGGTCCTAGAAAGGCCTGGACACCTGAGGAGTCCTGTCCTGCCTGTAGCAGATGAGTGCAGGGTGCTGGGGAGAGAGCCCTGGCTTGTCACAGAAGTGACTTGAGCCCCAGCTATTTCTCCAGAAGTCTTGTTCTCTCTGACTTGTTTCCTATCTGTAAATGGGGGTGACAGGACCAACTGTGGGCATGTTGTGAAGACCAAATTGAATTCCTTCAGAAAATGCCTCACATGATGCCTGGCACATGCTAGGAGCCCAACAGGGCAGATGTTACCAGGATTGAGTCTGGAAAACTTGGGTGAGCAGCAGGGGCCCCTGATCATGGTATTTCCCAACTACTGGGGGCCCTCACCCACTTTACAGGTAAACAGCTGCAGCACTGTTCCCTGATCCATCCATGGACTGACCTGCTGTGAATCAGTCCCAGGCTGGGTGCTGGCCTGAAGAGCTGTGGCCACCGCAGCTCCAGGCCGGCTCACAAGAGCCAACCGGCCCCACCTCTCCCCAACCCCACACTCCGGCACAATACGTTGGCAGTCTGAAACTGGCCATGGTGGGAGGATTTACATCAAGGTAATCTGCAAATTCTTGGAATTGGGTCTTGCTGTTCCACCAAGAGCCAGTTGTTAAACATTTACTGGGACCCTACTGCCGGGCCTGGGGCCACAGAAGCAACCCTGACCCTTCCCTGAAGTGTGGTCCATGGACCAAGCCTTAGCCTTGCTAGGGAGCTTTCTAGAAATGAAGAATCCTGTCCTCCCCCACAGGCGTCTGGATCAGAATCCCTGGAAGTGGGGTCTAGCAACCTGCAGTTTATGAAGATGCTCAGGTAGGCTACAGTTTGACATGCAATTCTCTAAGCAATTTGGGGTAAGCAGTACAGGCAGCTGAAAGAGCTGGCTTCCTGTCCCAGACAGCAAGGGCTTTGCAGGGATGTGGAGCATTCCAGTCTGAGAGTGATACTGTCCCACTGCATAGTCAGGTGTCCTCTGATTTCCCCCTCAATATTGCAGAGAGAAAATTTAAGAGAAAAAAATCCATATTTCCACCAGTCACACAACTGTTCTCATCTCTCCATGTTTCTTCCGTGCACAGGTTTATGTAAAATAGTTAGTGCAGTATTTGCTTTTTACACCTTAGTGCACACACACTTGCATCCCCGATTTCTTCCTGAACAACTACTGCCTTAGATTTTGACATGGTTGCCCAAGACCTGCTGACTTTTTCAAAAAGAGATTTTGTGAAGTTCTTTGAGCTGCCTTTTATTTTTTATTTTTCTAGAGCAGGCAGCCAGGGCTGTACAGAGATGATTGGTACCTGGAATGTAATCTTCAGAATTAACATTCCTCATGCCGGGCCGGGCCTGGCCTGGGGAGCAGGAAGGAAACAAGCCTCTCCAGTCACGGGCAGAGTCCCATGGAGAGGGGCACAGATCCCTAATCCGTCTTATTCTGGGAAGTATTTTGGCACAGCCTGGCTCTGTGGTTTATAAACAAATTCTTTGTTTGCTGGGGGTATTTGCAGCTCTGCTTACAAGGAAGTTATACACCCCTCTGCAGCCTTTCATAATGTGGCTGATTTTTACCTTCCGGTAAGGGATGGGTTGTAAACTGCCTGGGTTTGGGGCAACACAAATCACTTCTTAAAGGTGACTTTACTGTGCAGTGAAAGGCTTGGGAAAGCCTCTAGCATCCTCTAGCGTCATTTATTCTGTGGCTTTTCCTAATACCTTGCTCATTCACTCAACAAATATTTATTGGATGGCTCCTGTGACTCCATCACATCACAGAGGTTGGGCCGGGCGGAGACAGAGAAACTGAAGAACAATGTGCAGTTCTTCTGACCAAGTGCTTATGTGGCCTGTGAAGTAGTGAGGAGAGTCAGAGAGCACAACGGAGAGAAAGCAATATTTGGTCCCACCTGGAGGGAATGGTGGGAGTTCTCCCAGCAACAACAGCCTCTCAGGTGGAGGAAATATCTTGTGTGAAGGGTTGAGGCACAGAAGGAGGTGCTCATGGAAGTGTTTGGAAGGCAGGAGGAGGTTTGAAGCTGTGTGGCAGGAAATGAGGTGGAAATATTGGACAAGTGGTCAAGTTAGGTGGTCAAGTGCCTACGGTGCCAAGTGGACTGTTCGGTCTTTATTCTGTAGACATGTGGCTGACAGGGTGCCATCCACCAGACCCACACCCTCCTTTTGTCTGTGCACCCACTAATCCATGCATACACCCAGCCACCAATCCATGCTCCGTCCGGCTTCCACTCATCTATCTATCCACCCATCCAGCCGAAGCATCCTCTGCACCAGGCACAGGATTACTTCTTGTTTCTTTTTCTTGGAACCTGAGGGTCTTGAGGTTTCCCTAGCAACCCCTTGATACATATTCAACTCCAGAACTATCAGCCCCACATGCATCCCTCTGCAGACTATTCAGGTGATGGTGGTATTATAAACAAGGAATTAAGTAGTCATGTGACAGTGAGGCTCACCTGGACTGATGACTGGGAAACATGTACCCAGGATAAAGGTATCATGGGTAGGTCTACTGAGCACAGAATGATGTGGAAATCTCATTCTGACAAATAATTCTTTTTAAGAGTCAGTTATAGAGCTGTTAGAGCACATGGTAATGCTGTTAGAGCATATGGCAACATATGCCCTTCACATCATTATGGTGTATTTATGCACTTCAAATTTTAAAAAGGAATCAGGAAATTAAGAATGCACTGTTTTAAAAACTCTATGAATTAACCTTTTGTTGATTTGGGGTAAGGGGAGGAGGGAGCAGTGTTTAGCTCTTGGTCTTCTCAAATGGGTTCATTTTCGTAAATACTTTGGTCTAACATCTTCCATGATCTTTTATGGTGAAAAAAACATGCTAATTATAGAAGTCCTAATACACAAACACACACATACACACACAAAAACACACACACACGACAAGGTAAACAAAAATCACCCAGAAATTTTGTTAACAATTTGATGTCTTTTCCCCATTCTTTTCTCTGCATATTTTTAAGTAATTGTTTTAAAATGTCAAATCCATTTTATATAGCTTTGAATCTGATTTCTCCTCCCTCCACTTAATACAGGATACGAGAAAATACAATTTTTTTTTTGAAAATGCCGCCTTAAAGGCTGCGAAGAGCAACCTTGAATGGATGCTCTATAATTTACTGAACCAATCCCCTTTATTTGAGGGCTTAGGAAGTTGCCAATGTTTTGCTCTTATTAAATGATGGTGACCATCCTTCTACCTCTGTCAGAACTCTGACAATTTCCTTTAGATACAATTCTAGAAACGAGACAACCGAGAAAAAAAGTGTTTTAGATGCTGAGACTTAAATCCCTCTTGCCACATTGCCTTCCAAAAAGGTACTTGGGCTTCACGAGGTTATAGACATGTGTAGAAGGTGTTCCCAGCTTTCCGCAACGCTAGGGGAGTGCGGTAAGAGCGCGTGGCTGGCTGGCTGTCCCCGGAGCGTGCATGATGCTTCGGAGGAAACATTTATTTAAGAAAAACAAAACAAAACAGAATGATTTGCATTTCCTGCTTTCTGTCGTTCCAAACTCAAACCAATCTCCTTATAAAAAATTTAAAGAAATGGCTCAAGATTCTCTTAACCTGAGTTTCAAACCGTTGATTTAAGTTTCGGATCTGAAAGTTGTATAACGAGTTTCTGTTGAATAAGACAATTTCCTACTCACTTTTTACACCTAAACGTAAGGTTTACTCACTAAGACGTCAGACCATTGACACTTCTCTCGAAGAAGGAGACCGCGTCCCCTGCGCTCTCAGAGCCGCAGCCTGGCCAACAAGGGTGAGGGTTGGGGGCTTGGCCGCCCCCGGGATGGGGCGAGGGGTTCCCGAGGGCTTGGGAGGGCGGCTTGGGAGAGAGCTCCGGCTCCGGAACGAGGTGTCCTGGGAACACTCCCGGGTCTGTAACTTCGGACAAATCACGCTCGCTTTCCCGGCCTCAGTGTGCCGTTCTGTAACTTGGGTCTAACCCCGGCTCGCACACACGGCGGGGACGCGCACAGAGTTGGGCTGGGGCCGGGGCGCGGTGGGCACTCACCTCCGCCGTACATCTGGCACAGGTACGGGAATCGCCACACGTTGCCCAGGCCCACGGCGTACGAGATGCAGGCGAACACGAACTGTAGCGAGTTGGCCCACAGCGGCCGCGCTTTCTCCATGGCCCCGGCCTCGGCGCGCTCGGCTCCGGCTCGGGGGTCCGGCACGGCAGTCTCAGTGCGCGGTCGCCAGGCGCGCCGTCCCACCCCGGCTCGGCTTGGGGGTGGCCCCGCGCCTCCGCCGCCGACGCAGCTAGCTGGTTTTTAAATTGCTAATCTCATTAACGGCGCGCCCGTCCGAGAGGCGAGGCTGGTAAATGGATGACGGCGAGCCCCACCCCGCCCGATCGTCGCGGCCGGGAAGGCACCCGAGATTGCAGAGGACAGGGCGGAGTCCCCTGGGGTCCTCCGGCTCGGCGGGGCCTTTCTTCAGGCTGCGGAACTCCTCGAAGTGGGCGCCTTCCCTCGGCCACTCACCTGTCATTTATCGAGCGCCTACTGTGTGCCAGGCGTTGTCTGGGGACACGGCTGTGAACCACTTCCCAGCTCCGTCTTGGAGCTGACATTCTGGTAGAGGGAAACACTTGAATTGGACTGCATGAAATGCCCCATTTTCAACCATTTTTTAATTTATAGAAAGGACAATGTCATATGGTTCAACCTAGCCCACGTATAAGACTGAGAGACGCGAGGAAGACACCTAAGGCAAAGTAAAGGGGTAAGCAGTTGCGGGGGGTGGCCAGGGATGGTTAGGGAGGGCTTCTCAGAGGAGAGAACATAACATTTGCCAGGGGCCAGAAAGAAGTGAGGGACCTTCCCGGCAGTCCCGTCCCCTCCGTCCACCCAACAGCTTGGCCCTGCGTGCCTACTGGGTCCGGGGACGGAATCAGGTTTTGAACTGCTGTGGGGGACTCTACTGCTCAGGCCAGCCTAGGGGCCAGAAATTTTGATTCATTAGGCCAGGGTAGGGAACTAAGAAACCTCGTATTTCTGCCAGTCTTACAACGTGATTTGCTTGAGGGTGGTCACTAGATAAGACAGAGCTTGGTGCTTTGCAGTAATGTGGAATCTGGGTTTGTATACCAACTCTGCTACTGACTTAGCTGTGTGACCTTGGACAAGGCACTTGACTTCTCTGAGTCTCTGTGTACTCCTCTGTAATGCTAACAGATATCTTCCCCTCTCTCCTGCCTGGCAAGGAAGAGCTCATGTGAGGATTAATTGGGAACTTAGCTTACTACCTGGCACAGAGTAAGTTCTCAATAAAGAGGCCATTACCAAGTCTCCAGCAGGCTGAATGAATGAATGGGTAACATATTAATACTAATGCCACGCTTTGAACAGTGCCTAATACATTGTAACAGATAAGAAAATGCTAAATAATAATAATAAAATTTAAAAGAGATGAAAAGCAGAGTTGCTAGTGAAAATCTTACTTGAAGCCAAAATGAAATCAGTGCTCTAGGACAGCTCCTTGTTGGGCTTTCCCTGGAGTTCCTGCCTGTCTGGTCCCAGAGGAGAAGGGTGAGTAGGGTGAGGGAGGTGGAGGCTTCCTCAGACATATTACCTGTCCTGGAACTTCCTACCTCGAAAAAGCAAAGCAGAAAAAAAAGGCAGCACAGCAGGAGAAACTACTTTAATTTTTTTAAACTTCAGATTCTAGATAAATGTTTTTTCCTACCCATTGCCTCCTCCCCAAAGGAACCTACCATCCTGGTGTCTAACCCCATGGGTTAGTTTTGACCTTGATGAAAATGGAATTAAATGGGATGTACTTTTTCTGTGCCTGGCTTCATTTGCTTTCCGTTGTTTGTGGGGTTCATTCATGTTCTAGTGTGTTGTGTAGCTGTGGGTCATTCTCTCTCACTGCAGTATACTTGTCGGTGGTGTGAGTATGCTCCAGTCTACTACTGACAGATGTCTGTGTTGTCTCCAGTTTGGGGCTGTCATGAATAGGGCTGCAATGCACATTCTAGTGCACGTTCTTCCGTAGATGAATGCACTCACTGCTGGGAACTTCTTGGCCTTAGGATAGGTGTGTTTGGCTTTAGCAGATATTGTCAGACTGTTTTCCAGAGTGTGGTAGTACAAGCTGACACTCCCTTTGGGTTTCAGTTGCTTTTGCTTTGCATCCTAACACTTGTCATTCTATTTCTAAAGGTCTGCCCAGTCTTGTAGGTGTATAGTGATAGTTCATTGTGCCTTTTTTTTTTTTTTTGAGACGGCGTCTCACTGTGTCGCCCAGGCTGGAGCACAGTGGCGCGATCTCGGCTCACTGCAAGTGCCACCTCTGGGGTTCGCGCCATTCTCCTGCCTCAGCCTCCCGAGTAGCTGGGACTACAGGCACCCATCACTATGCCCAGCTAATTTTGTTTTTGTATTTTTATTAGAGACGGGGTTTCACCGTGTTAGCCAGGATGGTCTCAATCTCCTGACCTTGTGATCTGCCCGCCTCAGCCTCCCAAAGTACTGGGATTACAGGCGTGAGCCACCACGCCTGGCCCATTGTGCCTTATTTTAACTTCCCTCATGACCAGTAAGGCTGCATACCATTCCATAGGCTAATTGGGCCATCTAGGTATCTTTTTTCATGAAGTGCCTGTTCAAATTTTTTGTCAGTTTTTAATTGGGTTGTCTGATTTTTTCCTACCGATTTGTAGTTCTTTATGTATTCTGGATTTGGGTCCTATGCCAGTTTAGTGTATTACAAATTGCTTTTCTCAGTCTGTGTTGCCTTTTATTCTGTCAGTGGTGTCTTCTAATGAAGAGATATTTTTAACTTTAACAAAGTCCAATTTCCCAATCTTTTCCTTTAGTGTCCTCCTTTGGTGGTTTTTCTTATGTCCTGTTTAAGAAAGCACTCCTTTATCAACTCCAAGGCTGTGAAGATATTCCTGAGAATATATAAGACTCAGGCAAAATGAGTCTCAGCCATCCATAGATAGGGCTACCCGCCCTCCCCCTACAAAGGACTCCTCACAGCAATGGCAGCAGACGGAGTGCCAGCATTTTCTTGTGCTGGTTCCCTGGGCTCCAATTCGACGGGGCTGCCTTTTTAAAGTGGTTTTGCATTGTTTAGGCAGAAGGCTTGTTGCTGCCTCCAGCTATCTGCTTGCATGTTCTTGTTCTCATATATGAGTTATTCCTAGAGGGTACCTGGCTATGCAGTGACCTTCAGGAACTGGGCACTTTGGAGAGATGCCTCACCTGGACCATGAGGCTGCTGGGACCTTGTTGGTTTGATGGAGGCAAGGCCTCTCTTTAATTCCCTACCTCTGAGATCAGGCCAGCACCTCCTTCCATTCATACTGCTATACTCCCTGGGAGCCCATCCAGTATGTGAGACCCTGTGTGGTAGCTTTGGGCAGCACGAAGAATCACCCAGATAACCCCAAAGAGCAGTAAGTAAATGCAATGGGGCAGATAATCAGGGCTCCTGGTAGGGTCCCCATGACTTTCTGAAGCCTATGTGACAGCTCTCATCTGACAAGGCCAGTTGTGCTGCTGGGACTCATAGAGTGGAGAGGACAGGCCTGGAAGGGTTGGGGGGCTTCCGCAGAGAGCCAGCAAGACAGAGGGTGGAGAGGAGTGGTAGGCTGGCAGGTATGTAACCACTGGCTCTCTGCAGAAAAAGCTCTGATTTGTCACATTTGCCAATTTCTGTGGTGTAAACACTTTTACTATGACTTTTTTTTTTTTTTTTTTTTTTTTTGACAGTGTTTTGCTGCAATGCCCAGGCTGGAGTGCAGTGTCACAATCTTGGCTCACTGCAACCTCCGCCTCCCGTGTTCAAGCAATTCTCCTGCCTCGGCCTCCTGAGTAGCTGAGATTACAGGTGCCCACCACCACGCCCGGCTAATTTTTGTATTTTTGGTAGAGATGGGGTTTCACCATGTTGGCCAGCCTGGTCTTGAACTCCTGACCTCACGTGATCCACCCGCCTTGGCCTCCCAAAGTGCTGGGATTACAGGCATGAGCCACCTCACCTGGCCTTACTATGACTGATTCTAAGCTACCAAAGTGATGTCACTAAACGTGGAGACATGCAGTAGCACACCATTGTACTGAGTCTCCACTATCCAGATCCAACAGGCATAGATAATAGTACAGTCAATAATTAGGAAGTGCCAAGTTTTGTGTATTTATTACCTCTGTTTTAAATAACTTATTCAATTGCTAGCTTATGTAGTTTAATTCTTAGTGGCCATGTTTAACAACCAGCCCACAGAATTCTAGAAAATTTACCAGTTGGCTCTCAAGAGTGTGTGGCAGCTGGCTTTGGCATTCAGCAGGGGGATTGGGGCTAGGGAAATCACTTCTGCATGGCAGGGACAAGGGGAGTGAGTTCAGCTCAGTGGTGTCTGGTGCCCCATGGCAATGGGGTTTTCAGCTTAGCTGAGCCCCACTCTGAGTGCTCCTTGGGGCCTCCACTGCTAGTATGCAAGACACTGCCTGTGGACCGGTCTCACTGTGCCCCATGTCACTCAGGACAGACTTACCTGCAGGATAGAAGGCTAGCATGCCTTAGTTATCTGATTTCCGGAAGGGGTGGAGACACTGGGGAGGGCCCTGACTCAGTTGTATGGGTGTGGGCTCCTGGGCCCGTGCCAGGGTTCCTGATTACCCTGCCGACCATGAAGTTCATGCCACTTTCAATAATTTGCTCATCCTAGTGATGCCATTGTTACTTAACCACCCTCAGTGGCTCCCAGTCACCACAAGATAAAGTCCAAACTCCTTAGCCTGGTCTGTAAAGTTTTGAGGATTTTTAAAATTGGGCCCTGAGGAATTTAACTCTTGCACACCTAGGCTCCAGGAGAAGCTAAACTTTTCACTTTCCGGAATGTGCATTTTTATACTTCTGGGATGTCTCTCAGCCAAGAGCACCTCTGCTTTCTCAACCCAGAAAAATCCTGTCCTTTCTCTTGACCCAGATGATTTATTACCTCTTTTTAAAATTTAAATTTTAACACATTAATTTTTTTAGAGATGAGGTCTCACTATGTTGTCCATGCTGGTCTTGAACTCCTGGGCTCAAGCAATGCTCCAGCCTCAGCCTCTTAAAGTGCTGGGATTACAGGCATGAGCCACTATGCTTGGCCTTTTACCCTTTTTAAGAAGCCCCAGAACCCCATCTGCAGCTGGAATATATTGCTTGCTCTTCCCTGCCCCCGGGCCCTGGGTACATACCTGACTTTTCTTTTTGAGACGGAGTTTTGCTCTTGTTGCCCAACCTGGAGTGCAATGGCTCACTGCAACCTCTGCCTTCTGGTTTCAAGCAATTCTCCTGCCTCAGCCTCCTGAGTAGCTGGGATTACAGGTGCGTGCCACCACACCTGGCTAATTTTTGTATTTTTAGTAAACACAGGGTTTCATTGTGTTGGCCAGGCTGGTCTCAAACTCCTGACCTCGTGATCCACCCGCCTTGGCCTCCCAAAGTGCTGGGATTACAGGTGCGAGCCACCACGCCTGGCCCATAGCTGACTTGTAATGCCTGCCAGTGCTGTGCTGTCATGAAGAGTGCATCGTATGTGTCCCCTCTGGACTATGGCTCGCATCATGCCTTACTCATCCTTTTCTCCCTAGTGCCAGGTACATGGTTGAATCTCAATAAAAGTCAGCTGGTAAAGGAAAAACCTGCTGCAGATTCGAAGCATTTAAGTACAAGTTCATTTCTGTTGTTCACAGCTTCGGCAACAGTCAGATGTCTGCATTTTAGAACATTTCTTCAGCACATTCAAGTTCTTGACATGACTGTTCTCCCTGCTGCCCAAAGCACTTGCTCGCTATCCCTCAGGGAGCACAAAGACTCACACAGTACAAATAGGAGTGTAGAAGCCAGCAGGAGGAGATTCTGCAAAGGAAATGCTGGGGCTGCTGTGGGGACTTGCCTAGCTCAGGTGGTGAAGGAGAACCTGTGTGTGCACGTGCACACATGTGTGCGTGTATGTATGTGTATGTGGTGCCAAGGAGGTGGGAATGCCCCAACTTTTCCCTGAACCCTGGGACTCTCTTGGCTGCAAGTGGAGCTTCTGACCTCAGAGCCCCGGTGTCTCAGAGCTGCCAAGCTCCTTGGAGCAATGCTCCTCAAACATCAGCGAATCCCCTGGGGGTCTTGGTCCAATGCAGATGCTGGCTCAGTAGGTCCGGGACGGCACCTGCGATTCTGCATTTCCCACAAGCCCCCAAGGAATGGTGGTGCTGTTGGTCCAAGGCCCTCATTCCAAATCAGACCCATCGATACTCCCGTTCTCCAACCATGTTTGCCATTTTTGCCAATAGCCATATTTATCATGTTTGTGAACCATGTGGACTGTTATTTATTTATCATTTTTCTTTAAATTAATTCACTTTTCACTTCAATACATTTAAAAACAAAATTTTACATCACTACCATACACGTAAAGCTAGTGTTTTTAAAATTCATTTAAGATAAATTGAAGAAAATTTAAAAAGTTTAAATGTCTATGTCTGGTGCTGCCTCAAAACACCTTACGTACTCCCAGCGGCAGATGTCCCATATTGGGCACCACAGACCTTGCCCACGAACTGTGCCACAGAGCCCTAGAATTTCATGAATGTGCCTGTAGGACTGTGCCCAGGGCTTGGACAGGTTGGTGGGAATCCAACCAGAGTAGCCCCACCACCATATCTTGATATCCTGTATTGTGTTTCTGTGTGGAATTTTATTTGACAAAAAGTTAAGGTCCAAAACTATCAGAAACCCACTGCTGAGCCCATACATTTGTTTTAGAGAAGCCCTGGAGTTTGCTGTCCGATATGGTAGCCACTAGCCACATATCTTTACTTAACTTCAATTAAAATGAAGTACAATTAAAAATTCAGTTCCTCAGTCACATTTCAAGAGCACAATAGCCACATGTGGTTAGTGGCTACTGTCGGGACAGCACTTACATAGAACATTTCCATCACTGCAGAAAGTTCCATTGGACAGTCCTGACTTGTGGAAGCTGGGAGAAGAATTTGGTGATAATGCTTGCCACAGTCTCTTGCATTCTGGGCCTGGACTGTGGGCAGCTGCTTGGGATAAAGTAATGTCCCTCACACTGTCCCTTTGTTCTCAGAGAAGGAAAGATGGGACCTTCCTTCTCTCCTCTCCTCTGCCTCTCAAGATGCTGACCAGGGCATCATCTCCTGGCAGGAGGCCAGCTGTGCTGAAAGTGGCTCCATCCCTACAAGCTACTTCAGCTGCAAGATGGGAAACTCTAATACCATCTTTTGGACCCCAGTCCCTACCTCTCCTGCTGCCTTTCAGTCTCCTGGGCCCCAGAATGTGCTCTTTGCCCCACTGGTCCCCTGTCTCTGGCCCTCCCTGTTTTCCCAGTGCCTCCCTCTCTGGCCTGGCCTTCATGGTTGGTCAAGTCCACATATCTCCCTCTCACTCATCTTTGCCCTCTCTTCCTTTTGCTGTTTCTCAGCCCTGTGCCACCCAAACTTGAGGATTTCTGGGCTCCCCAGACTGCTGCTAGGGACTTCTGGAAAGTCTCACAAAGCTATGACTGTATCTTCCGCAAGCATAGATTGTGAGGCCTCGGCAGGGCCTTGCTGTTGCTCACTTCTTTGTGATCCACGTCTGGCTGTGGTTCGTTCTTGTGGCCCTGGGGCAGGGTTCCCGATCTTCTCCATATGCCTCAAACTTTTCTTTCCATACTCCTCATCCCGCTGATGACATAATAAAGGTCTTGGGAATCCCCCAGATGGCTAAGGGAACTACCCCTAGGCTGGGCCTCTACCTGAGATTCTCCCTGCTGTCCAGTCACCTTGAGTGTGGGCTCCCACTCCCTCCTGGGCCTTCAGCATCCCTCCCGTCAGTCATTCCTCTCTCCCTAGCATTGCTGATGGCTTTTCTTTTCCTTTCCTTTCCCTTCCCTTCTTCCTCTCTCTCTCTTGCTGTTCGCATAAAGACATTCTCAGGTTCCACTAGAAGCATCTTTAAAAACTTCTAGATCTGCTTACCATCAATCTTTAGACAACTGTGTGGTCCACATTCCTTACCTTGGTTCCTCATCACACCATTCATTCCTTTACCTCTTACAAGGTAGTAGTGTGGCACTCAGACCTAAGTTATAACAAATCCATTCTGTCAAATATACCCAGAAACATGACCCATCCTTTTTTCCTTCTGTTATAATGGAGGGGTTAAGGGAGGACCCTTCTTCCTGGCTAAGCCCCTTCCCATGCCAGGACTATGTGTGCCTTCAACTTCCTCTGTGTCTTCACACACCCAGGCTGATAATAGGTATACAGTAATTTCTAAATAAAGACTAGATGACTTAAGGATATTAATATTGTTAGAGAATAGAGAAATTTGGAAAATGAAGTTAATGAGTACTCAAAAAGATATTAACTATATTCAATTTTTTTCTTTTTTACTTTTCATAATGAAATACACATAGAGAAAATTACACATAAAAAAACTATACCTCAACAAATTATCATCTCCTTGTGTCTTTCAGATGCCAGCTTTCTCCCTGAAAAAGTATCCACTATGCCGACAGTCCTTTCTTGGCTTTTTTGTGTGGTCTTACCACTTAAGCATGAATCCCTAAACGCTATACTTACTTTTGTCTGTGTTTGAACTTCATATTGTGAAAAAATAGAGTGGCTATTCTTTGATGTCTGACTTCTTTTGCCTTACATTATGTTTTCTTTGTTGTTGTTTCATCTAAGTTGATATTGCAGCTATAGTTTTTACTTGGCCAGTCTATTGTATTTCTTATGTAACTACAAATTATTTAACCACTTTACTATTGATAGATATTTGGATTATTTAGCTTTTGGATATTATGAAAAATGCTGCTTGGAACATTCTGGTACATGTGTTCTGGTACACATGAGCAAGCATGTCTATGTGTAGAAAGGCTGAAACATAGTGTGTATGTATTTTAAGCTTTGATAGATAATTCCAAAAGTGTTTCAATTCATTTATATGTATGTATTCATACAATACGGTCAGAGAATTCTAACTGCAATATATTCCTGCATAGTTTGATGAAAGCAAAAAAAAGGAGAAATGAGTTATTAAAAATTCAGGACAAATATAAAGCACAAAGTAAGACAGGAGCAATATCAGTTCAAATGTATCAGTAATTACAATAAATGTAAATGGATTCAATGGGCCATATGAAAGACAGAGACTGTAATGACTGGAATAAAAAATTCACACATACAGTTACATGCTATTGACAAGAGATATACCAAACATAAGCTCACAGCAACATTTACATGAATATATTAGGAAAAGAATACATTAGGATGAAAAGAATATATTAGGAAAATGCTATCCAAAAGAAAGCCAAAAAAATATCATTAGTGATAGAAAGGACATCTATCACTAGAAAGCTATAACATTTAAAAAAATTACAGTTCATAAAATAGCTTCAAAAAACAACAAATTGATTTCTTCATGGATTACATGGATAAATTGACATATCTACCATCATGATGGAGATATCTGTACTCATTTCTCCATTTTTGATAGATAAAGCAGAAAATAAAAAGAACAGGGAGTGAAAATTGATTAATACAGATTATTAGAATAATCTAAAATGGAACTTCTACAAATAGCAATAATAGAAATTAAAAATTAAGTGGATGGATTTAAAAGTGGATGAGACACAGCTAAGGAGAGATTTGATGAACGCAAAGATATGTCAGAAAAAATTATGTGGCACATTGCACAGAGAGATAAGAAACAAAAACCAAGAAAAAATTTAAGATATATAAATAAGCTATGTAGGACAATGAAGTCTAATATATGCTTACCTAGAATTCTGGAAGGAGAAGAGAGACTGGAACAGAGAAACACTTAAAGTACAACAGCTCAACATTTCCCACCACAGATTCATGAAGCCCAGTGAATCCTACGTAGGATAAAAAAATGTAATGCCCATCAAGATGCCTCATGATCATGCTCCAGAACATCAGGGTGAGGCCCTTAACCCACATCAAAGGTCTCACCGCAGAGGAGTGTTTAATTTGTGGCATTTTGAAAAAAATTAAAAGGTAGAACTTAAATCTTGGACAGGTAAAATAGCATATGACAGATGAGTGGTAAGAGCGGAAATGTTCTAAGGAGGTGAACAACTTTAGACTTTGTGAAAGTATGCAAAGCAAACATTTCAAGTTGTCCCCAGATTTCTTTTATAGCTTTCCAGGATAGAAAGAATTCATACACTGCATTTGGTTGTTATGAATACAGTTGCTTTTAGGACAGTTTTCCCACCTTTTTATTTTCATGACATTGACTTTCTAAAGAGACCAGGCTAACTGTTTGAATTGTATAATGTCTTACATTCAGGATTTGACTGATTATTTCATTGTGGGGTCATTTAATATGGCCTTTTCCCCCTGTAACTTGCAGAGAATGTGTTAATTTAGTCTTTATATGGCACATGCATGCACGCACATACACACACACACACACACATTATAACATCATATAGGCACTTAGGCAATTAACTGTATTTATTATTGATGGAATTTTGAATTTAAAAAGTGTATAGGCTAGGTGCAGTGACTCACGCCTATAATCCAGCACTTTGGGAGGCCGAGGTGGGAAGATCGCTTGAGGCCAGGAATTTGAGACCAGCCTGGGCAACACAGTGAGACCCTGTCTTTGCAGAAAATTAATTTTTAAAAAATTAGCTAGGCGTGGTGGTACACACCTGTAGTCCTAGCTACTTGGGAGGTTGAGGTGGGAGGATCACTTGAGCCCAGGAGTTGGAGGCTGTAATGAGCTATGAATGCGCCACTGCACTCCAGCCTGGGTGACACAGTAAGACCCCATCAAATAAACAAACAAATAAATAATAAAATAAAAAGTGTACAACCTTCCTGAGTTTACATTCACCAAATGGGGCGTAGTGCTGACCTTCTTCACTGAGCTATTCCAAGCAATTTAGAATATTTGGCAAATATAACAAGACGCAGAGAGCCTCCAGGATCGGAGGAACTGCTGGCCAGAGCTGAAGGCAACATGGCTGCACAGAACTGGCACTGGGTTGGCAGCTGCAGGCTACAGCTCTGTGTTGCTGTGGCTCTGTTTCTGGCTACACTTCTGTGAGATATGATAACAACTAATGGGACACAGATGACTTGAATGGCAGCCTTAAAAATAAAGGAAAATGAAAAGACATCTAAGACTTGAAAGCAAAGAAAGCCTAACTTAAAATAATATAGGGAAATACTAAAATAAATGTTTGAACTTGTACTTCACCAGTATATACTGGTAAAAACTCAGGGCTTCCTGAGCCTCTGAGTAAGGTTACACAATGATTTTAATATTCTATATCCTTTTGCCTGTATGCCTACATCCAAAGGACAACTGTGTCAACTGAGTAACCTGAGTGGATTTTCTGTGAATTGATGCCTATTGTTGTCTGAAGTAACTAATTTGAGTAAACAACACAAAGTGGGCGTCCTTTCTAAAGGAACAAGAGGAATGGAACAAAGAGGCATTTTTCAGGTCAGAGAGAACAGATGCAGAAATGAGCTTGTTTAGAAAACATTGTGGCTTCTCACCACGATCACTCAGCTGATCCCTTGCATTAAGGAAGATTCAGCCACGTGCTGTGAAAACAAGGGACTCAGAGAGCAGTGTGGAATCCTTCCTTCCTTTTTGTTGGTCTTGGCTGAATTTATTCCTTCACCTCAAATATTTTTGCTGGGAACAAGCAATCAATACCAACTAGAAGGCATAATCTGGTGGAGAAAAACAGATGGAGCACTGTGAAAATATTTTCAAGGGTCAGGGTACACCTGGGGCCATGCTGTCTCAATTAGTGACCCCCTAAGGAATTTCACTGTGTCCTGCTGTACTGTTTTGTACTTGCTCTTTTCATTTCATAACAGGAGAAGCCCTGTGAATCTTACTCTGCCAGAAAACACACATGCTTTATTTCACAAGCTCGGTGGTTCAAATTATATTTGATTTCTTTCCCTGCTCCATACTCCAAATGTGGCCTAGCGATGGGCAGCGTCGGCATCGCCAGGGCGCCTGTGGGAAATGCAGACTCTCAGGCCCCTCCCAGACCTCTAGAATCAGAACCTATTTTTAAAAAGACCCCCCCAAGGGATTTGCAGGCAGGTTAATGTCTCAGGAGCACACAGGGTTTTTAACCCTGGCTGCACATCAGGATCCTATCTATGGAGCTTTAAAATACAGATGCACGAGACTCCCTGAAAAACTGAGCTTGGCAGAGGAGTCTCTTGAATGTTTGGCTTCTAGAAGCTTCCATGGTGGCTGATGTGGGATACCCTTCTCCAGAAGAGGAAGATCCCTACCAACACTGCCGTGCCACTCATTATTAACATTTCTAGATCTTCTCCCCACTGGCTCCCCTCCAGTTTCCATATCCCCAATGTCCCTTGTTTAAGGTCCACCTCTGCCTGCTCTTTCCCACTGTTAAAATTTCTCTTCTAAAATACATTCAGAGTCAACAGGAAAAGGTCTTAAAGATAATTTATCACAGATGCAACAACAATTTCTTCTCATGAACTTGAGGAGCCCAAAATCTTTTCCCTGCTTGCCAAGGTGCTATATTGTCTGAAAATAGCTCAACTGCCTGGGAATGGTTTTGTGAAATCGATTCCCTACTGTATTATAGGGAATTAAGTGCTCCCAAAACTTCCCTTCTGACTTTGTTTCCATTTCCCAATATACAGCCTACCCAGAATGACGTGTTATCATTGTCTGCCATGTTTTGTTTCATTTATGCTGTACTTTTTTTTTGGGGGGTGGGGACGGGGCAGATGGAGTCTCACTCTGTCACCCAGGCTGGAGTGCACTGGTGTGATCTCAGCTCACTGCAACCTCCACCTCCTGGGTTCAAGCAATTTTCCTGCCTCAGTCTCCTGAGGAGCTGGGATTACAAGCACATGCCACCACGACTGGCTAATTTTTTGTATTTTTTAGTAGAGACAGGGCTTCACCATGTTGGCAAGGCTGGTCTCGAACTCCTGACCCCAGGTGTTCCATCTGCCTCAGTCTCCCAAAGTGCTTGGATTACAGGTGTGAGCCACCGCGCCTGGCCTATGCCGTACTTTTTGTGTTATAATACAGCATATATGGCATACAGCATACTATGGAAAATAAATACATGTATAAATAATAATTATAAGACAAGTGCTCTTGTAGCCATCACCCAGGTGGTTGAGACTTGGTATAGTGTGTGGCCAGTTTTCATAAATATTCTGTATTTGCACAAAGAGAAAAAAAATTGGATGCTGCAGTTTGTTTTATTTATTAGGCCAAATCTGCTATTGTATTGTTCCTATCTTCTATATCCTTATGATGATTTTGTGTCTGTGCATTCCATCAATCACTGAGAGAAGTGTTAAAATCTTCCATTATGATTGTGAATTTTTCTATTTTCTTTTAATTGTGTCAATTTTTACTTTATAGAATCTGAAGCCATTAAGGACAAACTTTAAATTGTTATATCTTCTTGGAGGGTTAAAATTTTAATCATATGGAATGACTCTATCTCTAGCAGTGTTAAATTCTCTATTTGGATAATTCAGATTGTTGTGTGTTTTCTGCATACACAATTATATCATCTGTGAATGAGTTTTTTTTCTGGCCTCATGCTTTGGTTTAGGCCTCCACCACTATATGTATCTGTCATTGCTCCAAAGTCTCCCTGTCATTGAAGCCTTAGTGACAGCCCTATGTAAAATGTCAACTACCACCCCAACATTGTTTCTCTCTTTCCTTCTTCATTGTATCCCTTGGGCACTATTTGGCATGTTATATGTGTTTCTTGTTTATCAAGCCCGATTTGCTCATTTATTTAAGAGAGGTATCGAGTCTATGTGCCAGACCCTGTTCTGGATATGGGGGATGCAGCAATAAACAAGACAACCACAGATCTCAGCCCCCTCGGAGGATACATTCTGGTGGCGAGGCAGAAAATAGACAAACACCATGCTTCTACTTCAGTAAGGCCTGTCTTGACCACCATATTTTAAGAAAAACATCCCTTCTCTTGATTCTACTTTCCTTTCTACCTACCTTATGCCCCCCCTTTTTTTTTTCGCTTTACTGTTTTATAGCCCAGCCAATCAAGAGATGTCGATGCTTACTTTGTCTCCAAGTTTCTCTTGTTACTTCTCACAGTCACCTCAGCTAGGCCCCTCAGCAGTCCAACAAAACTATCTTGTCAAGGACACCAGTGACCCCCCACATAGCTAAATCCAACAGTCAGCTGTCCCTTTCCTGGACCTGCCAGCTGCATGCCACCCAGGTAATGATTCTTTCCTGCTGATGTGATTTGCCCAGCCAGCATCCAGGGAGACGCTCTCTTGGTCTTCCTCTCACTGGCCCCTGCTGTTCCATCTCTTTTGCTGATGTCTCCTCTTCCCTGATTCCTTGGGGTTGGAGCACCTAGGGCTTCTCACTGACACTCACCTCCTTGGTGTGCCTACCTCTTTAATGGTTTAAAAGCCCTCTCCACCGATAACTCCCAATGTTGTATCTCTAGTCCAGACCACACTTCAGAGGTCTAGACTTGTATGTCTGGTGCCTCCCAACATCCCCATTTGGGTGTCTGAGAGGCATTTCATGGTTGTCTAAAAGAGGATTTCTGGCCAGACGTAGTGGCTCATGCCTGTAATCCCAGCACTTTGGGAGGCCGAGGCAGGTGGATCACCTGAGGTCAGGAGTTTGAGACCAGCCTGGCCAACATGGCAAAACCCCGTCGCTACTAAAAATACAAAAATTAGCTGGGCATGGTGGCGGGCACCTGTAAAAATTAGCTGGGCATGGTGGAAGGCACCTGTAATCCCAGCTACTAGGGAGGTTGAGGCAGGATAATCACTTGAACCCAGGAGAAGAAGGTTGCAGTGAGCCAAAATCGTGCCACTGCGCTCCAGCCTGGGCGACAGAGCAAGACTCTGTCTCAAAAAAAAAAAAAAAAAAAAAAAAGAAAGAGAATTTCTTATCTTTGCCCACTTCCCTTCCTAAAGCCAGCTCCCTATCTCTGTTGACACCAAGCCTAGCCTAGCAGTTGCTCAGCCCCAAACCCTTGAAGTCATCCTGAGTCCTATCTCTCATCTCCTTTCAATCTGTGCTGATAGTCTATTAGTTTTCCCTTCAAAATATATCCAGAACCTAACTCTCTGACACTGCTGATGGGAGTGTAAATTGGACACCTGGAAAATTTGGGGGGCAGTGTCTACTAATATTGAACATTCATATATGCTGTGATCCAGCAATGACACTCCTAGATGTACATACCTACACCAAAAGATCCACACTAGACGTTTATATTAGCATTCTCTGTATTAGCCACAGACTAGCAAAACTCCAAATGTCCAGCAACAGTATGATGGATAAATTATGGAATATTGCCACTATACAGCAATGAGAACAAAAAAAAATTGCTACATGCAACAATAGGGATGACACTCACAAGCACAGTGTTGAAAGAAGCTGGACACAACAGAGTCTATGCTGTATGATTTCACGTACATAAAGTTCAAAAAGGAAGTCAGGAGAGTGGTTACCTTTGGAAGGAGATGGTGCCTGGGGGCCAGCACAGGAGGCCTCTAGGGGTGCAGATAATGAGTGATTCTTCATCTGGGTACCTTAGTGCTTTGTGCAAATTCTTTGAGCTGTATGCTTATGATGTGTGCACTTTGCGTACATAAGTTTTACTTAAATTGAAAAAGAAATCCAGCTTCAACCACCCTTATCACTTCTTTTTTTTTTTTTTGACAGAGCTTTGCTCTTGTTGCCCAGGCTGGAGTGCAATGGCACCCTCTTGGCTCACTGCAACCTCCGCTTCCCGGGTTCAAGCGATTCTCCTGCCTCAGCCTCCCGAGTAGCTGGGATTACAGGTATGCGCCACCATGCCTGGCTAATTTTGTATTTTTAGTAGAGACAGGGTTTCACCATGTTGGTCAGGCTGGTCCTGAACTCCCGATCTCAGGTGATCCGCTCCCCCCTTGGCCTCCCAAAGTGCTGGGATTACAGGCATGAGCCACCATGCCTGGCTTACCCTTATTACTTCTATATTCCTACCTCAGTCTAGGCCACTACCATCTTTCACCTGGATGACTACTAATTTTTTTTTTTTTTTTTTGAGACGGAGTCTCACTCTGTTGCCAGGCTGGAGTGCAGTGGCACGATCTCAGCTCACTGCAACCTCTGCCTCCCAGGTTCCAGCAATTCTCCTGCCTCAGCCTCCTGAGTAGCTGGGACTACAGGTGTGCGCCACCACATCCAGCTAATTTTTGTATCTTTAGTAGAGACGGGGTTTCACCATGTTGGCCAGGATGGTCTCAATCTCTTGACCTTGTGATTCGCCTGCCTGGGCCTCCCAAAGTGCTGGGATTACAGGTGTGAGCCACCACACCCAGCTGACTACTAATATTCAGTCACCTCTTCACCCCTGCTCACAATCTAGCCCAAGGACAGTCTATTCTTTTTTTTTTTTTTTGACAAGGTCTCAATTTGTCACGCAGGCTGGAGTGCAGTGGCATGATCATGGCTCACTGCAGCCTCCCACCTCCCTGGCTCAAGCGAGATCCTCCCACCTCAGCCTCCTGAGTAGCTGGGACTACAAGCATGTACCACCTACCTAATTTTTAAATTTTTTGTAGAGATGAGGTTTTGCCATGTTGCCTAGGCTGGTCTCAAACTGGACTCAAGTGATCTGCTCACCTGGGCCTCCCAAAGTGCTAAGATTACAGGCATGCACCACTGTACCCGGCCAACAGTCTATTCTTAATGCAACCACAGAGTCGTCCTTTTTAAATAGCATCAGGTTTTATCATTCCAAGGCTTATAACCCTGCAATGGCTCCTCATATCCTTTGCTCAGTGTCTCCTCAATGAGGTCTATCCTGACCACCCTGCTGAAGCTGCATCCAGCATCCCTCCAGCACTCTTGATCCTCCTTGTTCTACTCTATTATTATTATTACCATAGCACTTTCTTCTTGTAACATATTATAGGGGTTTGAAAGGTAGCCCCCCAAAAGATACATCTACCCAGAACCTATGAGCGTGACTTCATTTGGAAAAAGGGTCTTTGCAGATGTCATTAAGTTGGGGCCTTGAGATGAGATTATCCTGGATTAGGATGGGCACTAAATCCAATGACAAGTGTCTTGAAGAGAAGAGGAGAAGATAAAAGGGAAGGTGATCTGACGACAGAGGCAGAGACTGAAGTGATGTGTCTATAAGCCAAGGAATGGCGAGAACGGCCAGCAGCCACCAGAAGATACGAGAGGCATGCACTGCATCTCCCTCAGAGCCTCCAGAAGGAACCAGCTCCACCAGCACCTGCATTTAGGACTTCTGGCCTCCAGAAGTCCTGCGAGAGAGTAAATTTCTGTTGTTTTAAGCTATGCAGTTTATGGTAATTTGTTACAGTAGTCCTAGGAAACTAATACACATACTGCATAATTTATTTACTATTTATTATTTTCCGTATGCTGTCACTGTAAGCTCCTTGAGGGTACAAATTATGATTCTGTTCACAATCTATTTCAAATACCAGTGCTTGACACACAGTAGGCACTCAAACTTAAAAATAATTGATTCTATTGATAAAGTTAATAAATATTGATTAAAGTAATCTAAGATTTCGTTGGATAAATGAATTGTGACATATCTATACACTAGAAGGTACTACTCAACAATAAAAGGAATGAATTATTATATACACACCAATATAGATGAATCTTAAATACATTTTGCTAAGTGAAGGAAGCCAGATATTAAAGAGAATATACTATATGATTTCATTATGTGAATTCTAGAAAAGGCAAATCAAAGCTGTCAAGAGAAAAAGCAGTTCGGTGCTTGCTCAGGGACCAACCAGGCTCAGGGAGCCTGGCTGCAAAGGGACATGAAGGGACTTGGTGAAGTGATGAAAGTGTCCTCTATTCTGATTGTGGTGGTGGTTCCAGGGCTATCTATATTTGCCAAAACTCTTCAAACTGTACCTTTAAAAGGGGTACATGTTATTGTAAATTATACCTCAAAAAGGTGATAAAATAAGGTGGTTCATTTATTTAGAATAATGTAATAATTGTCTAAAGCAAATACCAAGTATAGACTCTGGAGCAGGCCTAAAGGTGTCAGAGTCAAAAAATATATGGCAAGAAGGTACAGTAGAAGGAAGCAAAAGATATAAAACCCCAACAACAGAAAAGAGACAGCTGCTGATTATTGAGAGCTCTCCCAAGGATGTACGCATGAGAAGACACCATTAGCAGAGCCCACACTGCGGACCGTGCAGTGACATCTCCCTTGCTGCATCAAGCCCCTGGAACACAAACCAGCAGCCTCTGTCATGAAAGAAAACCGCTGCTGGAGAGGCAGGAGGATAGCTTGAGCCCAGGACTTTGATACCTGCCTGGGCAATACAGTGAGATCCCATTCTCCACAAAAAGGAAAAAGAAGGAAAGAAAGAAAATCTCTGTGGGGTAAATAGAGCAGCTGTTCTGGGGGATGCTGGTAGTTGTTTGTTATCCCCACCCACCTCACTATCTCCCTGTTCTTTCCTTCAAGATGGCCTTAATTCTGACGACAGATCACTGATTTCATTTATGAAGTGGAGTAAACACTGCTTAAAGTATTCAAAGGTTTCACTGAATATGATCAGGATCAAGCTCTTTAAAAAAGTTAATCAGTTATTGGTTCAGAAACACTGCTGGTGGCTTTCAAATAACATGTTTTATAAGAAAGAGAAATTCCAGACTAGTCTCTCTTGTGAAGATTGATGGAAAAGGGCCTGCATTGCCAAGACAATCCTAAGCCAAAAGAACAAAGCTGAGCGCATCACACTACCTGACTTCAAACTACACTACAAGGCTATAGTAACCAGAACAGCATGGTACTGGTACCAAAACAGAGATATAGACCAATGGAACAGAACAGAGCCCTCAGAAATAATACCACACATCTACATCCATCTGATCTTTGACAAACCTGACAAAAACAAGAAATGGGGAAAGGAGTCCCTATTTAATAAATGGTGCTGGGAAAACTGGCTAGCCATATGTAGAAAACTGAAACTGGATCCCTTCCTTACACCTTATACAAAAATTAATTCAAGATGGATTAAAGACTTAAATGTTAGACCTAAAACCATAAAAACTCTAGAAGAAAACCTAGGCAATACCATTCAGGACATAGGCATGGGCAAGGACTTCATGACTAAAACACCAAAAGCAATGGCAACAAAAGCCAAAATTGACAAATGGGATCTAATTAAACTAAAGAGCTTCTGCACAGCAAAAGAAACTACCATCAGAGTGAACTGGCAACCTACAAAATGGGAGAAAATTTTTGTAATCTACTCATCTGACAAAGGGCTAATATCCAGAATCTACAAAGAACTCAAACAAATTTGCAAGAAAAAACAAACAACCCCATCAAAAAGTGGGTGAAGGATATGAACAGACACTTTTCAAAAGAAGACATTCATGCAGCCAACAGACACATGAAAAAAATGCTCATCATCACTGGCCATCAGAGAAATGCAAATCGAAACCACAATGAGATACCATCTCACACCAGTTAGAATGGCGATCATTAAAAAGTCAGGAAAAACCTTCAATAATTTATCGGCTAACTGGAACTAGCAAGATATGAAAAGGATAGTATATCATCACTGTCTTAGAACAGGACCCTTGTAAATTATACCTCAAAATAAGGGGGAGTAGACTCTGAGGCCAAGATTGTGTGCAGGATGTCGATCAGGAGGGAGCCTTGGGGCCAACAGGTGTAAAGGAAGTCAAGGCAGCAGGACTGGGCAGGCCCAGTGGCATGGCTGTCAGCCCTGTGGGGAGCTCTGAGGATGAGACACACTTTGACACTGTCCCACACTGAGGCGAGAGAGTTATGTCTCCATTGATTGTTACTGGAGGCAGCCACCTTGAAAGGGAGCATAAACTTGGGCAAGGTGGTTCTCTTCAGCTGGGCAGTGCTCAAATGGCAGACAATGAAGGGCCAGCTGCTAGCAGGTCTTCCAGTGGCTGGGGCCATAGTCCCTTTATTCCTGAATGGAGATTAGGAATAATCTGCACACAGTGGCAGCAAAGGCAAGGCCAAGTCAGATGGTAATGATATGAGCTGCTTTTAATTTCAGGCAGTTGATTACTTACATAGACAGGGAAAGGAAGTGGGTCAGCCAAAGGTGCTAGGTTCCTCGGTCCTTCTCTCACACTCCAAAAAGGACAACACCTACTCAAAAGGGGCAGGATGACTGCAACAGGAGTTGTGGGATACTTTGTTGCTGGGGAGCCAAGCCTAGACTGCAGCTAAGTGGTTTTGCATTCTGCAGGTCTATTCTGAGCTCTTCAGAATCTCATCAAAACCCTCGCAGGAAAGACAGGGAGGCAAGAGGAGCTGGCCTCGGGGCAACTCCTCACAAGCTTCCCATCCTCCCTGTTCTGGGAGAATCATGAGGCATTTTGCCAAGACCTAGACTATTAATAACTGTGGCTCAACCCTTGCCTGTACAGCATCTGGGCCAGGATGGAACCGTTCTCTACAGCACCTGATGCAACAACCAAGTGGAGTATGTTTCAGGCCTCTAAGGATAGTTTAACAGTAAGAAATTAAATATCATTCACAACATTAACAGAAAAAAGAGAAAAATTATATCATCTCAACAGATGCAGAAAAGGCATTTGGCAAAATTCAACACCCATTTATAGTTTAAGCTTTTCTAGCAAACTAGGAATAAAAAAGAACTTCCTTAATTTGACACCGAATATAGCAAGCATTATTCTTTTTTTTTTTTTTTTTTTTTTCTGAGAACAGTCTTGCTCTGTTGCCCAGGCTGGAGTGCAGTGGTGCGATCTCGGCTCACTGCAACGTCTGCCTCCCAGGTTCAAGCTATTCTCCTGCTCAGCGTCCTGAGTAGCTGGGACTACAGGCGTGCACCACCACGCCTGGCTAATTTTTTGTATTTTTAGTAGAGATGGAGTTTTACCATGTTGACCAGGCTGGTCTTGAACTCCTGACTTCAGGTAATTTGCCCATCTTGGCCTCCCAAAGTGCTGGGATTACAGGCGTGAGCTACTGTGCCCAGCCTGCAAGCATTATTCTTATTGGTGAAATATTTAAAGTGTTCTCCCTGAGACTGGGCATGAAGCAAAGATGCTATCTTTTCTATTCAACATTGTACTAGAGGTCCTAGCCAGTGCAATAAGGCAAGAGAAATAAATAAAAGGCTCACAATCTCATTTATTCAAAATTATTTACCTGGAAACCCCAACTATTTGAAACAAAGCTGGTAATCTGGAAGACTAACATTCTCTTATAAAGCAATCTAAAAAGGTCTTGGAGCAGCAAAGATGCCACAAAGCCTATGCTCTTCACACACAGAGTCCCTTAAGCCCTCATCCTGAAGCTACGTACAATCCTAATAAATGGCTCCATTTATTTTCCAAGCCCACCTTGGAAAATGGCAAGAGATTGGCAAACCAAACAAAACCAATGTTAGCTACCAGCCTAAAAGGAAAGAACACGCATAAACCATAAAACGTAGATGCAGCAGTTTAAAAAAACAGTGCTTATAAATCACTTATTAAAAGGGCAAACAGCTCCACACCTCAGCAGCCCTGAGGGCACTGCAGTGCAGGACAATAATTGACACTTGTAATAATGACTTTGAGTCATCAGGAAAAGATAAGATTATGCTTATGACTCACTGCTTAAGAAGGCAGGAAATTATATTTTGTATTAAAGGTTTTTAATGTCTGATTTTAAAGAAGTTTGGGTTATTTATATGGAGAAATTTTAGTGTTAGGAAATTACTTTATAGGTAATATCTGATTTCTTTTACAACCTAACCACTAAGGTTTTTCATGGCTTAAGCAGTACTTGGCCAGGAAACAGAAGTCAATTTCACAAGTGTTTGGATTGAGCACCTGTGATACTTGAGTCATAATGACGGGCTCTGCTCCAGGCACTCAGTCCAGGGATGTTCTTTTTTTTTTCAGAGTTGTTACTATTTAAAGGCAGCTGTGGCTTGGCCACGTGAGCATACTGGGCTGAAAATGGTAAGCAGGATTTGTAATTTCTTCTAAGTCGAGTCGACCCTTTGATGAGTAAGTATTGAAAGCATGCAAATATTCCTTGCATTTGCTCTTCTATCTTCTTAGTTCACTGTGGGATGAGATGCTATTGATGTCACACCCAATTCCCCTTATCCCAGCCTGGAATGTGGCCTGCAGAAGGTTCTCTGTGTCTCTTCACCTGAAGCCCTTTCTTGGCTACGGAAGCATGTTCAGCCTAGGTCCAACAACAAGGAGTTAACATCTCAGGAGTAATCCTCATCTTGATAAATTAAGGCCTGGTGGATACATTCCCAGCTTCCTCACGTCTCAGTGGGATTGAGCGTGGTGGTCCACAGTGCTAACCTGCTCATTAACACACATTTTATCTCCTTTCTTCCCTTTCCTACCTCATGCCTCCGTACCCTCACCCCACTTTCTGGGATCCCCTCCCCACTTCAACCAAGATCCCTGCCTCAGGGTTTTGCTTTTGGGGGAGCTGAAATAAAACATCTGGTGCCAGAAATGGCCCTAGAAAGTGGCCTCAGGATGAGACACTGGACTTGATGCCAGCCAGATGACAACAGGATCCCACTGCTAGTAGTAAGTGTAGTGGTGATAAACCCTGTCACACTACTGGGTTAGTTACCAACACTCTCACCTGGGTATGGATTGGAATGAAAGAAGAGAAGACAGTCTCTGATTAGCCAACTATTACCTGAAGAGATGCCCTGACAACTAGAAAGCCCCCAGGTCTCTATTTAAAAGAACCCACATCTCCTATGTGCAGAAGCCAGAATGTACTGAGAATCCGGCCCATGATTGGATTACAGCAGTGATGCAGATTCAAAGGAGACCAAATTCACATGCCCGGAAAGTCTCCTTTGCTTAAGTCAGGGCCCTGATTGGGAAGGAATGTGACTCTGAGATATGAGGGGCCCATTTGGGCAAATGCCCTCAACGACCTTGATATCCCAGATTCTTCTGAACCCTTGGGTCTAGAAGAAGTGGCTCACTCCCCCTTGCTAGAGGAGGGTAGCCTCCTATCACCTGGAAGCCATTCCAAGGCCTCTCTTGAAAGGAGACTGGCAAGATAACCTTGGTCTTCCTCAGGATCGGTCCCTACTTCCACTCATTACTTCTAAACCAATAAATAGGGCTGAATATCAGCATGCCCTATGCAGAGAAATATTATCCTGCTTTGAGAAGAAATGGATTAGTCCCCCAAAAGAACAGAACCTGGACTGGCAGAAACTGGAAGAACATGTATGGTTATGGATCTTGAGGATGCTGGCCTAGTGGGAAGTAGAAAAGAAGTTGGATAAGGAAGAGTTTATTGACATAGACTGTCTTCTGTGACTCAGGATTTGGCATGTTTGTAAGAACACATGGAGCCAGTCCTAATACACTGCTGCAATGGGCCTTGGTGCTTGAGGATGATGGTATGCCAAAAACGAGGTGGAGATTCCACAACTGCTTAACAAGAGTGCTGAGGAGGGTTCAGAAGGCTCAGAGGGATGACATGCTAGAATGGATATAAGGCGAGAGAGCCCACCCATGGGCAGGGGTATTTCCTTCACTGAAACAATAAAGACTGCATTGGTAAGGGGACATTAACATTGTTGAGAAGCTCAGTGGTGGCTGTCTTCTGTTGGCTAGAACTGACAACAGAAGATGCTGGCACATAACTGGGCCTCCTATGATAGGAAGGATTCCAGAACAAAAAACTAATGGCTGCACTCAGACATTAGAGGAATAAAATGAATACAGTAACCTAATGGGCCGTAAGGCCAGAAGAACAACCAGGGAGCCAAGGACCAGTGGCTAATAGATTACGGCGCTCCTAGAGGTGAGGTGAATGGGCAGTCAATGAAGTTACTGTTATAAAACCAAGCCAACCAACCAAACAGCTGATGAGTAAAAGACTGATGTCAGCCACCACAGTGGAAAATCCTGATCTCTCATAGTTACCAGACCTAGTCAGTTCTCAGTTCCAGAGCCCATGGATTGAAGGAGAGTCTGGGTCTCCTGAGGAGGAGCCCTGCAGCACTATAGCAATCTTAAATAATACACACTGTCTCAAATCTTTCCCAAAGAGCCCCATGGCCATTTTTCAGAGTAACTGTATGCTGAGAAAGCAGAATATACACATCTTTCAAGAGCTACTCAACATAGGGCCTGAGTGACATACCCAGGGGATCTAAAGCACCACCACAGCCCTCTTGTTAGAGTGGGACATATAAGATAGGCAATCTATAAAGTTCTGACCCAAGGCTATCTCAGGGCAGATCCAGTAGGCCTGTGGGTCAATCCCCTGATCTCCCTTGTTTCTGAGAGGATAAATGGGATGAGTGCACTTAACTGAGAGACCCCAAAATTGGTTTCTTGACCTGAGGGATAAGAGCCATAATGGTAGAAAAGGCTTATTTAATGCTCCAAAATGCTCTCTCCATCCCACCCCCTCCCCACTCCTGGTCAAAATCAGGGGCAACATCCCAGGAGTATTGACAGTGATCCCCACAATATCCCATTGAATGGTTCCTGCAAAGCAAAACAGAGCAAAAGTGGAAGATGACAGTGGACTAACATAAACCAAGAAGTAGCTCCAATAGCAGCTGCTGTGCTGGATGTAGCATCCCTTCGAGTCAGCACTTGATATGAGGCTGGAGATTTGGTTAATGAATTCTTTTAAATCCCCTTCAGAAAAGAGAATCAAGAACAGGTTGAATTCACCTGGGTCAGATAACACAGTGTACACTCAAAGTTTTGCTCCAGGAGCATATAAACCCTCCTGCTCTGTTACAAAACTGTCCAAAGAAGTCCTTGATCATCGTGACATTCTGTAGAACATCATCCTGGTCCAATACTTTGATGACAAAATGTTAACTGGACCTAGTGAACAGGAATGAACTGGCAAATAATCTGAGTGTTCCTTATGACACATGCACCAGAGAGAAGGAGGTAATTCCTACAAAGATTCAGAGGTCAGAGGTCCAACAATCTAGGGAATACTGGGACATCCTGCCAAGTCAAGAGCCAGTTATTGCATTTTGTACCTTCTACTACTAAGAGAGGTAAGCACTAGGTAGTATTATCTGGATTCTGAAGTCAGCATGTACAACACTTAGGAATATTGCTCTGACCATTTCTTGGGTCACTCAGAAGGCTGCAAGTTTTGAGTACACAGTTAGGAGGGCTTTGTACCTCTCTATGGTTCAGGCTGTAGTGTAGGGGTACCTCTTGGTGATATGTGGGGGTAACAATAAATGGGAAATTTCACAAATACAGCAGGACAGGGGCAAAATGATCAGGGGCTCAGACATCTAAGAAAGGAAAGTCTAGGTCATCTCATGAGGCCAGCCATGCTGACCAGCAAAAGTGCTGGTTGAGGGTGAGGGGAATCTAGAATAAGTAGAAGAGGGAGATGATAAATGTTAATTATGGCTTCAGGACCAATATGCAACAGAGAGGACTACAGCCTGTCCCACTAAGCTTTTCGTTGATGTTTTCCTTTTTGTATTCATTGTTTTAAAAATATTGTGACCAACCATTATCCTCGAGAGAAAGTGAACTTAACATGGGACACCAGGTGGTACAGTAGAGCGGAGTGGATGGCTGGAGATGCTGGTGATTACTTCAACATATCCCCTTCATCTATTCCCAGAGGTTTTCTTTTCTTTTAATTGAGATATAACTTACGTATAAAATTTATCATTTTAAAGTATACAATTCAGTGATTTTTAGTATAGTCACAAAGTTGTACAACTATTACAACTATCTAATTCCAGAACATTTCATACCCTCAAAATGAAATGCAGGACCCATTAACAGTCACTCCCCATCTACTCCTGAGTTTGCAAGCAGACAGTTCCCATGCTTGGCTTCTGGAGGAGTCTCTTTGCCTGAGAGCATTCTCTGGAATTTGGTCTACATCCAGGCAGGCTGGACATGGCAAGGAATTAATACCTCAGATTTCTAACCTCAACCAGTGAGGGATGGAAAGTGGTGGATAATATTCCCAGCTACCTTGTCCTTCAGTGTAATAATTCAGAGATGTTTTCTGTACCATGTCTCAGAGGGTCCCCAGCAGGATTGGGTCCCAGTTGCCCATAGTGGTGACTCTTTCGATCTGTCTCAGTTCCTCAGTCTTCCGCGGGATTTCCTGAAATCACTTCCCAAATAAACTACCTGCACCCAAATCCTTATCCTATAGTCTACATTTGGGAAAACCCACCTACGATTCTTTTCAACAAGACTATCATGAGGTCTTTGTCAAGCACCTTGCTGAAATTCTGACATACTATACCTCTCATGCTTTTAAAAAGACAAATGAGGCCGGGCGCAGTGGCTCACGCCTGTCATCCCAGCACTTTGGGAGGCCAAGGTGGGCGGATCATGAGGTCAGGAGATCGAGACCATCCTGGCTAATATGGTGAAACCCCGTCTCTACTAAAAATACAAAAAAATTAGCCAGGCATGGTGGCAGGTGCCTGTAGTCCCAGCTACTCGGGAAGCTGAGGCAGGAGAATGGCTTGAACCTGGGAGGTGAAGCTTGCAGTGAGCTGAGATCACGCCACTGCACTCAAGCCTGAGCAACAGAGTGAGACTCTTGTCTCAAAAAAAAAAAAAAAAGACAAACGAGTTTAGTCTGCCGTATCATGTGATCACATGCCACTATGTGCAGCTAATTTTTAAATTTTTTGTAGAGATGGGGTCTTGCGATATTGGCCAGGCTCGTTTTGACTTACTGGCCTCAAGCGATCCCCCTGCCTGGAACTCCCAAAGCGTTGTAATTACAGTCATGAGACACCGCGACTGGCCCTGCCATACCTGATTTCTTACTAGGGAGATCCATGCTGGCTCCTGGTGGTTATGTTTCTTTTCCAAGTGCTCATGAAAATCCATTTAATAAGCTGTTAGTTAATTTGACAGTAAGCCCATTGTTATTTTACAAAACTATAAAGGATTTTCCAAGTTCCATTTTGCTTTGTCTAACAGTGGTTTTTTAATCTGTAAAAGTTAAAGGATGTATTATAGGCAAAAAAGAGAGGAAGTTATACTTCATATAATGTAAGAGATTGAGTACTGTTCACATCAATTCATGTTTTACAATAGGCAATAACAGCTACACGCTTACTTGATGAAGGAGCTGATGACACAATCCAAAAGACACCACAGTCCCCCACAAAAGCCTCCAAACCAGTTGTCACCAACCCACTCACCTCTATTCAAGACAGAGGTCATTACCTTTAAGTATAATATTTCCCCTTTTTCCTAAGCAGTTTTGAAAATGGTTTTGTCAAAATATTATTGTCTAAATACTACTGTTTTGTCTAAATGTGAAATATCATTTTGCTGAAATAGCTTTTCTTTCTGGAAGACTGGCTTACATGACAATTTATGATTTGAATATCTAGTGGCAAAGCTTTGGAACATAGGCATTTACACATAAGCAGAGGGAAATCATTAATGCCAAACTTTTGCAACCAATATATATCTAAAAGCACCAAGGGCTTAAAATTTGAGCATCTCTATAAATCTCTTTCAGTTAATCAGAATGGAAATAATGAATAGCAAAGGCTTTATCAAATAAGATTACACAGTCAAGGTAGGGCAGTATTTTTCTTATGCTGAGTTTTATAAGACATAAGCAAATTATCATTTAAACATTTATTTAATATAGGTTAAAATGTAATACATAAAGAGAAAAAATGAACACAAATGTCAAACAGAAGAAAACCCTTTATATTTTATTTTGGTCAACAAAAAGTCTGTGCATAACTCAGCAGCAGGCCTGAATTAAATTAAACCAAAGCTGCATTGTGATGGCCATCAATGTACAGACTGCCTGTCTGGCTTAGCACATCAAAAGTCTAATCAAGGCTCAAACCACCATCCTTAGAAATCCAATATATATATATATGAAAAAGGCTTTCTTTCTCAGTTAAATTAGATAAGTCTTAAAGTTGGGAAACTACTAAAAACAATAAAAATTTAAAACTGTATTTTGCTAAAGGGTATAGAGTAAATAACAACAACAACAACAACAACAAAAATGACAAACCAGAAACACTAAAATGTGTTTACATGTGAAAGAATCATCACGTTGATTTACGTCAAAGAACATCATATTTGTTTATCTTAATGCTTGGCATAGTTGGTTTTAAGGTTTTAGAAATATTTTTGAATTTATTATTAAACAATAGGAACGTACTGTACAGAATATTTCAAAACTGCTACCAAGAAAACAAGTACAAATTCTACCTAGCAATATAGGTTTCTTATCAACATACCTTTTTTCCTCACTGGTTTCAAACTGACAAAGGTGTAGGGAGAAAATAATTGAATGGTTTCTGAAGGCCACACTAGCCCTTTAGCCAAGAGTTCTGCTTCTGAATTACATAGAACATCTTGGTCCACAGACAATGGAATGGATTTTTGGAGAGAGTGTCAATTTAGGGCTAAAGAAATACAGGGTGAGAATGAAGCCCTCAACAAAAGCTCCAAAAGGGCACAGAAACTGGTAAGTGACCTAAATATGGAGAGACAGGTGAGGAGAAAATACATAGTAAATGCTGGCTCGTTATTGCATTTTATTCTCTCCCTTCTCTCATCCATTCATCTTCTTAAGACTGCCTTCTGTGTCCTTTTGCAGGGAAATTATCTTACCCTTTAACATTTGTTCCTTCACTATTTTAACAAAAAGCCTATAAGAAAAATAATAAATTCAAGGCTATTACTAAAAGCTTGAATAAAAATAACAACAAGCCCTATGCTCCAATCAGTAAACTCGTTTCTTGGAATAAAATCTTCATTTGTGGAAATGGAATGATGTCTCTTAGTAGACAGTGTTCATTTAGGGTGTGATACTCTCACTTTTAGAAGCAGGAAAAATTACTAAATATTAATATGTGAAAAGTAAGGACTTTCCTTCTGAGGGATTATTGCTTTATGGACTTGACTTTGTTTATCCTTATAGTATATCACTGCCTTACATAACTGTGGATATGATGCCCAGTTTCTAATGATTTGTCCAAAATCGTCTGAGAAAACCAGGCCAATACAAATATAGTGAAAACCTCTTGAAAATACAATTATTATAGACCCACATAAATAAAGTCTAATCTGAAGTCTGATAGCTGATTTTATGTTGAATATACGTCTTTTAAAAAGTGTTCTTATTGAACATAAAATGTAAAATAACATTCTGGAAACAAGTATAAATATTACATTTATTCTGAGTCCAGATACTTTCTAAACTGTAGAAGTGCAGGATGGATTTGACTTATCCATTAGTAATACAGACTCATGAAAAGTTATGCTGCAAAAAATGCTGAACCTCCTCTGATAAATGATCTTTAAGATGGAGAGACTGAGGAAGCTAAGTGAATGTTCATGTTCACTGCTGTAAATTTTCCTTATAATTGGTAAAAAGGCTACCCATAATAGAATTCACATTTTCAATGAATTTATAGTTTATCATCAAATAGAGTAAATGAATTAAGATTTCATTTTTAAAAATAAAGAGACATATTTATTTGTAATAACTCTCTTTTTTTGGTAATAACTATCTTTAACAATGCTATTATTTATTTTTACCCATGGGGAATGCATAAGTACAAACATTGTTAGCTTATTTAACATTTATTAAAAATACAGACTCTTTATACTAATGCAGAAGGATAAGCCTCTTCTTCCCACTCTAAAAATCTCTTCTTTGCTGTAAAGAATTCTCAGTGCATGTGAGCTAAGACTCTGGAGCACTCAGTAGAGAGGTGTGTGGGATGACCAGACAGAATCACTAGGTTTTCTCTGTTTTCAACTAGCTGAAAATAGGAACTCTAGTTCTAAATATTCAAAGTCTAAATATTAGAAAAATAAGGAGAGGGGATATGACAAAATGCTTTTCAAAATACATGCCTGAGGTGAGACTGCTTGTATGTTTGCATGTGGTAGCTTCCAGAGGAAATCTTCAGTTTTAATCTTCAGGTTCATATCTGGAGATATAAATTAAGAACACAATGTCAGGATACCTTTTGTTGTTGTTATTACCAAATAAGTTTACTTGAAGCAGTGGCACTATATTTCTCACTTCAAATTACTGTTACGGTAGAAGTTGGACACATTCAACTTTGTTTTGATGGTGACTCAGAGGGGATTTTTACATCAGGTAGGAGGATAGGCCAGATCACTGCTAAGGCTCCAAGTCTGTATATTTGGCATTTAGACCTGTGATAACTTCATATAATTACCTCAATCATCATGTTGACAAGAACAGTTGATACGACTATATGAGTAAAGGGCTAGCAAATCTACTTCTCTAAGGACAAATCTCACCTTGAATTCCCTTTCTAGCTCTGCTCCCCTGGAACTCTGATAAAGGTAAAATGTCAACTCAGTTTCCAGGCAAAACATCTGATGACCACATCTGGACCTGGAGGACTATGAATGAACTATAAATACATGGTGGGAGCCACCACTTTAGGTTTCCCCCTGTGCGATGAGTTCTTTTAACTGGACATACCCTTAACTGGGTATCATGTGACTGCTAAGAGAGATACTAATCCTATGTAGAACACGGACTTCTAAGCCAAGCTGGCTATGACACCCATCTGCATGAATCTCATTCTCTCCAACTTAAACTGTCATTTAGGGGAACAGTAAGACCAGTTCTTGGACTGCTTAGAGTATACCACCAAGGAGAAGAGAACTACCTAATGCTGCCCTGCGAGCTTGCTGTGTTTCCTGTCTGACATCCTGCTAAGTGAATCCATTGCCAAGAGCAGCTTACTGTAGGCCTGTGTGAGTCTAAAGGCCTAGATGAACCTAAAAAGAAGCCCTGGTGGGCATTATAGATAAGGTCAGGCCAGAGCTCCTCCACTTTCCTCAAATGAAGGCTTCTGGACTAAATGATCCAGCAACTACCACCGGCTTGACCTCTCTGGAACAAGCTTAGATTTAACAGAGAACAAACATCAATCCAGAGAGAGAAATCCAAAGGCGGGATCAGTGTGGCTTACTGTGCCAGTCTTTTCCTCAGATCTTTGATTTGGTCATTCTTCTTGGTAAGAATCTCTTTCATGTTTCGATAAGCTGCTGTTTGCTGAAATTTCTTTTCTAATTCCTGCTTAGTAAAAAATGTCAGCCCATTACTAAAAAAATAGTTAAGGAAAGAGATAACAAATGCGATAAAAATATGTAGTTTTTTTTGCTTGAATTTTACTAGTATTTTGCTAATGATTTTCTAATTTCCTTAAAGGACACATTTATATAAAACTAAGACTATCCAAACTTTAAAAATATATTCTTTCAAATGAGAAGCCATAAAATAGTAACATTTTCCCAAGTACAGTGTTGGTAAATAACTCAAGCCCTGGATATGATAAATCTATTTGAAATATTAAACTAATTTTCCTGTAAAATAAGCACACTTTTTTCCCAAGTCCCATAGTAGTGTATTTTAGCAAAATGATTTTTAATTTAGTTAAATTTTAGCTCCCATATTCTTTTTTCCCATTTTTTATATGAAAAAATTTTTAATTTTTTTATAGAGATGGGGGTCTTGCTATGTTGGCCAGGCTGGTCTTGAACTCCTGGGCTCAAGCAATCCTGCCATCTTGGCCTCCCAAAGTGCTGGGATTACAGGCACAAGCCACTGCACCCGGCCTCAACTCCCATATTCTTAAGAGTCTAATCCCCAAAGTGAAGAATCTAGCTCTCTACATATTTTATATAAATTATGACAAAAGTATAGAAGTCCTTAAAAAAAACAGTCCCTCATCCCTCTGCAGGCTGTGGGAAGAAGGAGCAGAAGAGCAACATGGTGGGATGTAGGGCAGGATTCAAGCCACCTACAGAGGAGCATTTCACTACACCATAGAGGGAGAGGAGATGTCTTATTATCACAGATATTTTAGTACCAAAGATGGAAGAATATCAGTGCCCGGAAATGATTAATCTTTAGAACATATTGGCTAATACCTTGAGAAAAAATAATCTGAATTTGCAGTTGTCCAACGTTTATCTTAGCCACATGTATTCCTCTATACTGTGTGCATTAATCATGCATTAACAGACAAATCCCTTAAACATGGTCTTCTGACCTTTTCAGCCATGTGCAGCTGCTCCTGAACCCTGAGTAGATCGTGCTTGGCTGTCGCCAGATTCTCCTCCAGTGACTTCTGGTTTTCTGTCTTGTCATTAAGTGTCTTCTGAAACTCACTCTTTAAGGCAGCGACAGTGTTTTCTAAGTTACTTAAGTCTTGGGCCTTTATAAAATCCTATGAAAAATAAATGCATGCATGTAATTTCATGTTGATATTCTAAAAATAACTGTTTTAGAATGGTGATTCAACATCATAGGAGATGAAAAAAATGATGTATGTTTTGTGTGCATGCCAGCCTCCCTTGCCAGCCTAGGTAAGTGCCAGCCCCTTCAGAGTCACCAGCAGGCCAGTCCATTGTCAGCCCTGGGTACGTGGTGTCTTGCACACAGCCGACACTCAGTAGCCACTGAATTCCAAATACATAAAATATGATTTGTGAACTGCTGGTATTTCCATCCAAGATGTGTGTACCAGGGTTGAGATGGCAAACAGGTTTCATTTTGAAAAGCCAAATTTAAAAAAATCCTCAAAGAAGTTTGAATTCTTCAAAATGATAGAAAAAATGATAAAAGTAATATAATTTATACCAAAAACTTAATAGACATATGTTTTAGTCATTATTTACAAGGAAATAATATGAGAGCACAATTACTGATTACATGGTTTTCTAAATTTTTAAGATTTTAAGTTTTTTATATTCATGAGATATGTGTAATTTTTGCATACTTTGACAACTATAGCATAAGACAGGCACTGGATCTTCTCTCTTCCTGGATCTTGTTTTTGACTGGATAAGATTCATGACAGAAAAAACATTTGTACTGATAAGACAGTAAAATGGTCTACAATTGGTTAATATGTAGATGAAGAAATACTTAGTACTTTCAAGTGGCTCTCACGCCTGTAATTCCAATACTTTAGGAGGCCAAGGGAGGAGGACTACTTGAGCCCAGGAAATTGAGACCAGCCTGGGCAACAGAGCAAGACCCCGTCTCTACAAAAAATATAAAAAATTAGCCAGGCATGGTGGCACATGCCTGTGGTCCCAACCACTTGGGAGGCTGAGGTGGGAGGATCGCTTGAGCCGGTGAGGTCAAGGTTGTAGTGAGCCATGGTTGCACCACCGCACTCCAGCATGGGAAACAGAATAAGGCCCTGTCTCAAAAGAAAAAAAAAAAAAAAAAAAAAAAGTACTTTCAACAGAAGAAAAAAAAAATCTTTCCTCATTTTTGAAATCTGGTCTTTGAAAAAAAGATTTTCATTGCAACTAATAAAAGCACGTATTCACTGGTTGTTCTTGTGTCCAAAATCTTAAAGTAAAATTGGAGCAAAGCCCCAAAAAGCTTTTAAACAAATTCATCAGCCACATGTGTTTGCAATTGTTTGACTTAGGAGAAATTATAAAGCGGTTCTGGAACATTCGTGTTTTTATAAATCTATTGTCATTGGCATATAATGGTTGAAAATCATTAGCTATATAAGAAGTATCCTCCTATTTTAAAAATATCTACAGATAAAATGGTTCAACGTCTGAGATTTGCTTCAAAAAAACATGGCTGGTGGGAAGAAGAAAGTAGAGGTACAAATGAAACCAGACTGGCCATGCATTGGTAACTGCTAAATAGAGTGAAGAGTGCATGGGGGTTCATTATACTATTCTCTCTACTTTTGTGTATGTTTGAAATTTTTCATAGAGAAAAGATTAGCAAAAGCCCAGTGAAGCAGATTTTGGGTTTGTTTACCAGACATTTGCAATGAGAGTATGACCACTAGAAAAGCCAATGCTGTACTGAATATCTACCCAAATGGTCCTGCTCACAGGAAATCATACTGCAGCATGCACACTCAACAGAAAGTCCACAGGAGACAGACTGTACATACAATGACTTCCCGCAGGCGGAGTGACATTCAGTCATTACATTCAGACAAGCATGAAGAACTACAACACTGGATTTCATTGTACTCTATGGTGCCGGCGGGTACAGACGCATCTGCAGATTCATAATCATTTTGTCACACTCATCAAAGGCAAACTTAAGTAATGTTCAGTATAATAAAACCCAAATATAAACCAATTAAAAACTTTTCTTTTCATTTTCTTTCCCCTCCACTGTAATTGGATGTCAAAGTGAGAGGGGAAACTTAAAAAAAAAAAGTGAGAATATCTTGCATACCAGGAAGATTGTAGAAAAACTTAAAAAATAAATGTGAGAATATCTTGCATGCCAGGGAAACTGCAGGTGTGTGAGCTATGTACTGTCCCCTCTGCCCTAGAGGATGGACAGAGGGAAGGTCACTGGTTCTCACCAGGCCTTTTGGGGGCAAGAATGTCCCAACACATGACAATAGAGGCATTTGTCTCAGGGAGTAGCAGGGGTGGGGTACAGTGAGCAGTAACTAAGACTTAATTTTAAGTTTATAACTTCATTCTACTTAGAAAATGTGAGAAAGGTAGCTAAAACTTGTTTCACCTTTTGATTTCCTTGATCAAGCTGTAAATCTTGCAGTGCTTTTTCTAGTTTTGACTTTTCATCCAGTGCATTTGTAGCCTATAGTGAAGTTTAAACAAAACACTTTCAGTATTTAATCTGTAGGCAGTTCAATAATTGTGTCAAAACATTTCTCAGTTACCTGTATTTCAATGGTCTTCAACCTTGACTTCAATTTCTCATTCTCTTCTTGAAGTCTTAAAATTTCCTTTGTGAGTAAATTCAAATTTTATTATATTAACCAAAATATTTTAATATTTGAAATTATTACTTGTTTCACTTAAAAATCTAATTTTTAAATTTAAATTACATAATAGCTCAAAAATGTACTACTGATATTTTGGTAATATCCCAATTTCATCCAGCCTATCAGCCTCAGTATCTGTGAGTCAGCTTTGGATCTAAGACATCTAGTTTCTTTTCTTTCAGTTTCTCAGACACATCTTCCCTCTTTCAGTCCTCTGTTTTCTGTTTTCAAATTTTTTTCCAAAGACCCGCTTCCCTGCCAACTTTCTCCTAGCTGGTCCTGCAAATCCTGGGTCTATTCTCAGCCTACACTGCACACTGTTGCCCCTTATCCTGAGAACTCCTTCACTTCAGTACCATGCTCAAGCCCACAGATGCTTCTGACTGAGGTGAGGCCAAACACTTTTGTTCTTATACAGCTCAAACATTTGAATCATCTGTGTTATTTTTCAGTAGACTCAAATAAACACATCAGCCCAGTCAGAGGGCACTGCACTCTGTTTCAAGTCATGCCGCCTCCTGTCTGACCACTGCCTGTTCTGTTCTCCTGCCCAACACACTCACTTCTCTTTCCTCTACAATTTAACTGGTCTTCATCCTTCAAGGCCCAGCTTAGGTACCCCTTTACCCAAGAGCCTGTTCTCACCTACTGTTATCCACACACAACTGAGTCTTCTCTGCTACCCAGTATGACACCTGTAGCACACAGGAGAATATTCTCTGGTCTCTATTTCTAGAACATCAGTTCTACTTTCCCAATAAAACTATTACATTTTTGGCCGGGCACGGTGGCTCACACCTGTAATCCCAGCACTTTGGAAGGCCGAGGCGGGCGTATCACAAGATCAGGAGATCAAGACCAACCTGGCTAACATGGTGAAACCCCATCTCTACTAAAAATACAAAAAATTAGCCGGGCGTGGTGGCAGGCGCTACTCGGAGGCTGAGGCAGGAGAATGGCGTGAACCCGGGAGGTGGAGCTTGGAGTGAGCCTAGATCACGCCACCGCACTCCAGCCTGGGCGACAGAGCAAGACTCTGTCTCAAAAAAACAAACCAACAAACAACAATAAAAAACCCAAACTATTACATTTTTGAGGGCAAGGGAGCAGGTATTACACTGCTTTTTATTTCTAACAACATCTAGCATAATGTTGAGAATACAAGGGTCATGAAAAATAGCTGAAATCTGAAATGCTTCAACATCAGAAACTTTCTGAGTGCTGACATGATGCTCAAAGAAACTGCTCATTGGAGCATTTCAGATTTCAGATTTTTGGATTTGGGATGCTCAACTGGGGTCTGTATAATGCAAATATTCAAAAATCTGAAATCCAAAACACTTCTAGTCCCAAGGATAAGGGATACTCAACCTGTGCTGATAAATAATTTTTTTTTTTTTTTGAGATGGAGTCTCGCTCTGTCGCCCAGGCTAGAGTGCAGTGGCGTGATCTCAGCTCACTGCAACCTCTACCTCCCGGGTTCAAGCAATTCTCCTGCCTCAGCCTCCCGAGTAGCTCTGACTATAGGCACGTACCACCACACCCGGCTAATTGATAAATAATTTTTATAAACTTAAAAACCCTTCTCCTTGTTACCGCAGATCACAAACTTTAAATGTCCATCAATAAACGCTGTCCAAAATTTCATGCTCTTCACTTTACCTTGAAAAGGTGTGATCAGGAGCTACTTCAGGCTCTCTAGAAGGTTAAGTATGCCCTCTTCTGGCCCATGGGGTACCATCAAGTAAAACTACTGCAATGGACTAATTATCCTCAGAGGACCTGAAACAAACCTTCCACTTCTGTTTCTCCACCCTAGGCAATGACAGGACAGAATGAGAGACTTTCCGTTTCTCAAAATAATAATATTACCTTGTTTAGGAGTTCTGCTGTTCCACCTTCATTAAGTGGAGCAAGTTTTGGCTTTGTGACATCTAAGATGGGCTGAAACAAAATAAAGAAACCAAACTGAAATCACCACAGAATAAAGCATGTATAATCATTGAACACTTGCACTTTGCAAGTGGAAGATACTATATATAAACATATTCACTGCGATGTCAGTTCCACAGGTGTGGAGATTTCTGTTGGTTTCATCCTTTGTTACTCCCAGTGCCTAGGATATGCCTGTCCTACAGTGCCCCATACATGTTAGAGACAAAAATAAAACCTATCTTCCCTGTATCTTTTAAAAATATATAGATAGAAGGAAAATGAGGGAAGAAAGGAGGGACGGAAGGAGCTCAAAGCCAGATCTGATATAGAGCCTAGCATCTAGCAACTAGAATTTTAGCCTGTGGGAGCTGAAACAGTGATTTCTACATGAACCTTAGACTCTGTGAAAAACAATAATATTGATGAAGATCTAGGCAAGTATAATACAGATAAACAATAACTTGGCACAAATAATATAGTAGTTTAGTAATATATATTAAAAATAAAATAATTCATGCCCTCTGATCCAGAAATTTCTTAGCCATAAATATGACCCAAAGGAATAACTGGAAAGTATTTTGCATGTGTATGTACATAGATTCATCTCAGCAGTATTTATCCAACAATGGAGTATTTACGGTGTGCCCGTGAAGTGGAATGGTAAGTGGCCACTCCAATTAATGAGAATGATTAGAAAGAGAGGTAGATAACTACTAGTATTGTCTCCATTTGTCAGATGAGTAAAATGAAGCTCAGCTACCTCAGATAACCTGCTCAAGGTAACACAGCCAGGAAGTGACAGAGCCAGGATGTATACCCAGGTGTGGCTGACCCTACAGCCTGCGCTCTGAATCTTCTGAGTAGAGTATTTATGAGTGGGATTGAGACTGAACTTAGGGATCATGTGTATGTGTAAGCCATCACAGACAAAAGCAGTTTTTCACAGTTACTTCCAAAACATTTTTTCTTTTGCCTGAAAATATGATAGACAATTTCTGAATTTTACTCTTGAATTGAATGCTTTTCCTTAAGAGTTCTCAGTTTTGATCTCTGAATTCTTTGAGCAACTTGAGGATTTTAAATACTGGCTATTAAGATATGGATTTAGAATGACCAAAAAGTTACCTTTTTGTTTGAAGATGTAATCTCTGCTTTTTCAAATTCTGCAACTTGTTCTAATAATTCTCTTGAAGAAGAAAGCAAAGATAAAAATTATTCATTTAAAATAGATTTATATCACACGCAAGAAGAGTAAAATCACTGGTACCAACCCATTACATGCCAGAGAGAACAGAGCAAGATGGACCAAACTTCACCATATCAAAAATGTTAGTTGCAAATGGTTGAGAACCTAAACCACATGGACTCAAATGTAATCATCCACAGTACCTGGCATTTTGTATCTACTAGGTATGCAATATCTACTGCTAGAAATAAACCATAATGTTAATACAAATATGAGGAAAATTTATAGTCAACTTTGTATTCTTGAGGTGCTATGAGGAGACTGTTTTATTACATAATGTGTATTGTTAGCTAGTAGGTGTTCAAAAAAGATTCTTAATAAAGTAGTCTCAGAAAAATGAAAATAGTCCATAGTATCTACTGAAAAAGAGTACCACAAATTCCTAGGAAAGACAGATAGTGGGGGTGTGCCATCTGAAGATTTGCAAAGGCCAATGAGAAGTGACTACACACAAGCTTAGAGTGTTAACAGCAGTCAGCTTCTAAGCTTCTTAAAGCACCACCTTCTCAGAGTTTTCTCACCAGTCATCTACTGACAGTGGCAGAAGTTCAATGATTTTCCTCCCCAGCTCATAGGTTGTCCTCAGCGTTGTTCAACACTCTGCATGTGAACTGATGTGCTGTGACTGTGCTTAGAGTAGTTCACGGGGCTTGGCGGTCAGTCCTTCCTGATTTCTGGCATGCTTTTTCTTAAAATGAGTTTCAACTTCACCAATTTTACCATATTTTTTGAATTTGAGCTCTTAGATGTCCATATTATAAGCTTTTTTGTATATTTCCTATTTCAAAGTTAATAAATGTATACTTTTAAATTCCATTATTTAGAAAACTTCCAATGCTACTGGATTGAATTGATGGTATTTATTATATTTGAATTGACTTTTCAACTGTCTCATAATCTCTATTTCTTAGTTGACCAATCTATAAAGACTGATGGTAATACTGACCAAGCTAACAAAAATGCTGTAAGAAATAATTAATGATAGCCTGAAAAGCAATTTCATAAATCTCGATGGCCTTTGTAATACCTAGGAACAGTAGAAACAGAGAACTTTTAAAAGGGTGCTTAGTGGTACCCAAGAGATCACTCAGTGACTCAATGCTTTGCTGTTACCCTACCCAAATTTCCTCACACACTAGCCCCAAGAAAATATGCAGCCAAAGATGTTCACTAACTTTTAAGATTATGCTTGGGCCATTATTGTCACAGTTGCAAGTTCAAATTTTATTACCGGTTTTCAAGTTCAGAGATGTCTGTCTGTAGCTTAAGATACCACTTCTCAGCTTGTGCAAACAGCTGTCGCAGAAGTAACACATTGGTATAGGCAGTGTTGATGAGCTCAGATTCCACCTCACTATGAACCACAGCTTGTAATCCATTGAGGACTTCAGAGACTTCATCTATGGTGAAGGTGTCCTCCACCAGCCTGAAAAACAACCATGATCCAAAACTTATAGAAAAACAACAAGAAAAATCTACAAAATACAGCAAAATTAAGAAACCCACATTCATGTAATCTAAGAAATTCAAAGATTACAGTGAAAATCTCTCTGGGAACTATCTTCTTTATTAATAAACATTGAAAATAATTTAAACTCAATTAATTTTTGACATCTATTCAAATGATTAAATTGTGCACATCCTTTAATACAAGTAAATGCTCAAACACATTCCCAAAACCATCATCTACTTTTTTAACTTTTTAGTATTAAATGTCTTATTTCAAACTCCACTGAAATCAGTCTTATTACATTTAATAATTTCAAAAGTCACCCGGAAGGCATAGTCTCATTTCTTTCTAATATTTCTCTAACATTTTAATAACTGTATGAACTATTCACAGGTTAGTAAACGTCTATGGGAAATAAATGGTAATTATATATATTGCTTCTCTTTGCATTCTTGAGACCCAAAATAATAATAATAATAAAAACTAGCTTATCTTAAAGTTCTACTGAACACTCCACAAAAATGAATATCATCATCAACAATAGCATTAGAAATCTACTCTCAGGGCCAGGCATGGTAGCTCATGCCTGTAATCCCAGCACTTTGGGAGGCAGAGGCAGGTGGATCACTTGAGGTCAGGAGTTCGAGACCAATCTGGCCAACACAGCAAAAACTCTTCTCTATTAAAAATACAAAAAATTACCTGGGTGTGGTGGCACGTGCCTTAATCTTAGCTACTTAGGAGGCTGAGGCAGGAGAATCGCTTGTAACCAGAAGGTGGAGGTTGCAGTGAGCCGACATCATGCCACCGCACTCCAGCCTGGGCGACAAAGTGAGACTCCGTCTCAAAAAAACAAACAAAAAAACAAAACTACTCTTACATAGAGAATGCTTGGGTTGGAAGAGAACTTTGGTGCCATCTTCTACAATCCCCTAACTTTACAGATAGGAACACAGGTTTGAAGAGTGGAGATGACTTGCCTATGGTTACATTGGTGGTGACTAAACCCCACAATCATCTTCAGCAATGATTCTGGGCAAAGGATTCATGCCCAACAGCTAAATCCTTGAAAAAGCTTCTGTGTGTGCCTTCCAGTTTCAATGACAGTATCACAGTAACACAGTCCTCTCCTCTCCCTACCTCTACCCTCCAAAGTCCCTTCTCCCTCAGATTCTCAGCAGATGAAGAGCAGCTACCGCAACCTCAGCTTTATTTTCTTCCCTACTTCCAAAAAGACATCATCAAGCAAGACCCAGTTACACTAAAGCATTATCATAGTTAAACTCAAGTTAATAGTATTTGTTTTATAATTCTTTAATGTTTCATCTAGCCAGCAGAATTTAGTCATTCTCAAAAAACCACAACTTTTTAAATATAAATCCTTATTAAAATATTAATAATCTTTCTATATTCTTCAATAGAACATATGTTCTCGCCAATTAAATTGTTGCTTTCATCTGCTGGGGGATAGGAAACCAGATTACCAGATGAGTTTAATGGACTGAATGGTCTAAGGCTGATGGCCTCTAATACTGAGACATTCATGAGTTTATGGCAGCTGGAGCTCACTTGGAGGTCTTTTTCACTTATATCTGACTTGACATTCATCTCTTGCTACAAATCAGCTACGGTCCAACCATTATCATCTCATGCTAGAAATCAACTAACAATTTTGGTACTAGTCAGCATTATGATTTCCTGCTGTTTTCCTCTCTACTAATTATTCAGTATGAAACACAGAAGTGTTTTCTCACTAATTGCCATGTCTTATAGCTCTAACCATTTAATTAATAACTCAAGTAATTAAAGTTCTGGAATCTTCAATACAACAAGCCAATCATTAATCCACAAACCCTTGGCAACTTCCTTCTCAAACTCTGCCATCCTACAATTATCCTACAATTATCACATGCATTTCTGACAATAGATTCATTGCTTTCACCACAATACAACTTCTTTTGTTTCCTGTATCCATGAGGCTTAGTGTAGCTGCTCTTAGCAAATAATTGATCATGATGAATCCCAGAAATTGTCTGGCCTCTGCTATGGCACCCCCATACTGGCTACCAGAAAGAATCCATGTTCCTATTTGGTTTGCTTAGAGTCCTCCTCTGATACCTGCTCTCCTTGAGGTCTTGGAAGCAGGAATCTACAGTTTTGAGTCTCAAGCCTCTCTTTGAACGAGCAAAACGCATATAATTAATAACTTCATTTTGATGGTGCTCATTTAGGCCCAACTCTGCCTGAAAAAGAAAGAGGTAATTTAATTGTTAGTTTTGAAGATCTGATCAAAGAGCCAACAATGAAAATGCATAAGATATCCTGTGGTCGAGACTGCTAGATCTCCATCAAATTCTATTCTTCCCTTCTTCCTGGCTGCATGGCTGCCCACCTAGATGACACTTCCTTGCCCTCCTTGCAATCAAGTCACTGCTGACTACTTCTCAGCAATGAATGTTGTGGTCTACTTCCAAAGACCTGGTCTTAAGATATGGGGTGTACCTCTGCCCCTCCCTGTTTCTCTGAAACCTGGAAGAGGTGGCGACTTGACTGAATCATGCAGACAACATCAATGCCCTAGAGGCTGGGGGAGCCGCAAGATGAAAGGGCCCCACGTCTCTACCTCATGGAGAGGCACTGACCCTCTCACTGAACTGAGATGAGCAGTGAGATGGCTGTTAAGTGAGAGCGAAATAAACTTCTGTATTCTTCAAGCCACTTAACCTTACAGCAAAAAACAGCAACTCTGTTATAGCAGCTTAACCCTTACCCCATTAAATACAGCTTTAACAAGTATATTTGATTTGGAAAGAACCACTAACTGGTCTGTACTTTAAACCAGATGACAGCTTGACAAATATTTAAGAGGCAAGCCCATGGAGGTAGGGCTAGCACCCAAATAACAGAGCAGGTCAGCAGTCAGCTAAGAGCAAGGCATCAGCCATGTTAGTTGGATTTGTAATTAAGCTGCTGATGAGATTTACAAAGCAGTTTAGGTGGCATAAGTCTTTAAGGTCTGGAGGATAGAATGGAGATAGCAAGAGTTGAAGGGAAGCAAAAGGGAAATCTCTAAGGTACTCAAGTACAACAGGTTACAGTCATATATGCACTTGAGTTGTGAATAACAAGACAGATTTCTATTACACACTAAAAATAATTGACTACCTACATTAGAGACAATATTATCTCTGATAGTCACACATTAGTATGGGCAAGAATATCCCACAATTTAGAAATATCACAAAACAATGTCACAATTTGCTAAAAACAAAGCATAAATACAGATTCTTTTTTTTTAGAGACGGAGTCTCGCTCTTTCACCCAGGCTGGAGTGCAGTGGCGCAATCTCGGCTCACTGCAAGTTCCGCCTCCTGGGTTCATGCCATTCTCCTGCCTCAGGCTCCCGAGTAGCTGGGACCACAGGCGCCCACCACCACGCCTGACTCATTACTTGTATTTTTAGTAGAGACGGGGTTTCACCGTGTCAGCCAGGATGGTCTCGATCTCCTGACCTCGTGATCCACCTGCCTCGGCCTCCCAAAGTGCTGGGATTACAGAGGTGAGCCACCACGCCCGGCCCAGATTCTTAATAATTATTCACTGTCTATAGTATTACATTTACACTCTTTGCTCTCCCAAAACCTCCCAAACTCTCTTACCCTGTTTCCCAGGATTCTACTAAATGAACACTCTACTTTAGCCACACTAGTCTGCTCATCAGTCCTGAAACATGACTTAAAATTTCCTGCCTTGACTTTCACTCATGTTACTCTGATCCTAAAGTATCTCTCCATTCCTATTTGAGAATCTGAATCCTACCCAGTGGTATGATGGTAAATATTTAACAGCAGGTTTTCTAGGTAGGGGGGCCTGATTTGTAGCACTGCTGATTTCCATGGCATAAATACTTCCATCATGGCTGATTTCAAGCCACCAATATAATGTCACTGAATGAAGAGGTAAGAAGAAATGCATACAATTGGATCTCACCAGCCAGTACACACATGCTCCACCACATCACTGAATTCCTACCCACCCTTCATGGCCTAACCTGTTTCACCTACTCTGTGCCATCTCCCAATATGCCCTCAGTAACTCTATAGGTATGCCTTCCTCCAAAACCTAGCATATATAATCTCTGCTACTTCTTTGGTACCGTCACAGGCTGATTACTACCTCGTATTATTGATTATCTTTTTTTTCAGGTCTTGCTCTTCCAAGTAGATTGTAAACTCTATGAGGGCATGAACCATTTCTTATAATGCACAACACCTAGCATAGTGCCTTGTGCCAGCAGGTGGCCAATTCCTATCTGTTCATTCCTTTCCCTCCTTTCAAGGAAAGTTAAGACTGTCCCAGGACCAAGAAGGAAAAATTACTCAAACTGAGAAGGGTAAATGACAGAAAAGTTCCTTTAAAATGGATTGGAATGAAGAAAGGGGGTAAAAGTGGACAGCTGAGTTCAAAAGGAAAAATAGCATCAGCCTAGGAAACGGCTATTCACAAACCTTTACTTCCACACATATACTATATGTATCTATGTCAAATCATTAGAGAGGAAATGGAATAGGTAGATATGTGGTATAATAGACAAAGCACTGGATTAGAAACCAGGTTTAGGTCTAGCTATGCAACTATCTACCTTGGTAACAGTCTGTTACCAAGTCACTTAACCCCAATGACATTAGTTTTACTATCTGCTAAATGAGAGGTAGATATGATGATCAGTCCTAAAATGGTTAGAAACAATGGGAGGTATCCAAGTGGGGAAGTCAGAATTTGTTTGAATTTTATTGTAGAAATATTCCGTTAAAATAATAATAAAAAGAGCTGAAAACATACAGCAAGAAATCCTGCCAGAGCATTGCCAAGCTAGTGTCTTGAAATTGTACCACAAATTGTGTATGTGTGTTTAGGGGGAAGGGGATAGAAGAGAAATGGGTAAGGTACCAGAAAGGGTTCCCTGTTCTTAACCATGCCCACAAATCCATATACAATTTAAGATAAGTACAAGGAGGAAACTGTAATGATAAAAATGAGCACAGTTTAATAATACCTATCAGATACTGAATGCTTAATATTTTCACAGGTACTGCACTGTTTACACGCATTATCTTACTTATCATATTAACAGTCTTGTGTAGTTATTATCTGCAATTTACTAATGAAGAACCTGAGCCTGATTCCAAAGCCTCAGTTGTTAACTGATGGAAAGGAATGACAGAAGATAGAACAGGAAGAGATACCAATTTTTTTGTGATTTGTTTTCAACGTGTTCTCCTGATATTTTAGGGAAATCAAGAGAATGAGTGGAGAGGCTCTAAACTCAAGAAGGGGAGGGAGCAATCTGTTTAGCTCACAGGTGTCTTCTCAGCTCCCAGACAGCGCTTGGAACACAGTGTGGACTAAATAGAAATTCTGGTTGCTGAAGTATTTCAGTAGCTATTTCAGGTGGTGCTCTCAACCCTGGTTTCATCCGTTTTCCTGAACATTTCAGTGCTGTGCACTGTTCTAAGTATGACTGGTATTTAAGATGGCATGCTATATTCGCTGGAGGGATTAATGATATTTTTTGAGCAAGCCAAAACAAAGGAAATGTCACCCAAATTCCTCAGCTGTAATACGGGGTGCTGGGATTCTTAAAGTCACCTCCACATCAGAAAGTTGGATTTCAATCACACAGAAAGCTGGATTCGTTCTCCCTGCTCCTCTGGTTACCGCGCGCGCGCGTGTGTCTGTGTAAACCTTAGAGCTTCCTGAAACTGAGTGAGAACCCTGCGTATGTGTTAATGTGTGTGTGTGCGTAAACTTGGAGCTTCTTGAAATAGAGTTAAGAACCCTGCCGTGCACCTTAGGCCGGCAGCAGTTTCCTCTATCTCTCCTCACCTGCCACCTAAGAGTTGTGCCTTGGCTCCAGCCCCCGCAGGCAGGAGAGAAACGAAGCGATGCGGCGGAGCTGGGCTGCTGGGAAAAGGCTTCACCCAGGATTACCCCAGAAGGGCTTGGGCTGCGGTTAACCGAATCTCTCGCGCCCGGCGCAGCTCCCCTTCTCAGGGAGGCTGAGGTGCGGCCAGACCCAACGAGGCCACGTAATCATTCCGGGCCCACCCGCTCAGTGTCTCCAGCCCCGGCCGCGCTCTCTCCTGTGCGCGGTGCGGCGCCTGAGGGTCGGTTACTCACCATGGCGGCAGGCAGCGGCGGCAGCCTAAAGGAACGGGAGAGGCCAGGCGGTGCCCCGCCAAGCCTGGGATCGCCGAGGGTAGTTGGACCACAGAAAATGGGGAAGGAGGGTAGGTTGTTTAGAAGCCTCTGGTTGCTAACGGAAACCGAGGCACGTGGACTGCAATTATGCATTTTCATTGGTCCTCAGGATCACGCGACAGGAAGTATTGCGTAACCGGTTGACTGCCACATGCGCATTGGCTTCCAGGGCCGGAAGTCCCACCTTTTTGTGCCAGTTCACTTTTGGGAGCTGACTGCAGTTGCAGAAGGTAGCGGGAGGGTTGGGCTGCCTGGAGTTGCGTGTGGCCACCAACGCGCTTCGCGCCTCGTGGCGTCCGCTTATGGATTGTTGGGAAGTTCTTGTCCAGAACTTCCTGTGGCATAGGTGACCCCAAGGATGAATGGACATCCCAGACCTTTCAATGGTCTCATAGGGCGCGGCCCAGACATTTTTTTTTTTCAGGAGTTCCTACCTGAGCATCAGGGTGGCTGAGACAGGCCAACAACACCAATGCCAGCAGGTTCTCAAATAGAGCTTCAAACGACCCCTCCCCATGACTCCGCCCATTATTATTACTGTGTTGTTATTATCTTCTCTTATATTTCCAGCTAAAAGTCTCTAGCAACATTTTTCCATTTAAAAAAAATGCAAAAAGCATGGGTTTTCTCCGAGAGCAGTGAATTTCAAAAGGTTCCATATGCCTGGAACTACTATGGAAGCTTGTTGAACAAATTCCTGGGCCTTATCTCCAGAAATTCTGATTCACAAGTCTAGCTTGGGTCCTTGGGATCTGCACTTTTTAACCGATGTTCCAGGAGTGATCACAGATCAGGACCACTCTTAGAAACACTGGCTTGGAAGGACAAGTGTAGGATGAGATCGATTATTGCAAATACCAGGGACTCAGAGTCCTTCACTCACATGATACAGAGGTGATGTGCAGGCATTTGCCCACAGAAGGATCTCAAGCCTTGGGTCAAGAACAGTAAACAAGGTTCTCCTGTGTGTCACCTGGAGCATTCCAATGCACGGAATGATGGCCTGAAGGCAGTGGCGTGGGTATGCCCAACTTCAGCTTTGGCTAGGCTCCCTACCCTTGGCACTGCAATGGCATTTGGGCAGGATCCCTGTCTTCTTGAAAGATTCCTAAGGGCAGATTCTCTCAACCCTGAATATTAACCCCTTCCAAGCTCAGTTAAACTTCCCCTTTACCATCCCACCTCCCCATTTCTGTTTAGTGAGTGTTGTTGAATTTGGTTGCCATTATTTAGTGCCTACTATGAGCTATTAATAGACACATTCCATTCCAGTAGTTAATCCTCATAATACGTGGTTCTTTCCTCTGTAGACATTCGTTGTGTTCACATAGTGAGAGGGTCACTTTACAAGGTGTTGTGGGTGCGAGATGAAGTTCATAAAAACTTTTATGACTGATCAGTAAACAAAGTTGGTCATCAGCTTGCACTGCTGAAAAGCTCGTTTATTTTCTCCCAGGCCAAATCTTGTGATTGCGAAGTGTTATCAATTCAAGGGAATGAAAGGAGCGTGTGTATAATGCAAATATTACATTTGTGGCTTGGGGATTTTAAAATTTGTTCTGCAAAACTCCATCAGCTAGTTATTGTAATTTAAAATTCTGCTTTAATCTAAAATCTTCTATACCAAGGAGGTTAATCACCATTAGCCAATCTACCCAACAGAGTTGAGTGTTGTTACATAAGCTGTCTAAATAGTGTCAGCAAATCTGAACATGAATTTTAGTCTCAAAAGTGATGAATTTGGCTCATGAAAAGGCTGAACTTGTACTTCAGGTTGTTTACTAGTGCGGGTTGGTCACCAAAGCAAACAATTCGAGCCGTGAGGGAGAACAGCTCCATCCTACTTTACTAGTGATCTTCTTAGGCTCTGTTTTTATTTATTTTAATTGCTGTGACAGTTTTTTAAAATGTGTGTATGTGTGAGTGTATGTGTGTGTGTAAATTTGGAGGGAGGCACACAAGTCCATTTTTTACCTTTTAGCAGAGTTCAACATAAATAAAATGAAGATAAATTCTTTTTATATTATTATGAAATGAGACTTATGACTTTATAAGTTCCCAGTCATCATACTAAGACCACCAGTTTCAGGGTGTTTGCAACCTAGACTTGGCAAAAGGAGGAATGGAAAGCTGATCATGGCCTCCTCAGGGATGCCAACAGATTCACTCATTCTGCCACTATTTACAGAACCCCTGTTGTGTGCAAGGTTCTGTGGCCATGATAGTGAGTCTGAGGAAAAAATCTGAGGGGAAAATCTGAGGGAAGAAGTGGAGGGACTCAGAAAGCCCCAGCTGCCCCTGCACTATAAATTTTGGGGGGATGCAGGGGGACTAAGGTGAGGCTTTACTTAAGTAGAAAGAGGAAATGAAGAAAATGATTAAGTAAAAAAAAAATAGGTGATACACAGAAAATGTAAAAATCTGAAAGGTTATATGGGAAAGAGAAAAGTTTGATAAATATTGAACTGGTAGTAGGTGGAAAATAGGGGAAATTATTTTAGGACATTATTCTTAAGAAGACAGGATCTTTGCAGCATGGCTTCTTGCATGAAGTTCTACCATACAAGTTCTCTTCAACTTCCCCATCTTGCCCCACCTTGGCTGCTGAGAAAGTAGCCAAGACCTTATAGAAGAGAAGGGCCCAGATTACAGGGCTCTTTACAGGAGATATGCATTTGAGTAGGCCTGAAGTAGGCAAGAGGCTATTTTCAGTTGCTTTCAAAACACCCTAGTGACCAGCAGGGTATTGGAGAGTGCTGACAAACTAGATTAGTGAAATCACTATCACATGCATTAAAGCAGGTCAAGCAAGGAAGTGGTTCACCATAAAATACAACTCCCTCTAAGAATGTGTGGATGTTGGCAATTACTTAGCCCAAATGATAGATTAGTTTCACTGATAATCTCAATGCATTAACAACACCCCAAAGGGAACAAACACCGAAACCATCAAAATGAGAAGTCTACCTCAAAAAATTTTAAGAATTGGTTGTGGGGAATACCTTCTTGTAAAGTACAAGAAAAATTGATTGTAAAGATGATGATACGCACCAGCTCCTCTTTCCATACTCCCTTATGCATATACATTTCAGTTAAACCCACAAGCTCAGTCTGTATATTCAGCAGCTGTTAATGGAAATCTGGATACTCGCAAGACACAATGGGGAAGGGAATAATGAACAAGATGGGATTGGTCTCTTTCAAAAATGGCCTTATAATCAAGTGAAGGGAGAATTCAAGCTTGCAGAATAATTTCAAAGTAGACAGTAAGTAGTAGGGTAGTTCAGAGAGGGTGCGAGATAGTTCACTTCTGTTGAGGCTGGAGAGGAGAGATTCAGAAAAGTCTTCCAGAAGGCAGTGGAATTTGGGCTAGGTTTTAACAGGAGTGTGGAAAAGTTGGGGATGAGTGTGATGATTGTGAAATTGAGAGTTGTCTTGGACAGGGAACCAGAATTTTCATCAGGTGCTGCAGTAGAAGTGTCCAGAGATGTACATTTATTATTATTACAAGTGGCAAACTACAAAAAGAGATATACTGACAGCTTATACAAGGATGGAGCACCTTTAAGAGTGTCTTATTCAGAAATGTGGGTCTTCCTAGATCTGTGGTCTTCACTAAATGTTTCCATGGACTTCTGGCAATGTAAGGGTGTTCACCAATTGCATTTCATCATAGAAAATGTAAACAAAAAATTAAATTTGCTCAGAAAGTTTTGCCTACAAAGCTGGGGCTGTGTAGTCCTATTGGAAGAGCTGAATAGCTGTGTCATGAATAGCTGTGTTCATGACTGGAAGTTTTCTCAATGGGATGGATAAATAAAATATGAAAAATAAAGTGAACTCAAACGGAAATGTCATTTTTAGCCAGCTTATATGAGTTTGTCTTCCCAACTACTATGTTGCAAGCTCCTTGAAGGAAGAAATATTTATTATATAATAACATAGTATGGCTGGGCTATAAGAAGCTCTGAGCTATGCTTGCAGAATTAAATTGGAGATAAACAGGAACATCTCAACAAACATTTGTGAGTTCCTACTGGGTTCCAGATACTGTGTTTGTGGGTTGCTTTTGGCCCTGGACATGCCCTCTCTTGGAAAGCATATCATAAGGCAGCAGACATATTCAGCTATCCCTGTTTCCCATGTTAAATGTAACTTTGAGGTGATTTATATAACTTTTAGGAGTTTTTGAGAATGAATTATTTAGTTCTCATGACTTAACCCTTATGTTTTTATATAACTACTGTTTGAGTTCTACTTTGACTTAATGCTACACTTTGAAGACATTCCATAAAACAATTACTAATTTATATTTTGTGGTTTCTTTTAATATTTTGAGCCCAAGCATTTACAGTTGCTCCTTGAACAACACAAGGGATAATGGTGCTGACCCCATGCACAGTCAAAAATCCACATATAACTTTTGACTCCCCCAAAACTGAACTACTAATAGACTGCTGTTGACTGGAAGCCTTACCAATAACATAAATAGTTCATGAGCATACATTATGCATTATATGTATTATATACTATATTATTTCCATAAAGTAAGCTAGAGAAAAGAAAATACTAGAAAATCATAAGGAAGAGAAAATATATTTACTATTCATTAAGTGGAAGTGGATAATATAAAAGTCTTCATTTTGAATAGGTTGAGGAGGAGGAGGAAGAGGAGAGGTTGGTCTTGCTGTCTCGGGTGGCAGAGGAGAAAGAGTTGGAGGAGGTGGAAGGGGAGTCAGGAGAGAAAGGCACACTCGGTGTAACTTTATGGAAATGCATAATTTCTGTCTGACTTTTTCTTTTTTGTTTATCTAAAAATGTTTCTACGTGGTACCAGTCCTTCTTCCGCCATTTGCATGTTTCAGTGCCTGCATAATAGAAGGGTCCATGTCATAAAAGAAGTCAAAATCAGTCTTGAATAATTGAAACCATTCTTCCAGATTGTCTAATGTCAATGTGTTTTCTGGCACTACTTCTACATCTTTCTCATTATTTGGCACTGGTTCGGAAGCACTTATCTCCATCAACTTGTGTTCAGCTAATTCCTCTGGTGTGGTGTCTATTAGCTCTTGAATCTTTCTCCAAGATTCACACCTTGAAACCCTTTGCCCCTGTTCTTATTTTGCATATCTACAATCTCTTTCATGGTTTCCTTGTTTGGCTGATGCACAACATCCAGACACAGTTTTCTCCAGCTATTGTTTCAGGGTTGATGGCTTTCATGGCTTTTCCTGTAGCAAAGATGACATCTGCAGTGGTGTGTAATCTTTCCAGACCTCCATGATGTTGTCTCCGCTGGGGTTCTCCTCCACAGCATTGACAATCCTTTCCATAAAGAACCATGTGCAATGAGCCTTAAAGGTCCTTATGACCCCCGATCTAGAGGCTGAATTATAGACATTGTGTTTGGGGGCAAGTAGACCACTTCAACACCTTTGACATGGAACTCATGGGGTTTTGGGTAGCCAGGGGCATTGTCCAATATAAAAAGAAAACTTTAAAAGTCAGTCCCTTACTGGAAAAGTACCTCCTGACTTCATGGACAAAAGCATTGATGGAACTAATCCAGAATAAGGGTGCTTGTTGTCCAGGTCTTCTTGTACAACCAAAAGATTGGCAGCTGGTGTTCACCTTTTTCCTTCAAGGCTCAGAGATTGCAGCTTTATAGACAAGAGCAGACCTGATCATAAACCTCACTGCATTTGCACAAAACATTGGAGTTAGATAATCCTTTCCTATTACATTTTGGTGCTCATTTCTCTTCTTTATGAATAAATGTCCTTTGTGGTATCTTTTTTCCCAGAATGGGGCATTTTCATCTGCATTAAAAACCTGTTTAGGCAGCTATCCTTTCTCTTCAATACTTTTCTTAGTGGTGTCTTGAAACTCACCTACTGCCTCTTAGTTGGCAGAAGCTGCCAACTAAGATATTTTTAAAGCCAAACCTCTTTCTAAAATTATCGACCCATCCTTTGCTGGCACTAAATTCTCTGGCTTTAGATCCTTCATCTTCCTTTTTCTTTAAGTTTTCATATATGACTTCACTTTTTCTCAAACTATATTAGAGATGCCTTTCTTAGAGCAATCCTATACCCACATAAAAGCTGCATTTTTAATACAAGATAAAAAGGTAGTTCACCAAAAGTACAAGGTTTTTGCAGCAGCTTGAGTAGATGCAGTGACGCCTTCATGAATTTCCTTTTCTTCTTTTTTACAATGGTCCTTATGCTGGAGGGCAGCTGCAGCTGCAGACCTAAATCTATGGTACATATCAAGTAATTCAACTTTTTCTTGTAATATCATGACTTTGCTTACTGGGAGTACTTCCAGCATCATTAGTGACACTTTGTATGGATCCCATGATGTTATTTAAGGCTTACAGTATTGCGCTACACACAAAATATGCAAGAACTGCTGGAAATCACTTTTTTACTATGACACATAATTTACTGGAGAGATGAACTGCTCAGGTGGAGATAATTAGCCTCATAGCTATTTTAAGCTGATACTTGAAACACTTGAGCTCATTGCACTAGCAACAAGAGGTGGCTACAAAATTATTACATTAGTACAAAGTGTACTACAGTTAATTGTATGCAGTTATGATTTAATACTGCATCTTTATGTTTGTTTACATTTCTCTCTGCTGTGAATGGTGCCATGTGGTCTCTAAGTGTTTCTGTTCATAAGTTTTGATAAATTTTATATTTTTGTAATAGATTTGTGTATATTTTAGGGTAGTGAATTATAAAATAGACCAACCTTTACATATATTTTATGCATTAATTAAAATCCGAATTTTTTGATATTTCCGTGAGTTTTTTCAAATAGTCAAAAATCTCCAAAAATTTTTCCAATATATTAATTGAAAAATATCCATGTATAAGTAGACCTACACAGTTCAAACCAATGTTGTTCAGGTGCAACTGTGTATTTCTGATTTCAAACATTTTTATAGGCCATCGGCCCTGTGTCTAAAGTGTCTATCGGTTGTTGGGAGAACAAAGATGAAGTAAGGTCCCTGCTCTCAAGGATGCTAACCATCCAGCAGGACAGACGGACCCATTAGAGGATCATGTCATGTCAACATAATGTGATCACCTTTTAGGAAACCAGGCAAGGGGCACTTAGCTCAATTTAGGGTTTCAGGGAAAGCTTTGAGGAAAATCCCTGAATTGAACCTTCAGGGATTAGCAAATGTTAGCCTGGGAGAAGCAAGGCAGAAAGGACAGAGGGAACATAGCAAACACGGGCACCAATACCTGAAACAGCCCAGCATGTGGACTCCTTACAAACGCTAAGAGATTAAATGTTAGATGAGCTTTTACTTTTAGAAGTCAATATTGCCAAAATGTCACTGCTTTGCTAAAAATATTAAGCAGGAAATGAATGACCTGGGCAGGGAAAAAAATAACTGAACACACTAAAACCCAGGGTGATATAAAGAAAAGTTACATATCTGGTCTAGTGCTACCATTGAAGCTAAGACACCAATCTAAGGGACTAGTGTTAAGCTAATTGGAGAATGTCTTTCTAGGAATGGAGGGAATTTATCTGACTTCCACCCGGTCAGCCTGCAAAACTAACCCAAGTACAGGGATAGCAGAAACGTGGTAAGAATGTCTTCATTAAATCATCCACAAAAAAGACTGTGGAGAATAACTTTGAACAGCTAACATACACAGAACTGATACTTTTCGTGTATAGAATTGAAGATAAATGGTTCCCAGTTGTTCTTATGTGATATAATTTGGTTTTATTTTAAAATAGTGAGACTGAATATAAACCAGAAGACAACATGAACTTAAATATCTGCATATATAAGGCAGAAAAAATTTGCATTTTAAGAGATTTAATGTATGAATTTCTATACTTGATTTTGTGTAAGAGAAGCCGTGAAAACCATGGAGATAGTTGTTTTTACTAGGATCGCTGTCGTGTCCACATAAGAAGGTTCTATTTGTGTGTTGAGAGATTTTTCCATGTGCCCATTGTATTTGTTACTTAGAATTTACAATATTTTGAAAACTTTCCCCTTCAAAATGGATATATATTTTAAAACCTTCTACAATGTGAGTAATTATAGTTTAATTGATTGCATATTTACTGTGTTCCAGTAATACATGTTTCATGTCTAACATGCTATGTTTAATCCTCAAACAGCCTCATGAGATGCATACTATGATTACTCTTATTTGTGAAGAGAGAATGGAGGCTAAGTGAATGTAGGTAACTTTTACAAGGTCATGTAGTGAGTCGATGGAAGGACATGCATGAGTATGCAGAGGCTACCAGCCAGATACACAGTCTCCCCACTCCCTGCAGAATGGAGGGACTTGATGGTCTCACTCTCACACCTCCTCCCCGCAGCACCACCATGGAGAGGCACCAGTACACCTTCACTGGGAAGCTCCATGTGGACCATTCCTTCCTTTTATCCATTCTCGGATGCCCTGATTCCTAATTCCCTTGATTCACATTCAATCATTTCAGTGTCCCCAAATTGCCTGATAGAAATCCTAATCAACACTTTTCCTCTCCAGCTTCCAGTGACTGCCTTGTGGGATTCACAATATATTTCTTGATGTCCTGAGATCATCAGCTTTTTCCTCAAACACTCCTTACCAAAGAGGAAGCTTCCTTCTCTCCACCCTCTCCCTCCCAACACCTGTACCTATGGGTGGCTGGTAGTCTGTGCGTCCTTCACAGTCACCTCCTGACCCTTGAGTGAAGCCAGCCGCTCAACCAGCCCTCCCTCAATGAAGCTCTTGTTTCTTGCTCTGCTGCTCCCTCTTCTCCATCAACCCTTCAGCATCCAGAACATTCACTCATTCAAGCATACTCAATCAGGCCTTGGGATTTCTGCAGGTGACCTGCAGAATGGCTCCACCCTATCTTGCCATCCCTGATACATGACCCACATAGCACCCCTTTGTCATGGCTTTACCTGCTGTTCTTCAGAAACCTTCAGCTCCAATTCACTTCAGGACCTGTCTGCTCCCCACACCCCATCATAGCCAGCAGCTGTTCCACGCCTTGTTGAAATTTTGAACTCGGAAATGCTTCTCGCTAATCATCACCAACTCTCTGACCACTGCTCTAACTCTCTCACTCCCCTTAAACCTTGCCTCTAACTTGATTGTGATTTAGCTGTGATTTTTTTTTTTTTTTTTTTGAGATGGAGTCTAGTTTTGTCACCCAGGCTGGAGTGCAGTGGCATGATCTCGGCTCACTGCAACCTCCGCCTCCTGGGTTCAAGCGATTCTCCTGCATCAGCCTCCTGAGTAGCTGGGATTACAGGCACCTGCCACCACGCCCAGCTCAGTTTTGTACTTTTAGTAGAGACAGGGTTTCACTGTGTTGGCCAGGCTGGTCTCAAACTCCTGACCTCATGATCCGCCCGCCTCGGCCTCCCAAAGTGCTGGGATTAGAAGAGTGAGCCACCGTGCCTGGCCAGCTGTGATCTTCGAAACTTCTATTTTCTTCTAGCCCATCAGTCCTTCTCTTTGACTCATTTCTCTTTGGTCTCAAGTCAAACCTTTGTGCAATCATTTAACTATGAGAAGTTTCTATTTCTCACCAGACCACTCAATTTTAATATACTGATGGATTCCAACCTTAAATTTTTCCCAGCCAGGTGCGGTGGCTCACACTTGTAATCCCAACACTTTGGGAGGCTGACGCGGGAGGATGGCTTGAGCCTAGGAAGTGAAGGCTGAAGTGAGCCATGATCACACCACTGCACTCCAGCCTGGGTGACCCTGTCTCTCATTTTTTTTTTGTTCTTGTTCCCAAACTAGAGAAGTCACATAACTAACTATATTGACTTCATAAAAACTTTTTGACATTTTTTCCCCAATTTTCTCTGGGCTTTTTAGATGCCTGGACATTGTGGGTCAGCTCCTGCTCCACTCCACCCAAGTGGCTATCTCCTAAAGCATTCCTAGTCCTGACACGTTCATCTCCCTCCCTTCTCTTAAATCTTAACATATGATCCTCCTGCTACTTTTCTAGAAGGGAAGTTCCCTTAATATCCCTAACCTTCTGCTCAAAGAAAGTACCTTTATCTATAAGCAAGGAAATATTTAAAGAGTATTAACACTCAGTAGTGTCTGGGGCATGAGGAAAAAGGCACTCTTAAAAACTGTTGATAGGAGGATAAGCTAGTATGACATTTTTTGGAGGACAGTCTGGAAATTGTCATCAAAACTGAAAAGGTACACACCCTTTAAGCCAGCAATTTGCCTTCACTTCTAAGAATTTATTTAAGAAACAACAAGACCACAAAGATGTATGTACAGAGATGTTTACAGCAGCTTTTTCTGTGGTAAAAAGTCTTGAGATAGTTTAAATGATCCTCTTATGGGGGACTGACTAAATGAATTATGGAGCAATAAAAGAGTAGTTTTCTGTAGCCGTCAAAAGAACAAGGAAGAATCCATGTGCACGGACATGGAAAAATTTCCATAGTATATAGTGAAAAGAAAAAAAGTCAAGTTGGAGAATAGTAAGATCCCATTTTTATAAACACACATACATGCAAATTTGGAAAGGTAAAGCAATAAATTCCTCACATCAAAATGTGGGAAGAGGTGCTAGAGTGGCAGTAGGGATGGGAGGTGGTTGATCCCTACTTTATATATGTCTGTAACTTGAATTTATTTCTTAAGCAGACAGGCATTACTTTTACAGTTTAATAATGAAAAGAGAAAACAAAAGGTAAGACAAAAGCAGCTTTTGTCACTTTTTCCATTGTTTTATGTGCTCACCCCAATCAAGGCACCTTCTTTCTAAGAGCCAGTATTTATTTCTGTTCTCTTTAAATCAGAAGTTAGGCAGACATTTCAGGCCATGAGACCTAGATTGGAAACCACTCAAAGGAACATGCCCTTTCCTCTTCAAACACTGTTACCAACATTTAGATACTTTCATTTTGGTTGCAGCCCACTATTTTTAGCTTTTTCTTCTTTTTTTCTCCAGATGGCTGAAGAGACCGAGGCCTTTCACACTGAAGGTGGGGTAGGTGGAACAGATGGAAGGGCTTTACCTGTGGTCGATTAATTGTTTCATAACCCTTTTCATGAGCTTTCTTTGAGCAGGCATGCTTGGTTTTGGTAAAGTCCTGTCAAAATTTCTTTGATTTGAATTAGATGTACTGGGCAGGTCCCATTCAGATATTTAATAGCAAAATTAAACAGAAAGTCACCATATATTTTTTGAGGGACACAAAGTTATATCATGTAGGAATATTATGAACATTAGGTTCACTTTCTTGCTACACTAGGGGAAACATCTTTTTTTGGGGCAAGGTGCATAGAAATTTTGGTGTGACTTACTTTGAGAGCAATGATTATCATTCGTGGTTTACTATTTACTCTTTTCACAGATATAGAGAGCAAAATTATTAAATGTGTAATAAGTGTCATGGGGCTACAAAAAGATTCTAAGCTCTCATCTTTTCCTCTAGGACACCCATGTATTTTCTTCTCTTCTTGCTCTACTGATTCGCAAGAACTCTTGTCCAGGGTTAACTAGATCCCATTCTCATCTAAGCCCTTCTACCTCTGCTAGGACCAAGCTCCATCAATTATCCCTTAAGATTTTTCTTTTTGGCTCTATATCTTCATTTTCTTCCCTTTTCTTTGATCCTTCCTCAGTTTAAAGTCATTCTCAAGTCTCCTCCACATTAAAAAAGAAAACAATGACAAACCATAAACAATGATAATCCATAAACAATGCTAAACCAACCCTTTCTTTGTCCACACCTTTTCTATAGTCAGCTGCCCTAACTTCTCCTCTTTATTGCTAAACTTCTCCAGAGAGTGGCCTCTATTGACTTCTTGCACTTCACCTGTCATTCGCTCTGCATTTTGGCTTTCTTCTCCTCCTCCCTACTGAAACAGACTTCTCAAAAGCCATCAAATGAGCTGATGGCTGCCAGATTGAATGCCTTGTCTCAGGTCTGCACCATTTTACACTATGGACACCTCCTCCTTTACAGTTTCCTGGGCTTTTGCTACTCTGCCCTCTCCTTTCTGTGGTTTCTTGCTGTCCATGTTTGGCTCCTCTGCTACACACCCCTGAACATTGGTATCCCTTGAAAATTCTCCTCAGCTGCTTTGTTTTACCATGTATCAACCTTGGCTGTGTAATTCCATTCATTCCCAGGGTTTCATCTGTTGCATCTGAGGATGACCATCAAATCTGCATCTCTGGCCAGGTGCGGTGGTTCACACCTGTGATCCCAGCACATTGGGAGGCCGAGGCAGGCAGATCACCTGAGGTCAGGAGTTCGAGACCAGCCTGACCAACAAGGAGGAATCCCGTCTCTACTAAAAATACAAAATTAGCCAGGTGTAGTGGTGCATGCCTGTAATCACAGCTATTCAGGAGGCTGAGGCAGGAGAATCGCTTGAACCTGGAAGGCGGAGGTTGCGATGAGCCGAGATGGTGCCATTGCACTCTAGCCTGGGCAACAAGAGCGAAACTCTGTCTCAAAAAAAAAAAAAAAAATCTGCATCCCCAACCACACTTCTCATTTGCATTCCCAATTTATATTTGCAGGCGCTTACAGGTATTCTCCAAGTGGGATTCTCAAAAACTATTTACATTCAACACATCTAAAGAGAACTCATAATCCATCAGTGTGTCTTGGTCTCATTCTACCACCAACCATTTTATCACTATCTGCCAATGAGATGATTCAGAGTTGCTTATGAGTTCTCCTCTCTCTCCTGCTGCTTCCAGCACATCCTAGGATTACATCTGAAATAACTCAAAATCATCACCATTCCCTTCTTTATGCTAAGAGCTACTCTCCTTGTCCCATTCATCTAATCTGGAATAACAATAAAAAAACAGGAACAACCACCACCAAAACATAATTATAATATGTCAGATGCGCTTGTCAACTTACAGAGCTTTCTCCTGGAACTTAGCCCAGCTTCTTGGAAAAGTCACCAAAGGGTGGGTAGGGTACAACTTGATGGATTTTCTCTGCCTTCCCTAGAAAATGAGAGTTCGAGTTAAAAATTATAAGTTGTATCTTAAAAACATCAAAGGGATATGATGAACATCAATGCAAAAATCCTCAATAAAATACTGGCAAACCGAATCCAGCAGCACATCAAAAAGCTTATCCACCACAATCAAGTCGGCTTCATCCCCATGATGCAAGGCTGGTTCAACATATGCAAATCAATAAGTGTAATCCATCACATAAACAGAACTAAAGACAAAACCCACATGATTATCTCAATAGAGGCGGAAAAGGCCTTCAATAAAATTCAACATCTCTTCATGTTAAAAACTCTCAATAAACTAGGTATTGATGGAATGTACCTCAAAATAATAACAGCCATTTATGACAAATCCACAGCCAGTATCATACTGAATGGGCAAAAGCTGAAACTGTTCCCCTTGAAAACTGGCACAAAACAAGGATGCCCTCTCTCACCACCCTTATTCAACATAGTATTGGAAGTCCTGGACAGGACAATCAGGCAAGAGAAGGGTATTCAAATAGGAACAGAGGAAGTCAAACTGTCTCTGTTTGCACATGACATGATCCTATATCTAGAAAACCCCACAGTCTCATCCCAAAGGCTTCTTAAGCTGATAAGCAACTTCAGCAAAGTCTCAGGATACAAAATCAATGTGCAAAAATCACAAACATTCCTATACACCACAAATAGACAGACAGCCAAATCATGAATGAATTCCCATTCGCAATTGCTACAAAGAAAATAAAATACCTAGGAATACAGAAAACAAGGGAAGTGAAGGACCTTTTCAAGGAGAGCTACAAACCACTGCTCAAGGAAATCAGAGAGGACACAAACAAATGAAAAAATATTCCATGCTTATGGATAGGAAGAATCAATACTCTGAAAATGGCCATACTGTCCAAAGTAATTTATAGATTCAATGCTATTCCCATTAAACTACAATTGACATGCTTCACAGAATTAGAAAAAAAATTTTTTAATTCATATAGAACCAAAAAAGAGCCCATATAGCCAAGACAATCCTAGGCAAAAAGAACAAAGCTGGAGGCTTTCAAACTATACTACAAGGCTACAGTAACCAAAACAGCATGGTACTGGTACAAAACCAGACACATCAACCAATGGAACAGAACAGAGATCTCAGAAATAAGACTGCACATATACAACCATCTGATCTTTAACAAACCTGATAAAAACAAGCAATGGAGAAAGGATTCCCTATTTAATAAATGTGCTGAGAAAACTGGCTAGCCATATGCAGAAAATTGAAACTGAATCCCTTCCTTACACCTTATACAAAAATTAACTCAAGATGGATTAAAGACTTAAATGTAAAACCCAAAACTATAAAAACTCTAGCAGAAAATCTAGGCAATACCATTCAGGACCTAAGCACAGGCAAAGATTTCATGACAAAAACATCAAAAGCAACCACAACAAAAGCAAAAATTGACAAATGGGACATAATTAAAGAGCTTCTGCACAAAAGAAAAGAAACTATCATCAGAGTGAACAGACAACCTACAAGATGGGAGAAAATGTTTTCAATCGATCCATCTAACAAAGGTCTAATATCCAAAATCTACAAGGAACTTAAATACATTTACAAGAAAAAAAACCTTAAAAAGTGGGCAAAAGACATGAACAGACACGTCTCAAAAGAAGACATTTATGCAGCCAACAAACATGAAAAAAACTCAACATCACTGATTGGTAGAGAAATGCAAATCAAAACCACAATGAGATACCATCTCATGCCAGTCAGAATGGTGATTATTAAAAAGTGAAGAAACAACAGATGCTGGCAAGGCTGTGGAGAAATAGGAACACTTTTACACTTTGGTTGGAGTGGAAATTAGTTCAATCATTGTGGAAGACAGTGTGGCAATTCGTCAAAGATGTAGAATGAGAAATACCATTTGACCCAGCAATCCCACTACTGGGTATATACCCAATGGAATAGAAATCATTCTATGATAAAGATACATGCATGTGTGTATTCATTGTAGCACTATTCACAATAGCAAAGACACAGACTCAACCTAAATGCTCATCAATGATAGACTGGATAAAGAAAGTATGGCACATATACACCATGGAATACTACGCAGCCATAAAAAGGAACAAGTTAATGTCCTTTGCAGGGATATGGATGGAGCTGGAAGCTGTTATCCTCAGGAAACTAACACAGAAACAGAAAACCAAACATTGCATGTTCTCACTTATAAGTGGGAACTGAACAATGAGAACATGTGGACACAGAGGGGAACAACACACACTGGGGCCTGTCGGTGGTGATTGGGGGCAGGGAGAGCATCAGGATAAATAGCTAATTCATGTGAGGTGTAATATCTAGGTGATGGGTTGATAAGTGCAGCAAACCACCATGGCACACGTTTACTTGTGTAAAAAACCTGCACGTCCCAGGACTTTGAATTAAATTAAATTTAAAAATAAAAACAAAAGGGATGTTTTCCTCACACCTGACTTTTCGGACTGTTATACCAACCTAGGAGTTAATTACATTGACAAAATTGCCTAATAGACTAAAACTCAATTTTAAATATTTAAAGTAAACATTTTTTAAAACCCGCTAGAGATGTGGTTGGACAAATAGGCCAAAAGACAATTTTTAAAAGTAGATCTTATCCTTTGGAGAAGTTTTGGGTCCAAAACAAAATTGAGAGGAAGGTACAGAGATTTCTCATAAACCTTCTGTCTCCACATATGCCTCCCACTCCTTATTATCAGCATCCCCCACCAGAATGGTACATGTGTTACAATTGATGAACTATATTGACAAGTCATTATCACCCCAAGTCCATAGTTTATTTGTTTTTGGTTTTCATTTCTGCTATGTAAGGAAAAAAAGGGTTTTGTGATTTTTCAAATTGGTTAATCATAATGATAATTTTATAAAGGAAATGCTGGTTTTAATGTCTGCTAATTTTGTGCTTTTCTTAAGAAATGTATTAAATCAATTTACCATAATTTTTAAAAAGTATTTCCAGGATCTCACTCCTTTACACATTCAATTTTCAAGAAGGAAAATCCTGTCTATATCCATTTCCAAGAAGAATAAATAAGTATATGAATAGTAGATTAAAAATAAATGTTACCATACTTGGTTCTTTTTAACAGCTGTCAGGGTGTATTATCAAGAAAAAGCATCTCATGCTTCACAAGGTTATTTTGTGTTGCTCTTCCTTACTCTGAAAAATTCCACAAGGCTTATACTTGTAAATACTGTAGCCAGAATGGGAATTAACCCTTCAATATGACCTCCAAGGTCAAGGGAAGATCTGGAGGACTAGTGTACAGGAATGCTGGGGTAAGTATGGTGACACAGAAACAGTCAAAGTGACAGGTACTGAGCTGAATAATACATATTTACGTTTTTACCTAGTGTCATGGAAATAATTTATTATATCCCTAATATATTTTTTATCATTTGTTAAAGTTAAAATCACATGCTGTATTTTGTAAACTGTACTCATATGCTCTATAAACTACAGAATGAAAAATGAGCAACCTCAATGCTTTAAAAATGGAAATCTTGAGAAAATAAGAAGCTATAGACACAACTGTTTTGAAAGTGCCTTTGTTTAGATCCAAAAGAGAAAGATAGAGAATTTTGTTAAATCTGAACTTGTATCTCATTGCCAAAAAGTTGAGTCTGTCTTTATTAAAAAGAGCAAAGAGTTTTCCTATAATGTCATATTAAAAATATAATTCTAAGAATTGTTGACTTGAACCTTGAGGATACAAATATTTGTTATGAGATGTTTGCCACAGAAATCGGTGTTTGTTCACTTAAAGTTGTAAATTATGGTTTTCAGAGGAAGTTGATTTTATTTACTCACCTTGCGATTAATCCACTGTGAACTCTGGCCTCTAGGAAGCTGTCCAAGAAATAGGGACATAGTTGGAGGTGTTGCTCCTTGTAAAAATTATTTCACAGGTAAAAGTAAAAATGACTGACAGTAGAATCTAAAACAAAAGGCAGGATTTCTATTCTCCTGGATGGTGCTCGTTGATGATACACAACATGTAAGGCAGAAATGGGAACTAATCTCTTCCTGTTTTTAAAAATTTGCTATGCAGAGATAATTTTCATGTAATAATGAACTTAAAAGTCTGGTCTAAATATTCTACTCCATTCATATCTACCAGAAGGACATCTGACTCTCCCAGGCTTGAGTGCAGTGGTGAGATAATAGCTCCCTGCAGCCTCTAACTCCTGGCCTCAAGTGATCCTCCTGCCGCACCCTCCCAAGTAGCTGGGACTATAGGCACTAGCCATGGTGCCTGACTATTTTGTTGTTGTTGTTGTAGAGACAGCGTCTCGCTTTTTTGCCCACGGTGGTTTCAAACTTCTGGGCTCAATTGATCCTCCCACCTTGGCCTCCCAAAGTGCTGTGATTACAGATGTGAGCCACTGAATGTGGCCTATGCTGGTATTTTCACCAACAAAAAACACCAATGAAGTAGTTTTCTCATTTTTAAATGACAAAAATTAACGAATGAATGAAAGTGGATCTTTCACAGAGAACATTACATGGCTTTTTTTTTTTTTTTTTGGCAGAGTCTCACTCTGTTGCCCAGGCTGGCATGCAGTGGCATGATCTTGGCTCACTGCAACCTCTGCCTCCCAGGTTAAAGCGATTCTCATGCCTCAGCCTCCCAAGTAGCTGGGATTACAGGCTCCCACCACCACACCCGGCTAATTTTTATATTTTTAGTAGAGACAGGGTTTCACCATGTTGGCCAGGCTGGTCCTGAACTACTGACCTCAAGTGATCTGCCCGTATATAGCATTCTTAATAATGTACAGAACTGAAATAAAATTCACTTCATTTTTGAAAAATAAGAATTTGGGAAATTTGAAATAGAATGGCATTAAGTATATACTAATCATAGAATGCAACTCTAATAGTGTCTAATGATCACAGTATGATGACCAGCCACTGTAACTTTAAGGGAGAGAAAAAGAAAAATTTAATGTAGATTTTAAAATGTATACTTCTTGGGAGGCTGAGGTGGGAGGATGGTTTGAGCCCAGAAGGTGGAGGTTGCAGTGAGCCGAGATTGCGCCACTGCACTCCATCCTGGGCGACAGAGCCAGACACTGTCTCAAATAAATAAATAAATAAGTAAGTAAAATAAATAAAATGTATACTTGCAAGAATTTTTTTTTTCGAGAAATTATGCCATGAGAAGAGTGTGTGCCCATGAGTCTATATAGGGATGTATATGCATATAGGCATGTGCAAGAATGTGTGTGTGTATATGTGTGTGTGTTAGTTGGGAAGAACAGCAGTGAAAAGGAAAGGACTTTGGAATCCTAAGGTAATTCAGATGGTGGATGGACATTTATCTTATAAATGCTTTTTTTTTTTTGTTTTTTGGTAGGTGGTGAAAGTAGTAACACCAGCAAATGTGGAAAATCTGCTTTTCTCTTAATAAGATTGTGAGGTTCCCTTTGGAAGGCAAACTTTTTCTTTGCCTGAAATTAATCTCATTAATTTAGATTTTGTCAAAATAATTAGGCCAGGCTCATATGCTTCAGTATGAGGCCACCATGTGACAGAGCACATGGAACATGCAGTGTCATCTTGAAAAACGAATGATGAAGACAGGACAGGCTCCGGGTGGAGCTTTGGAGTGTAGGAAGAGGTTGCATTCTCACCTAGTCTCTTAAAGGGTTGCCTCAGCAAGGAAACCCAACCCAAGGAGTTTAATAAGTACGAAATCGTTGACCATTTTCATCTTTTCCCATCTTAATTTTAAAAATCACATATTTTTCCTGCTGCTAGGAGAGATTTTCTGCTGAAATCTTCCCACTGACTTCTGATCTAGTCCATTGCCAACATGTTTGTGCTTGACCCTCATTTGGGCATATTTCTTCTGGGTCTTTTAGTTAGGATTATTTTTAGAGAGAAGATAAGGGAAAATGAAATACCTCTATTCAGCACAGGGTCGAAGTACACTGGCCTTGTGCAGATGTGCTTAGGAGAGGCGATGGACACTAGAGAGGGCCCAGGAGTGGCATTTATTCCAAGCCTGCCTAGTATCAGTACAGAGACTGCCTGTGCGTATTATAATTATTTTGAAAGACTGTGAAGAAGCAAAACGAAAAAAAAAAAAAAACCCCAAAAACTCCCTTCCAGATCAAAACTTCAGAGGGCAAAAGTTCAAGAAAGGATTTATTTTTAATGTTGAAAGAGAAGAGATTGTGAGTAAAATCGAGAACAGTGATTAAAATGCAAAAGCCCGGGAAGCTCAGAAGTGCTGTTTGGTTTGCTGAATGTTTGTATTTTCTCAGTCAGAAGCCAGCCAAATATACCTGCCTTATTCCTGAAAGGTTTTTCTAACTGGCTGCTAGCCTACAATAAAAACCATTTTCTACAGCTTTAATGTGTGCTGAGGAGGGGTGGGGGAATGTTTAAAAGAAGTCCTATGAGTAAGTAGACCTTGCGATGATGCATTATAGCATTATATTTGCAAAGATATGTGTGCATGTGTGTATGTGTGTTTGTGCCTCTCTGTGCATGTGTGTGTGTGTTTGCATTCTTGTGCCTGCTTATTTGCAGATACAAGGGACAAAGTCACAGATAAGTAGGAGCATAGCTGAGACCATAAACTAGCAGTAAAGCACATAACTGATATGAATTCTACCACTTTCTTAGGCTTCATAACTTACGTCTCTTAGTGTAACTAAGTAGAAGAATTTACTTACCCCTTGCCTAAAAATGAAATCTATTTATGGAAGCCAAAAGCTGTGAGGGCCGTTTATATCATTTATTACAAACCTGTCCCTTGGAAAACCAAGATCCAAAAAAGCCATGTGGCTTGCCTAAGGTACCGAGTTTTTGTCAAAGTATTTTATTCCCCACCTGGTGGTCATTATCTTTGTCATTCTTATGGAGCTCATTTTTCCTGAGAAAATAAAAATCATATACGACCAGCTATGGACTTTTGGTAATCAAGCTCGTTTATCAAATGTGTATTGAGCACCTGATATATATGTGAGGCACCATCTTAGACTCTGGTGTCACAATGATGAAAACAGACATGGTCTCTGTTCTTGGGAGGTAAAGTGAGTCTTAAAGCTGTGTGAACTGGTTTTATGTATTTTGCTCTTCCTTTGAAGAAACTTACAAATTAATTGTAGCCTCTGGATCCTCCATCTGTACCAGCCAGGAACAGGCGGACCAGGCTGGAAAAACCCTTCAGCCTCCACTGGAGGGGAACAAACCTTGGCCATGCACGAGGTGAGGATCTGGGATGTGGTGGCTTCCCTTCAAACAGATCTGCTTCCCAGGGAAGTGACCAATAATGACACAGGACAAAATCAAAGTGCAACCTGCAGGACCATGCAGGGCATGGAGGAGATGGGATTCCCCACATTATCCTCCTCAGGAGTGATTTTCACAACAACAACAACACTGTTCTCTTCAGCACTTCTTCCACCAACCCTCGCGGGGAAACAGTGACTTACTGAGGGACCGTCTGACATGGGCTCTGACCCTCCTGGTTCTACAATCTGTTTTGTGGGAAAGAAATCTTACTTGCTGTAAGTAAGAAAAAAGAAAGTAATGGCTTTGGAGGCTTAGAAGCATCTTAAAGTATGGGCCGATCTACTAGCTTTTGACATTGGATCTGAGTTTATGCCAGCCGCAGTTGAAACATTGCTGACAACCAGTACTGAGAACTCTCATGGCTTGCAGCCTTCCCTCAGGCACTCTTCTGGAATTCTCCCATATCTTGAAGATGTGGAGGGAGCACAGATATAAGTAATAATGACAGTAATTTATTAGATGATCTCGCCTTTGTTCTCTAGGAAAGTAGTTCTTTCCAGAATGTTATCTTTGGAGCTACTCTTGTTTTGAAACTTTGTTTTAAATCAAACTCAGTTCTGACTGCTTCGGCTTCTGGTGAGAATAGTATTATGAGACCCAAGAATAATTCAATAAAAACACATGCATTGAATGTATATTCATGAGTCCATAATGATACTCAAAAAGAATACTGCCAGAAGAAACTCATTCGAGGCAGCTAATACCAATGTCTTATTTTGACATTGTGTAACTGAAAGAAAAGTGCGTCTAATGTCCTTCAGGTAGGAACTATATTTCAAGGTAAACAAATAGCTCCAGTTGACAACATAAAGCTTGAAGAATGCCAGCTAAATGTAGAGGGATGAAAGTCATAATCTTGCAATTCCTAATGAGAGGGATGAAAGTCATAATCTTGCAATTCCTAATGAGAATGTAGATCCAGGCAAGGACTATCAACCTGTGCTTGAGGACCTCAGGGGAGTGGTTGATGGGACTTGGACATCTGTATGGTGCCAAAATAACAGTATGATGATGTGGTTCTGGTCTTCAGGAGAAAAACAGAATTGTACAATGGATGGATCAGACCACCATCACCCTCACCTAAAGGTTGATCCTAGCATCAGGAATAGTGGGACAACCAGTTATTCCATGTCTCCTGGGGTCATGAATTCCGATGTCACAGCATCCCCTGTGACGCAGTCTAGCCAAAGATGTTTAACTTGGGTCTAATCAATATGTAGATGTAACTTCCAGGAAATACAAGGGAGAGAGGAACAAGCTAAATGACACCACTGGCAAGCAATGTAGGGGGCCTCTATCGGCCACTGGCCAAGCAGCTGCAATAAGAAGCTACCCATGAAGAGACTGGAGGCTGGATTAAAAGATAGAGAGAGGACATAAAAGCCAGGTGCAATGTGTGGTCCAGGATTGGTTCCTCGTTTGGACAAAGAAGCTGGGAAGGACATTCAGGGAAACATTTGGTGAATTTGAATAATATAATGGCTATTAGATGATATTAAAGAATGATTATTAATTTTAGGTGTGATAATGTTGTTGTTTGTCAAGCAGGAAAGTGTTCTTTTTTTAAGAAATGTATTTTGGGGGCAATGTCATGCATGATATCTCTAACATAACACACAGCTGGACACTATGTGGGAGACTGACTGTGATGTTCAAGTCCCCTGTGGAAAGGTTGAACAAAAGTAGACATTTAACCAACATACTTGTCAGAGACTAGCAGGTAATGTGTAATTATAAATTGCTATCAAATTACTGAGTAAAAGTTTTGTGAAACATTTTCTAAAGTTTGAGAGTAAAGAGTAAAAAAGAGTAGCATATTAGTTCAAAATAATGAGGAAGGCATTATCATAGGAAGATAACAAAATTTTAATACGTGATACCTGATTTAATTTTAATATTGCTACTAGAACCTAATTTCCACTTGTCATAATGAAGAATTTTTATAACTTTTCTTCACTTATTGCTACTCAAAATCTTCATCGACTAGTAAAAATCAACCACAGGGCAACTGTTATAAATTATGGTATGTCCATATCTGAAATATTATGAAGTCATTAACAATTAAGATGTGGATTTAATATTTGGTTAATATTTAATGACATGAAAACATTTATGCCAATGTTCAGTGCAGAATATGCAACTTTATTACAATATAGTCCTAATTTTATGTATTAATAAGTGTAAAAGATTTAGCCCCCAGGTTATTGCTGAGAGAGGGATAAATAAGTACCATTTAATGTAGTCCTAGTATCATTAATTATTAAAAGAATATAAGAGAGAAAAAAACACACATGAGGAGACAGTAAAAAACTGTTTAGCTGACCAAGTGAGTGCTGCATTATTGTCTGTTTTAACAAGGGAGTAGGTTTTCTCACCACATTCAGCCAATGTGGTAAATTTTCTAACATGATAAAAAGAAACTCCCAGTTTTACTCATTTCCAGAGCTGAAAGTTGAAGAGTTGAAGCCCTTTTGCCCTTCTCAGAATGACTACACTTAAAGTGAGCTTCCTCACCACCAAGTACCAGAACAAATGGTGGGCCTGGAAAGGCAATTCTGCTCTGAGGAACGTGAAACAAGCATAAACCGAATGTGATGGCAGAGCTGTCACACCTTGTGGCCATCGATTACATTTCCACTGACCGTTCTATCACTCTCCAGAAGGGTGATCATGCCTGTGCTGCTCCCAGAAGACCCAGATCCACCGAAAGAAATGCAATCCTTCCCCACAGGCAGCCTTTCCTGAGGAGAAGAAGGAGCTTCTCTAATTGTCACATGAGTAGAAAATGTTGAAGAGACCTGCCTCTTTCAGAGGAAGGGTAAACAGAATTCTAACCACATTTTAAAACACCTCTTCCCTCTGCTTATTGAAGTAGGATACTCAGCAACAATTCAAAAGATTGAGGTTTACATGCACTGATGAGGAACGACCTCCAAGCTTCATTGTTCAGTGAGTGAAACCAGAGTTAGAGCAACAGAGCTCACAAAATCTCACTTACACGCACTACATGCTTCCACATGCAAACACGTGCACATGCACACACATGCACAGACTCTTGCAAAGAAAAGATGAACACACACCAAACTTTTAATGATAAATATGTATGACGAACTAGGAAAGGGATGGAATAAAAGGGAACGTTCACTTTTCTTACTCTATATTTCTGAAGTTTTTGGATTTTCTTTTTATAACAGGAGGTAAACATTTAGTTCTTATGTAATTTTAAGAGAGGGAACGATGAATTCATACACTTCTGGTAGAAATGTAAAAATGATACAGTCATTTGAAAACAGTTTGGCAGTTCCTCAAAAAGTTAAACATAGAGTTATCATATGACCCAGCCATTTCACTCCTGAGTGTTTACCCAAGAGAGAAAGAAATATATGTTCCTGCAAATACTTGAGCGTTTATAACAGCGTTGTCTGTAATAACCGAAAATCAGAGGCAACCAAATGTCTACAAACCAATGAATGGATAACAAACTGGTATAGGCCATGTAATCGAATACTATTCCACAATAATAGGAAACAACTATTGGTACACATGACAACGTGAATGCATCTCAAAATGATGCTGAGTGAAAGAAGCCAGACAAAAGAGTATTTGCTATGTATTACAATTTATATAAAATTCTAGAAATGCAAACCAAACTATAGTGACAGAAAGCAGATCGGTGGTTGAATGTGGCGAGGGGTGGTGGCGTGGTGGGAGGAAGGAAGAACAAATGGGTCCAAGGACACTTTTGGGGTGATGGATATGTTCACCACCTTCATTGTGCTAATGATTGATCCGGTGTGTACTACAGCAAGATTTATCCAATTGCATACTTTAAACATGTAGTTTATAGTGCGCTAATCATAACTCAATGAATCTACAAAAAAGTAATACATGCTTAATATAGAACATTTTGAAATAATGTAAAAATGAAGACGAAAAATTTAAAAGCCCCTACACTTTCAAAAAGAAAACCGTTAACATTTTGGGGCTTTTTCTTCCAGGAAAGTTTCACGTCCACCATACAGTCAGCTCTACAAGGGCAAGCCTGCCTGATTCACCAGCCGTATTCACAGAACTATGCTGGAAAAGCAATTGTGGGATAACTAAGTTTGGATCAATAAATGAATGTGTAAAAGAGCCTACCCTCTTCATTTCATAGTATATAATGAGGGCTTTTTCATGTCACTAAAAGTTCTTTGAAAACATACCATGGCTTCACACCCTTCCACTGCCTGGATCTACAGTAATTGATTTTAGACTTGGGTTGTTTAGAGTCTTTCAATATAACCAATAGTGCTGTAATATTCAGCTTTGTGTATACCACAGAAGACTTGTATTCACCATAGAGGCTATCCCACAACAATTAATGGATCCAATTAAGTAGGTTAACAATTTGGTTTTACATTGTGTAGCTAAAAATAAGATAGTTGCGGCCAGGTGAAGTGGCTCACGCCTGTAATCCCAGCACTTTGGGAGGCTGAGGCAGGCGGATCACTTGAGGTCAGGAGTTCGAGACCAGCCTGGGCAACATAGTGAAACCCCATCTTTACTAAAAATACAAAAATTAGCTGGGCATGGTGGCGCATGCCTGTAATCCCAGCTACTTAGGCGGCTGAGGCAGGAGAATCGCTTGAACCCAGGAGGCTGAGGTTGCAGTGAGCCGAGATCATGCCACTACACTCCAGCCTGGGTGACAGAGCAAGACTCAATCTCAAAAAAAAAAAAAAAAAAAAAAAACCCAAAAGATAGTTACATTTTTCATCTTTTAAATTAATTTGTTAATTGCCTTCTCTTTCACTCAGTTTCCCCTTTGGTAAATGGGAGTAATAATAATATCTTCCTCTCAAGGTGTTGTTAAAATTTTAAAATATGGTGTAAAAACTGCTTATGACAATGCTGGCAGAGAGTAAACTTGTAATGATGGGCACTTCCGGGCCATTCTTGTGCCAGAACTGTCCTTGGCTCCTGCCAAATTCCCGCAATTCAAGTTTTTTTTTTCTTGCACCTGCTAGTCTGAACACATCCATCAACCTTGCTTAAAGAATCTTTGGGGTGAATTGGAATTAAAAGGCAAGGCTGGAAGTTTATATTGTTACTATTTAGCACTTCTTTAGAAAACTCATCTTAGGCTGGGCACCGTGGCTCATGCCTGTAATCCCAGCACTTTGGGAGGAGGAAGTGAGAGGATTCCTTGAGCCCAGGAATTCAAGACCAGCCTGGGCAACATAGTGAGACCTCATCTCTACAAAATATCAAAAAATTAGCTGGGCACAGTGGTGCATGCCTGTAGTCCCAGCTACTTGGGAGGCTGATGTGGGAGGATCACTTGAGCCTGGGAGGTCAAGGCTGCAGTGAGCTGTGATCGCACCACTGCACTCTAGCCTGGGTGACAGAGCAAGACCCTGTCTCAAAACAACAACGACAACGAACAAGAAAACCTATATTAGCCAAAGATAAATGTCAGCCCCATTGGAATGGGTTCCATGTTCTGTCTCTGGATAGCTCTGGTGATGAGAAGGATTCAAGGGCAGCAATTTTCTTTCAAGAAGATTTTCCATTAGGTATATCTCTTAATGCTATATATATATAATGGAAAATCCTCTTGAAAGAAAATTGCTGCCCTTGAATCCTTCTCATCACCAGAGCTATCCAGAGTGCAGCACACCAGCATGGCACATGTATACATATGTAACAAACCTGCACGTTGTGCACATGTACCCTAGAACTTAAAGTATAATAAAAATATATATATATATAAATTTTTAAAAAGTATTTTAATTTTTTTGCAAAAAAAAAAAGAGGATTTTCCCCAGCTTTCTACTGAACCTGTGCAAGTGAAACTTGATTGAAACCACTCGCTTCGTAGAGTTGTGGTAGCAAACCATAAATCATTCTGGCTTCCCTGAGAAGTTTTTCAAACCTTAGAGAGCCAGATGACTCTTAACAAAGCTGTTTCATTAAACAGTTTTAGAGTGGATTTTTAGCCAAGTTCTGGTTCTAGATTCTCAGCATTTAGCAGAAATGTTTAGTGAGTTACTCACATACACACATGTAAAGCTTTTGTTCACTTAGGTCAACAGAGAGAGAAATGAATATGTAAATATGTATTGAGTCAATATTTGCAAATATAGCTTTGTTTAAATAATAGCCTCTCATTTTATAGTTAAGAAAAGTGAGGCTTAACAAGATTGAGTGACTTGCTCAAATTCTCAGTCAGTGGTAGGGGGGGTAAACCCAACTCTCTCTGATTCCAAAGCAAGTATATCATCTACATGATAGAAAATCATAATAACAGCCGATATTTTCCCAACATATTACAGTTTCCAAGCCTCTCTGATACATTGTCTCATCAAGCCCTTATGGTCCTTCTCTGTTTAGAAGGCTACCATGGGGCAGGCCTTCTCCCCACACCTCCCAAACGTGGATATAAGACTCTCCCTTGACATCCAAATGTGGTCCTGGCCCAGCATCATGGGCATTGCCTGAGAGCTTGTTAGAAATGCAGACTCTCAGGCCCCACCCCAGACCTACTGACTCAGAATCTGTATTTTAATAAGATCCCCACTTTGAAGAGCATTCCCACAAAGTCAGACAAGAAATGCACACATGATGACCACAGCAGAGAGAAGGCAGAGTGTCCCTCAGGCTAGCAGGTCTTGTGTGACACTGACTGAAGAGCTAAAGACAGTGCATGTGCATGGGCAGGAAGGGATGGGCAGAGCACGAGATCACAAAGATCACCACTGGCATTGCTCAGGGATGGAGGACCATGGATAAAGGCCATTGGCAAGGTCAGTCCTGCTGTGCAAGGAGTGCATGGGCAACCAAGTCTACTGATGCTGTATGTTTGTTATGGGAAACCCTTGGGATGCTAGACTAGGCAGAATGTAATCAATTTTTATTTTTCATTTCATGAAGACTTTCCTAGAAGCAGGAAAAAGAAGACGCCATGCCTTCCAGTCATGCTTGCTTAAAGCCATGCTTGCTTGCTCTTCTATATTTCATTTAGAAAACACGGTTAACGTTTCAATGAAGTAGTGGTTGGATATTACCCTGGGCCCCCAAGTTCTGCCCTCCCTAGCCTGGGATGGGACACAGCTATAAGAAGGAGCATACTTCCTCTGGTCCATCTCTAACTTTTAAGACAACGCAGCCAACTCTGAGCCTACACCCCCTTGTGTCATTGATGTACCCCTCCTTTGTGGAAGGTGCCTGGAAGCAGTGTGGGTAATGCCTGGAGATGGCTGGGCATGGCCTTGGTAGGGAATGATTCGTCTGTGTCTTTTTTGAGCCATAAAATCCCCATCTTATTGAAATAAAAAGAAATTCAGGTATGTCTGGTCCAGACAGAAGAGGTCACCCCCAAATCTGGGACATCCAAGATGACACCCAAGATGAAAGATGATGTCATCATCAATCCTCTGGTTTAAAACTATTTCCCTCAGGATTGCAATTTGGCTCCTCCAGTGGGTCTGCCCATGGAGGGAGAGAGACCAGTTATGTCAACAAAAGTACTCGAGTTCCCATGACATCTGCTTTTGCATTTTCCTCCAACTCTCCATGTCATTTTGTCATACAACACTGCCTCATTAAACGAGGGGTATAAACTAGAAAGTTGTAATGAAGATGTTTCTTGAAATGATTTCTGCAGAGCAGCAACCTTCCAGGCAACCCACTTTCTCTCCAGTGCCCGCTCTCAAGCTCAGCCTGGCAGGAGGGGCAGGGTAGCATGTTACAAGGGTGCTCACGAGGGCATGCAGAAAGCTATGTGGTTTGGGGTCAGGAAACCAGGTGCCTGGCTGTCAGGCTACACCCACAGACCCAGGCATCACCACCAAGTCAGGTGTCTCTTGGTTTTCGCTGCTCTAGAATTATGAGTTGACAATCAGATGGCACAGAAGCCTGGAAACTAAGTTATCAGTTAATCAGAAAGGCCTGCTTGCATGTGGTTCAGACATCCTGAGGTGGTAGCACAGTGTGGCATAGGGTGGAAATTGCTATCCTCAGGGTGAGTTATGGTGTCTCTGTGTGTGTGCACATGTGTGCGTGTGTGTTTGTGGTTGAACACAGAGAAACTATCTTTCTTCTTGATGATCAGATGAACAATGAGTGCTTTTGACAAATGGGATGATTTTATAATAACGTCTAAAGAGAAGTAATTGTATATTTGTACAAATACAAAGCCTACTTAACATTTAAGACAAGCAACAGATTTTCCAATGTTATTCAACAGATAGAAATACTTATAGGAATCCTAAAATATTTAATGTTAATTACACAATTAAGCAATTTATTCTTGAAAACACTCTCATAGTAAAGCACTCGTTGATTACAGACAAACGAAACGTCTCCTTCACCACCTTCCACCACCCCCTGACTTCTTCCAGGAGCTAAGCACTGTGGCTATTTGATATTAATCCTTCTAAAGGCTTTCTCTGCACTTAAAAACATGTATATGTTCCCAGACAAATGGATAATACTTGAGTGTTTTGTTTTTATCAGAAATACCATCATATTGAACATACCATCTATTATACAAGTTGCTTTATTTGTTCAGAAACATGCCCTGGGAATCTTTTCATGTTAGTACATGTAGATCCACATTAAATCTTTTAAATGGCTACATAGTATTCCATAGAATGAAAGTACCATCCTTTATGTAATCACCATCTCCTTGATGAACATGTAGGTGGTATTTCATCTTCACCCACATAAGCAAGGCAGCCATGATCTTTGTTACAATGCCTCCTTAAAGAAATGCATTGAATTTCTCCAGAGGGGATGCCAGAATGGAGTTGCTTTGATACAAGGAATGCAAACTTTGTATCTTAGCAGATATTGCTGTCATCTCTTTCCAGTGTGGCTGAACCCATTTTTGCACCCTCAGGAATGGGTGAGAGGCCATGATTCCCAATCACAGTGCTTGATATTAAACTCATAATCATTTGCCTATTTGAAGGGTGAAAACATTGTTTTTATTTAATATGCATTTTCCTACTACTAGCTAGATAGAGCACCTTTTCATATGTTTTTCCGCTCATCTGGGAAGAAAACTTTTGTACATTTGAAAAATATGTGTTATCTTTTTATTTTTGTTTTGCAGGAGCAGAAGTTCTTTTCTAAGAGAAATTGCAAAAAGCAAGTGGCAACATACTAGACATTTTTCTTTATTTCAGAAAGTCATAAAAGCAATGGCTTGCATAGAAATAGAGAAAAAAGTCTGTGGTATGTGTATGTGCATTTTTTTTTTTCCATAGAGTGACGCTAACACCCACACACCTTTAGCAAATGGAGTGAAGCCCCCAAAGATTGCAAAGGCAAAGATGAAAGACAAAGAAAAGAAAGGCAGTTCTACCAGGCGCTTTATAACAAGAAAAGCGACTTGCAACCAGCATCTGAAATCTGGCTTCCATGTTCTGCAGAGGGCTTTGTTTGCTTCCCAGGGCCAACTATTTCCTGTAGAAATCCTTTCTATAGTGGGAGCTTGGGATTTGGCTGGTGTTTATCAGTTGCCCACGTAAGGAAGTGATGTCAGCCTGTGGCCCCCACCTGGGGTTATCTGAGGGGCTCATCGCTTACTGGTACTGACTGAGACGGAGAAGCAGCCAGGTGGCAGCAAGGAATGGCAGGCCTAGGCTCATCAAATCACCCTCAACCACAGCAGAATTTATCGCCACAGTGCATCTCTTGGGGGAAAGCTGAAGTCTGGGGGCTTGAGAAAATTAGGTGTAAGAATGAGGGGTGCAGAGGGGCCAGAAAGGAAGGGGAAGGAGCTCCATCCTCTCTGGAGTGTGTTCTGATGCATGTGGAGGAGGCTATGGAGCAAATACAAGTATAAACCCCAAAGCGGGGCTGTGGTGTCGATCGAGTACTTGGGGTGTGTGGCACACCCATTTAAGCTTTTGTTTAAATAGTGTTTTAAAAGATTGGCAAGGGAGAGGTCCGGACATTTTAGAAAACATCTGTGGGGTAGGTTGTGTTTCCACTCTTTGTGAATGTGGCTAGTAAGCTGAAACTCTCACTGAGGAGATGCTAATTTATGAGCGTAGTGAGATTTGCAACAAACCAGCCCAGGAATAGAACAGGGGATGGGTTGGTGAGCATGAGGACTTCCTGGGGGGCTTGTTGAAGTGCAGATTACTGGGCCCCATCCGTAGGGTTTCTCCTTCCTAGGTCTGAGGCACCTCACAGCTCTAACAAATTTCCAGGTAATACTGATGCTGCTGGTCTGGGGCACACAATTTGAGAACCATCAGGCTAGCGATGACTGGCTAAAGAAACTTTTAACTGGGGAGACAACAGATGCTGTGACCTTTTGTAGATAGTTGGTGGCTGTGGTCTCCTCTCAGGCTGATGGGGGAGGGGATTCCAGATAATCAGAGGAATTGAGAAATGCTTTTATGACAAAGTTTGCAGATGGCAGATGAGGAACAATGTTTGCCTGAGGTGCTTCTAAAGGCAAGTGAGGCTGAAGTAGGGCTGTGATGTCTTAGAAAGAGTATTCTAATCTAAACTGAGGGCCAGGGCCAAGATAAGATTAAGTATTAGTGAGAAAAAGAGCATATTCTACCCAGGTACTTATTTTTTAAATTATTAAGGAACTTGTAAAATCAAACTAACAAATACCATGACCATGGCTAAACAAAGATAAAATAAGACTTAAGACAAACCTGTTCCTTGTTCTAATTTCCCCACTGCTAGTCCTATTCCCCAAACCAATTTTTCAAGCTTCTCAAACTTTACTGAGTACACAAACCCTGGGGATTTGTTAATGGCAGAGTTGATTCAGTGGGCCTAGGGCAGGGCCTGAAATTCTGCATTTCCAACAAGCTCCTAGGTGATGCTAGTGTTGCTCTATGGGCCATGCATTGTACTGGGAGGTTTTAAATAATTCTTTTAGCTGTGTGTTTTGCTAATCAATGTTAGACATTCTTCATTTATTTCCTGCAATAATTTATGAACATTTCATTTCTCCATCAGCCTTACTTGCCTTACTTGCCTTCCCATCTTTACATTACAGTTATATTTAGTATTTTTATTAATATTAATAAACACTGCTATAGTACAGTGACTGTAAAATTGTTTACTGCATAGTAAAGCAGTGAACTATTATAATTCATTTCTCATACAGCCTTTTGTTTTTCCTGGAGTTTCTAATTGTATTTATTTTCTTCTTACAATGTCTTGCTCATAATAATTCTGTTTCCCCTCTCCCCTCGATAAAGCTCACCATAACAGCTCATCTATAAAGTCCTCTTTTCTCTGGAAGACCTCCATCTTTCCACAAATTCAAACCAAACTAAACCAAACCAAACCAAAACAAAACCTCTTCCTGCCTCTGAGCATTCCACAAGCTGTTCACTCCTTCTAGGATACCGTCTCCTCCCTCCTATAATCTTCCCCAACAGGCTTACGTGCCACCTGTTGAAGTGTTACTCATTGCTCTAATCTAATATAACCTTTGTAGTCAGTTTGCTTCCCTATCACCATCAGTAGTGATGGCTCCCTCTGCTTCCCTTTACCTCGTTTATTCCTCCATCACATGTGCACATGCATGCACACATGCATATATATACATATGGGGGCCTCATCCACTCACTAATTCTACAAGTACTTATTAAGAGTTTACTACATGTCAAAGATGTTTCTGCCTGTTTCACCATCTCCACTTCCTTTCTTGCTGTTAATCTCTCCCATCTTCATTCTTCATTAATATTCCCTTTGCTTTGCTTCCTTTGCATCCTCCTCTTTCCTACATCTCTATTTTGGGAGACATATTTCTCTAAGGGTCCACAACTATTTCATGAAAATGATAGCCACTGAAAAAATCTGCGTGCTTCCAGTGGCCATTTGGGGTTGTGGGGAGGTGAAGGGATAAGCATTTTGATGTTATACTATGTTGCTCTCCCGTGTACTTGCTGCTAAGTCCTTTATTTAATATATGACCATGCAACAGGTCTGTGTGCAGGATGTGGACATTTTGCTATGGGGAGTGTATCTTTTAGAATAACTTCTTCTTAGGGGATGCTCTTTCCTATGGCTTTGAATGGCTCTTCCTTCTCATACTTCAGCTCTGAGAATAAATGTCACCTCCTCAGAGAGGCCTTCTCCCATCTGAAGTAGCTCTATTCCCTTCCCTTCCCACCACTCAGCCATTCTCTATCACATTACCCTGTAGGTACATTAATTTCATTGATGTCTCCAATTAATAGTCTCCCTGTATCCATACCCTTTGAAATGGACTTTGTAGTTCTTCCCATTGAGAGGTAGTGTCTGTCTCCCCACACCTTGAATCCGGGCGGACTTTGTGACTTGCTTTGACCAATAGTATGCAACAAAGTGATGGTGTGGCAGTTCTAAGCCCAGACCTTCAGAGTCACTGTGTACTTCTCTCTCTATAACCTTATCATCATCACCATCTGTCCAAACCCAGACTAGCCAGCTGGTGGATGGGAGGCACGTGGACCAGTGGTAACATCATCCCGTACAGCTAACCCCTAGTTAACTTTCTAGCTGGCTACAAACACCTGGGCTAGCAGGCCCAACTGAGGTCAGCTAAGGTTAGTTGAAGAACTTCTCAATTGAGCCCAGCTTAAAATACAACTTGTAGAATCATGAGCTAAATAAATAATTGTTGTTTAAGCCACTACATTTTGGAGCAGTTTATTCTGCAGCAATAGCTTACTGATACATCCTGTTTATTTCCTTTAGAGCCCTTATCACTGTCTAACATTAACTTCTTTGTTTACTTTTTCTCTCCTGCTCCCTTTGAATGTGAGCTCTATGAGGGTATGCCCCTTGTCTGTTTGGTTCATTACCGTATTCTTAGTATTTAGAATAGTGTCTGACTATAGTAAGTGCAAAATCAGTTTTGAGTAAATGAATAAATGAATTAACATACCATTTGCAAATGCCTAGTGTGTTGCTATATATCAGGAGGAGTATCTAATAACTCAGGTAATGGAAGAAAAGCAGAATTTTGAATTAGTTCTGGATTCAAATCCTGGCTCTAGCACTTACTAGCTATATGACCTTGGACAAATCCCTTGATCTCTCTGAGTTTCAATTTCATTGTCTGCAAAGCATGAATACAAAAATAATATCTGGCCAGGTGCAGTGGCACACGCCTGTAATCCTAGCACTTTAGGAGGCCAAGACAGGTGGATTGCTTAAGCCCAGCCATTCAAGACCATCCTAGGCAACATAGTGAGACTCTGTCTCTATGAAACATACAAAAAGAAAGAAAGAAAGAAAGAAACAAAAGCAAAAACAATATTCATCTACATAGTGGTTGTGAAGATCAAACGTGAAAATTATTTTGCAAATTGTGAAATATTGGACCAATTTTATTTGTTAAGTTTGACCCAGAGTAGAAGGTTTTTTTATTCTCTTACTTTTTGGTTCTCTGGGTGAAGAAATGCCCTAATGTAAATTTTTAAATTTGTGGAACCAAGTGTCTCTTTAGAGGATGTGACTTATAGAAAGGAAGGGGAGGAAAAAATTATGGCCTTTGAAATTAGTTGAATCCCAGCTACCACTACTGTGTGATCTTAGGACATTCGGTTAGCTGCTCAAAGACTCAACTTTCTTTTCTAAGAAGGATGCAAACTCTCTTATCAACTTATTACGGGATTTGAATAAGATAAAGTTCGTAAAGCTCTTGGCACAAACTCAGTGCTCAGACCATTCATTTGCTTTCTCTTTCCTGGACCAGGGTGGGAATCACAGTCAAGTGAAGCCTGAGGCTCTTGACGCTCAGGGACATAGGACAGCTCAAAGGCTTTGGGATGTTTAAGAAGGAGGGTTGTTTGAAGGAGGAACCCAGGGTAATTTAGTGAGACACACCTTTCATTTGGTTGGATTTGAATGATGTTCCTGCATTGGTCATTTATTGGATTTCTCTGTAGTGTTTAGAAATGAAATATTTTAATAACAAAAGGGCAAGCATTGTTGCTTTGGCACCGTGTGGGTGCCAAACTCACAGATTACAGCAATCCTAGGGAATAGCTATTAGTGTCCCTGTTTTACAAAAGAGAAATCTGAGGCTCTGAGACACAGACCACCCTGCAAGCAAGTGTAGAGCTGGATAGACCCCAGAGGTAATCATGATACCCTGACACACTTCAGTAGAAAGTACCTCTACTGAGCATTGCCATGTGCCAGGCGCTGGCTCGACTCTTTCCTGTATTAGTTCTTTTTCCTCTCACAGCAATCCCTTGAAGGGGGTAGTATCATCCTATTTTATAGATAAGGAAAATGTTTTGCCCAGCGTCACCTAGTAAAGCACCGTCTTGACACCAAAGCCTGTGATCCTGGCTTAGTTCACCTGTGTCCATTCCTGGAGGTGCAGGGTGGTGAAAAGTTCAAGAAATTTGGTAGATGGTAGAAACCTTAAAATGAAAAGAGAAATGAGCTAAATCTTTGAGATGGAAAGGAAGGCTGGACCTGGCTGGGTTAGTCACAGGACTGGGGAGTGGAAGGGTAACTATTCCCCCAGCCTTCCTCCGGGCTCTCTTCAAAGCCTCCTGGACACAAGACAGCAGGGATGGAAGCCGAGACAACAGCTGTCTCTATCTTAGGTCATCTCAAACATAGGGCAAGGGAAGGCTTCCTCAATGCATATCAGAGGAAGAGAAAAGTAGGAAGGGATCCCAACTCCTGCAGCCCAAGATATAGCGAATAAAATCGTGAAACTATTGAAAAATAAACTCCAAGTTTAAAAGATACTAAACAGACCTCTTTCCAGTAGGGCTTCTCAGAACCTGTGAGTGCTGCTTCACCTTTTTCACAAGCATCTCTTTTTTTTTTTTTTTTTGGAGACAGAGTTTTGCTCTTGTTGCCCAGGCTGGAGTGCAATGGTGCCAGCTTGGCTCACCACAACCTCCGCCTCCCAGGTTCAAGCAATTCTCCTGCCTCAGCCTCCCAAGTAGCTGGGACTACAGGCACACGCCACCACGCCTGGCTAATTTTTGCATTTTTAGTAGAGATGGGATTTCACCATGTTGGTCGGGCTGGTCTCGAACTCCTGACCTCAGGTGATCCGCCTGCCTCGGCCCCCCAAAGTGTTGGGTTTACAGGCGTAAACCACTGCGCCTGGCCACAAAGCACCTCCTTTTGCTGGACACCTGCCCACAGAACTCTGTTTGGGAAGGCTGCTAGATATTGTTTTGGTTTTTCTTTGGTAAATTTTTTCCAAATATGGTTAATACTGAAAATTGGGCTGTTATTTCTAAGGTGAAACTCCATGAGTAATCTGAGTCCTGTGATGGGGTCTTTGTTTTAAAGCATAATTTATTTCATTTATTAGTTTTTTTTTTTTTTTTTCCTGAGACAGAGTCTAGCTCTTTGTTGCCCAGGCTGGAGTGCAGTGGCTTGATCTTGGCGCACTGCAACCTCTGCCTCCCAGGTTCAAGCAATTCTCTCACCTCAGCCTCCTGAGTAGCTGGAATTACAGGCGCCTGCCACTATGCCTGGCTAATTTTTGTATTTTTAGTAGAGACAGTGTTTCACCATGTTGACCAGGCTGGTCTCAAACTCTTGGCCTCAAATGATCCACCCGCCTCAGCCTCCCAAAGTGTTGGGATTACAGGCATGAGCCACCGCGCCCAGCCCATTTACTAGTTTTTAACTGACAAATAATAATTTTATTTATGGGGTACAATGTGATGTATCTACATGGTGGAAAGATTAAATTAAGCTAATTAGTATTTTCCTCACCTCACCTACTCATTTTTCTTGTGGTGAGAATGTTTAAAAATCTATTCTTTCAGCAATTTTGGAATATGCAAAACATTATTATTAACTATGGCCAGCACCAGCCCGAGGCCTGAAGCTTTCCTCTGGGTCTCCCTTGCAGGGGCCTGACCTTTTGATGTGATTGTTTTGATGTGGCCATTTAGAAACTGAGGCTATTTTCATGTAGCTATTTTGATGCTGTGGAAATTTTCTGACTTTTCAAAAACTAGCCACTGAACTTTCAGCTTTTGAAAAAATGATCAAGTGTTAATATACTATAGGGCCAGGGACAGGGCAGGGGTTGGCGCTATGGACAAAGTGGGGCAGGGTGAGGCTGGGGGATGGGGCCCATTTCTAATGTAATTTCTTATTTAAAAAACTAAACATGTAAAGTTCTGATTTTTAGGGTCACAAAGGCCCTCAAGTAAAAAAAAAAAAAAGCCCCTCTATGAAAGACACTGTTAAGAGAAGGAGAAGACAAGCCCCAGACTGGGAGAAAGTATTTGCAAAAGACACATCTGATAAAGGAATGTTATCCATAATATACAAAGAACTCTTAAAACTCAACAATAAGAAAATAAGCAACCCAATTAAAAAACAGGCAAAAGACCTAAAGAGATACTTCACTGGGCCAGGTGCAGTGGCTCACGCCTGTAATCCCAGCACTTTGGGAGGCTGAGGCGGGCAGATCACGAGGTCAGGAGTTCGAGATACTTCACTGAAGAAGATATGCAGATGGGAAATAAGCGTATGAAAATACATTCGACATCATAGGTCATTAGGGAACTTCAGATTAAAGCCACACACCTATTAGAATAGCCCAGGCCCTAAACACATAGCACCAAATGCTGGTAATGATATGGAGCATCAGGAACTCTTATTGCTGGTGGGAATGCAAAAAGGTACAGCCACTTTGGAAGACAGTTTGGCAGCTTCTTACAAAACTAAACATACTCTCACCGTATGATCTAGCAATCGTGCTTCTCAGTATGTACCCAAATGAGCTGAAACTTATGGCCACACAAAGATCTGCACACAGATGTTCACGGCAACTTTATTCATAATTGCCCAAACCTGGAAGGAACCAAGATGTCCTTCAGCAGGTGAATGGATAAATAAACTGTGACACATCCAGACAATAGTTTATGTTATTCAACACTAAAAAGAAATGAGCTAGCAAGCCATGAAAAGACATGGAGGAGCCTTAAATCCATATCAGTAAGTGAGAGAAGCCCATCTGAAAAGGCTATATACTGTATGATTCCAACAAATACGGCATTCCGGAAAAGAAAAACTGGAGACAGTAAAAAGGTCAGTGGTTGCCAGGAGTAAGGTGGAAGAGAGGGACGAATAGGTGGAGTACAGAGGATCCTTAGGGCAATGAAACTATTCTGTATGTTATTTTAATGGTGGATACATGTCATACATTTGTCCAAACCCACAGAGTGTTCAATACAAAGAGTGAAACCTAAAGTAAACTACTTTGGGTGATAGTGATGTATGAGTGTAGATGAACTGATTATAACAAATGTGCCACTCTGATGCAGGATGTTGATAGTGGGAAGGTGGCACATGTGCTGCGGGAGCGGGTATATAGGAACTCTCTGTACCTTCTGCACAATTTTGCTGTGAACCTAAAACTGCTCTAAAAAACAAAGCCTATTTAAAAAACCCAACATTATTAACTGGAATTAATGATAAAAATATGTATTTAAAAAAACCCATAAGCACTTCTCAGTGAATAATGATGGTCATCACTAGAAATGTTCCCTGGGTGACGTTTAGTGTGTGTGTCCTCCTTCCATCAGGGGTGGCAGGAGGGAGGGATGTAAGCACCCTGAATCTACCATGATGCCTCCGTACAGGCAGAGGTCCAGAGAAGGGACAGTGACAGGCAGAGCTGAGGGTGGATCCTGCGGTGGCCTAGGCCAGCCCAGCCAAGGCAAGGCTCTCATTTAGACGTTTGGTTCTGGTGCCTGCAGAACCAAAGGTTTTGCTGTTTTTTTGTTGTTTCCCATGCAGCAATCAGTGATCTGTTAAAAATGGAAATCAGGCTAGGCGAGGTAGCTCAGGCCTGCAATCCCAGCACTTTGGGAGGCCGAGGTAGGCGGATCACGAGGTCAGGAGTTTGAAACCAGCCTGGCCCACATGCTAAAACCCCATCTCTACTAAAAATACAAAAATTAGCTGGGCGTGGTGATGGGCACCTGTAATCCCAGCTACTCAGGAAGCTGAGACAGGAGAATCACTTGAACCCAGGAGGTGGAGGTTGCAGTGAGCCGAGATCACGCCACTGCACTCCAGCCTGGGCGACAGAGCAAGACTCCATCTCAAAAAAAAAGGAAATCGGATCGTGTTATCACCTATATAAGTCCTTTGGGTAGCTTTCTGTACACCTGGCATCAGGTGAAAACTACTGGCCCAGCCTCAAAGCCCAACATGCTCGTGCCCCTCCAAATTATCTGGCCGCCCCTCACTGCAAGCTGTCCTCCTGCCTGTTGGTCTTTCTCATCCTTGGACACGTCAAATTCTTCCTGCCAACTGTTCCCTCTGCTGATAATGGCTGCTCCAATCTTCACATTGATGGGAACTTCTTGTCACTCAGGCCTTAAGTGTCACTACTGTAGTGGGCCTTTCCCAGACCATCCAGTGTGAGGGCCCCCTTCCCACGCCACTCCCTCCATCACCTCTGTCTGTACTGATTCTCTGCATGGCATTTGTCGCTATTTAATGTGCTCTGTCTTGCTGACTGCTACATCCAACCTCTTAGAACAGTGACAGCAAATAGTAGGAGCTTGACAAGTACATGTTGAATGAAGGATTCCAATGAGATCTTCCAATGAGATAATGCGTGTGAGGGCAGAAGGGATGATTTTTATCATTAATAGATGAGACAAATAAAAATAAAAAATCCTCTGACTGGTCTCATGACTCAGGTGCTGCAAGCACAAAACCTCAGGAGTTGAGGATGACACATATTTCCCTTATAAACAGCTTGTATTCTGCAGCAGCTTGGCAGCCACACCACTGAACTCTTGACCTCCCCTCTGAGCTGCAGTGGGGAATATCTAACGACCTGCTAGACACCTTCACTTCAACACCTCAGCCATATCACATCCAGTGCTACATGCATCACTATCTGCCAAAACCAACATTTCCTCCCACACACTTGCTCAGTTAAAGATACCCAAGTCTTCCCACAGCCTCCAACTGGTTTTGTTCTCTTCCTCCTGCAACATCTCATCATTTGGCAGCTCCTGAGGGGCACTTGGCCATGTCTGTCCTGTCCCTCCCATTCCTGCTGCTGCTGCAGGGTGCGGGCCCCCTCCTCCTCTCTCTCTCTCACTCTCTGAGAATTGCCTCCTAGCTGACACCGCGACCTTCAAGGGCTATTCATGGTAACTGAATTTAGCAAAAATGACTACTTTCTCCTCATTCCTGTCCTTTAAGGGTTTTGATTACTAACTGCGACACACGAAGAATGTGTAAAAATACTTTTAAGGGACCTTGCCCTTAAAAGTATCTACAGGTATTCTAGAAAACCAGTATAGCTAAAGCCTGCCCTGGCTTGAGTGCTACTGGGGAAGGAAGAGCTCAGCCTCACACCCTTCACCCCCTTGCAGAAGGGAGTGAGTCTGCCACAGGCCAGCTGCCCTGGCTTGCATCATAATGTGAGCTATCTAAGGCTAGAGCCGAGGTAGAAATATTAGCTGCTGAATAGCAGGTTGGTCTGGACCTGTACAATCCACTAGGGTGGCCACTGGCCATGTTGGCTGTTTACATTTCCATTTAAGCTAATTCCAATTAAATAACGATTTTAAAAAGATCACACTAACCACAGTGTCATGTTCACTAGCTATATGTGGCCACACACTGGACAGATAGCTATAGAATATTTCCACATTGCAGAAAGTGCTATTAGATGGCTCTATTCTAGATCCTCAAGACTTATATCAGGTGAATTTTTTGCATTAATTTAGTCAGAAGATGTTTAATATTCTCCTAGAATGTGCTGCTGGGCTTCAACCATGGCCAGTATCCACATAGTCCCTTTCCTCATGGATTAGTGGGGAAAAAAGGGTCCTTGCAGACTTTATTCCTTGGAAATTTGGACCTAGGACTCTTTTTACCTGCACTGATCATAATGTCACCACCAACTACTAACTGCCTCCAGACACTTTGGCTTTCCAAGTCAAGATAAGGCGTTAATCAATGAAAAGTAGAAAGACAGCATTGTCCTCTTCCAAAGACCCCAATATGCTTTTGAAATATGACTTTCCCAGTATGTACAGGAGGCTAAGGAAGGAGGAGAACAAGATTACAAATCTATAGTAGTTTTCAATTTGGGGAACCTAAAAAGTAGAGGACTGAAGTAAAATTAATTTTTTCTGTGCCAGAGACTGTGCTAGATACTTGGTATATTGGAATGAACAAGAGGTAACCGACTTGATCATATATTGTAATGAACAGACTCAGCACTCCTGTTGGCCCCTGCAACAAAGTCAGCTTGGGTCTTTTCTCTGTTACAGGTATCAGCGTTGTGGATTGCTGTTTCTAGTCCACAGTTATTCCTGAAATGCTCTTCAGTTGCCAGGTACAGCACTTGGTCCATAACCCAAAGGGGATACTATTATTATTATTATTATTATTATTATTATTATTATTAACATTTTTTTAAAAATTTCTTTTCATAGAATGCATTTTTGTATTAGAGATTCCTCTAGTGGGAAAATAACAGTTTATTACTTATAGTTCTATATTTGTGGACAGATCGTTTTAGAACAAGTAAAACACATTTGAGAATGAAGTCTCAGTTTAGAATTTGTAATATTTTGATACTTCTACAAGGGGGACCTTGCCCTTAAACAGAACTTTGCTATACTCAGAAGCATTCCAAGCTTTTCTTCCTAGGATTTAGAAATTCATAATGTGAGATATCAGCATTTCCTAATTTTCAACTTCCCCTAGAATATGTAACCATCAGTAGCTGGTGTCTACTGAATAGAGAGGGAAGTTTTTGAAAATTAAACACGGTCTCATTTTCTGCAAAGTTTTTATTCATGAATTAACAGTATTTCTCTTTGCCCATTATTCCCAAGGCAAGTACAGAAGAAATTTGATCATGTAGTAATAGTAATAAAGCTGGATTCTCTTTAAGAGATTGATAAATTCAAAGGCAAAAGCTCATATATCATGTTGAGTTATATGTGAGTCTTATAAGAAGCTGGGAGGCAACCCCGTTAACTCACCAGAATACAGACCTCAGTCTCACAATTTCTTGGACATAATTCTTCTCAAACCTTTTCCTCAAAGCTTAAATTCTGAAAATAGTCTGGTGATTAAGAGAAGATGGCTGTCCACCAATGGATTTATCTGTTATTTCTTCCTTATTGTGAGTTGAATGGCGTGACAAAGTGAAGGCAAAGAGGCATGCATTAATTCTTCAAAGTATAAGTCAAAAAGGTCAGCGCTTCTACAATGTGGCAGTATCTTTGCAGATGCCCACATCATGATAGTTGAAAGAGCAAAGCCCAGAAAAGGCTAAAGCTGAAAGTGCCAAAAGGCCTGCCTTGGCAGCTTTCTGCAATGCATCCCCATGAACACAGTCAGGAACAACTTGTCCAAGGCCCCAAGACCATGAAGAGTGAGAGTTGCAGCCACGGAGTAGGCCATCACAGAGCAAGGATTCAGTTAAGCAGCTAGAAGCAGGCCCAGGAGCAAAACACTGACAATCCTCTCACTAGTCCAGTGGACAGATGCAGCCTTGGAACCAGAAAGGTGGCTCAGTGACAAATGAATGTGCTGCACTCCACGCCATTCTGGGGTAGGTTGGGTCCTGAAGAAATCCTGAGATCTGAGCAGGTCTGACAACTGGGGCTCGCAGGAACAGAGCTCAGCCTCCTTGGGCACCACAGAGGGCACTCAGCCTCTAGAGAACCTCCATCTCTTCCCTCAGAGTATGCTTATAGTGCCCTGTCCTCCAGAACTCACCTTTGGCAGGGTGAGAATGCAAGAGAGAAATAGCCCTTAGAAAAGGGGACCAGCAACCTTTTATAGTCACCCAGCTCTGAATTCTAGTTGCAAAGAAAGAAACACAGCAAAGAAAACAAGAGGATAGGGCTTTTTTCAGGAATGGACCTAAACTAGATTGCAGCAAAGGGAGTCACATTTGCACAAGCTCCTTTGAGAAAGCGGAAGTTCTCTCTATGACTTCCTTGCGTCTTCCCTTCTCCCCAGCCTCATGATCCTCTCTGCATCCCAGGAGAGGGCATGTGAGTGCTCTAGAGCAGCTCTTCCAGACCTGGATGGAAGAACCTACCTAAGCTTCCCCACCTCACCTGGACCACGGGGACCCGTGCAGAGGAGGGAATCTTCCCACACCGGTGCATTTACCCCTTCTCCTCTTCCCTGACGGCCAGCCTCACCTTCCTTCCTCCCCCGAGACTCACTCCAACGTCTAGGGGCAAGCAGTGTCTACCTTGTATGCTCTTACCTGATGAGGAAACAGCCTGAGTCAAGAGAAGGGAGAAGCACAGGCTTTTCCTCACCCATGGCAATTGCAATAGTGCGTGTCTCACCTCGCTGCAAGCTTTCCAAGGACGCAATCAAACACGGGGGAGAAACAAATTCAGCCAAGAAAGTCAAGTAAGGGAACATCTTCTTCCCTCTAGCACCAGTTCCTTTTGTGTCTTTATTTGCCAAGTGAGAGGGAGGAGTGAGATGCCAGAGCATCTGGCTGGTTCTCAGCTATGTATAGTTTCAGACACCATTTATTTGCAATGAGCGCCCGCCGAGGGAAGGGAATTTCACGGCTCCCTCGCACCGCCGTTCCTTAAGGCTGATGAATCAGACACCTCTTTCGTTCTTACTGTGCATGCCCTCTACCTTTCAGATGACCTATTTGTTGGCCTTTTTCCATTTAGACAATAAACCCAAGTGCACCTTCTGCATCCCTTTGCTCTACGGGAACTGAGGGTGATGAAGGGGACATGCGCCTGGGAGTACCACGCCATGACAGAGCGGCATTGAGTCCTCGGGACAATCAATACACCAAGAGGTGGAAATTAACATCCACAAGAGTGTAGTCATGATTTTCCCCCAGAACAAATATATAAAAGGGATCTTTGTCATAACAATGACAGGAAATCATTAATCACATCAGGATTGAAGTCCCCACTGTAGCAGTGGATGGGAAGACTTCGTCTGTGATCTTCATTAAAAATGCAATATTTTGTATATTTAGCTTTTTTCAAAGTTTTACCAAAACACCTGTAATTAATACAATTTATTGTATTATCTTTGTTAATGTATCTGATGTGCAAAACCTTACTAGATTTGCCCCAATTTGAAGGTGTCTGTGGCTTTCCAGCACTCCATGTGTTCCTAGCTACATCTCACAGGCAGACTTTCTAAAGCAGTGCCTTTCAATAGCACTGTTGGCGACGATGGACAGGTTCTGTATCTGCATTGTCCATTGGGATAGCCACTAGCTGCATGTGGCTATTGAGCACTTGAAATGTACCTGGCATGACTGAGAAACTAGTTAACACTTAAAACATTTTTCTTTTTTGATACAGGGTCTCAGTCTGTTGCCCAGGGTGGAGTGCAGTGGTGCAATCTTGGCTCACTACAACCTCTGCCTCCTGATCCTTCCACCTCAGCTTCCCTGAGTATCTGGGACTACAGGCATGGGCCACCATGCCTGCCTAATTGTTTTTGTGTGTTTTGTAGAGATGAGGTTTCACCATGTTGTCCAGGCTGTTCTTGAACTCCTAGGCTCTGCCTAGTGATCTGCCCGCCTCAGTCTCTCAGAGTGCTGGGACTACAGAGGTGAGCCACTGCACTGGCCCTAGTTAGCATTTTAATTAATTTGAATTTAAATAGGCACATCTGCCTAGTAGCTACTGTGTTGGATAGCACAGCCCTCCGGGTTCTGGTACGTCTGTCAAGGCCAGAAAAGGTATGTTGCGATGGATAGTGCTACATCTGCCACTGGGTGGTAATCTGATACAGGCCTGCTCAGGTGACACCACCTAAAGAAATCTCATCAGTGTGCACCTCTGGCAAGCCTGACAAGGCTGACTTCTCTCGATGGGATCCTCCAATTTCCCCATTCCCTGTAAGCAGCTGTGCTGTCTAGGAAGAGAATTTGCTCTTAGATCATCAGTCTGTATGTGCGTCTTCAGATGAGACAGTTTCCCCTTATCCCAGCAGTTTTCAGCTTTTTGTTTCTGGTTGCAAATGATTGACTCCGCTGATTGCTGGAAGCTACACAGGTGACTCCCCACCCTCTTGGGCTACCCCACCAGTGACAACACAGGCAGGGGTGGCCTGGCTTCCTTTCTCGTGTTGTTATCGGGTAGCTGCCTGCTCAGAACCCACAAAGCCTGCCCCTCATCCCAGGCAGAGAGCAACCCAGCTCTTTCCCCAGACACTGAGAGCTGGTGGTGCCTGCTGTCCCAGGGAGAGTTGCATCGCCCTCCACAGTGAGTATTGCTCTTCTTCTTGTTGCCCCCAACCCAGTGTCATCTTGGCCCTCAGTTGTGTGCTGCTATGATGGCTTCTAAAACCTGGGCTTGCACTCATTTGTTCAGAGGTCATGGGCACCAGGCACTTTTCTAGAAACTTCCAGGAAGGTAAATGGGAATTGGTGATGCCCAACCCAGGTTTCTTGTAGGGCGAGTAATAAAACTCCCTCCCCCTTCACATACATGAAGCTTAGGCTTAAGGCAGTCTGTGATTTATACCTTAAAGGAAGGAGAAGCAGGTGCTGGGGGACAAGATGGTGGCCAGGGGTAAAGGACACACCCATGAGGTCCTTGAGTCTGAGACACTGCCCCATGGAAAGGATTCTTTGTAGCAGTGAAAAACTGGAAACAAGGAAACTATGCATCAGGAGGCGAATGGTTAAATGAATTGTGATGTATCTAGACAATGGAATACACAGCAGCCATCCAATTCTATGATACGGTTCTATGTTGAATTGGCATGGAAGGTGATCCATGAAAGATGGGCAATTAGAAAGCAAGATAGAAGATTATATGTGTAGTCTGATTTCCTTTCTATTAAGTGCGTGTGTGTCTGTGTGTGTGTGTGTGTGTGTGTGAGGTTGTGTTACAGAGAAAAAGTCAGAAAGGAAGTATCTCAGAAACTTAACAATGGCTAAACTAGGAAAGGGTGCTTCAGGAGTTTTTATTTTCTATATTATGTATGTTGGCATTTTGGGGATTTTTTGTGCATTGTAAAAATACTCCTTTATGATCAGAGTAAAGCAAAAAGTTATTTTAAATGACTCATCAGTGGATGCTGGTTTGCCTTTTCAAACACACCTACCCTCTTTAGTTCTGAATTAGCTGTTACTCCATAGACGGCTGGCAAGTCCATCCAGAGAGTGGTCACTGTGTGCTGAACCGGAAGGGCTGTGCAGCAGCCAGTCTGTGGGATCCCATCTCCTTACTCCCTTTCCTGAACGAGCAAAAGCTAATTTACTATTTCAGCATCTGGAATTTCGGAGTCCTTTTCTTCCAATATCTGCTTATCTGTTCTGAAGCCTCTTTGTGTAGGCCTCACTCACAGGCTTGTGTTGGGAGCCCCTGGGCCCTGTGCAGCCCCTGCTGGGCGGTTGGCAGGCATCTGATCCAGGCATGGTGAGTGGATGGATCTGATAGATGGCTCAGAGACCCTGCCTCGTGTAGGGAACAAAAAGCAGAGCTATGAAAAAATGTAAGAGATGATTCAAGCTCCGTGTAGCAAATTGTACAAAGTTCAAAGTAAGGACCTGCATTCCTGACTCATGTTAGTATCTGATTTGATGTTAGTGCTGTAAGCATCAGAGGCTATAAGTGTGGGGAGATGCTGTGTGCACAATAACCCCATGCTGATTTTCATGTTGGCTACGTAAGAATGTTAGAGAATACAAAAATAGTGATTGGATAATAATAGGTTCCAAGCTAACTTTTCTAATAGGCACTTTTCTCTTTTGGAGAATTAGCAGCTCTCTCCCTTCCTTTATCTCCCAGGTCCCTGCACATACCCCATGCTTTCTGACTTTCATGCCTTAGTGCATATGTTTTCCCACCCTGGAGCAATGTTCCCTCCCCTCGTTGCATGTCTCCATGCTCTTCGGCCTTCAAGGACCCGCAAAAATGTCACCTCTTCAATGAAGCCCTCCTGGATTCTCCCCAGAGCTAAAGACATGACCTCCTTCTTCCAATTCCTACCACAACTCATAGCACTTTCCCTTTGTTGTTATTTGCAGCCATGACTTACTCAGTGTATTTGAATGCAAGCTTCTTGAGGACATGGATCATGTCTTACACATTGTTTAAGCCAAATAAATGTATCAGGTACTCAAGGCACATTGAATAAGTGGGTTCGATGGATGGCCCATGGCACCTGCAACAAGGCCTCACTGAGCAGCAAGGGAGAGATTTGCCACAGTGCTGAGTCAACTGCCCATCCACTCCCGACAGACCGCTGAGATGGTCCTCACTCTCAGTATGTTTGGTCATATGTGGGATTTTCCCCCCTATATTTTTCCCGCTTTCTCACTGGCAAGACAAAAATGAAAGCAAGCACTGAGACTTAGTAGCTGGGAGAATAAAATATTTGAGAAGTATTCTGACAAAAATGAAAGAGAAATAGATGGCAAGGCTGTCTGTGGAGGTTCTAGATGTGGGCTCTAGGGAGGGGTATGTCCTGTTTTTACTCTTTGGCTCTCTCCAAATTTTCTATGAGCCAGAAGCAGATGCATATTTTATAAACTGTAATATATTACATTCTATTATACACCATAATATATTACATGATATATACTATTTGTTTATTTATTTTAGAGACAGGGTCTTGCTCTGTCACTCAGGCTGCAGTGCAGCAGTGCAATGTTAGCTCACTTCAGCCTTGAACTCCTGGGTTCAAGCGATTGTCCTGCGTCAGCCAGCTGAGTAGCTGGGACTACAGGGTAGGCAACCATGCCTGGCATATTTTTAAATTTTTTGTAGAGATGGGGTCTTGCTCTGTTGCCCAGGCTGATCTCAAATTCCTGGCCTCAAGTGATGCTCCCACCTCAGCCTCCCAAAGTGTTGGAATTACAGGCATGAGCCATCTTGCCTGGCTTGTGTTTATATATTACCTTTAAAAAAAAAAATAAAGAGAAACCTTTATAGAAAGCTAGTGTACAACTTAGTTGCATAAAGTAGCCTCGGTGAATGTAATTACTAGACTTGCTCTTTCTGCGGTAGCTGGAGCAGGCTACAAGTTCCTCCTCTAGATGAGTTTTGTAAACAGGTGTGCTGAACGTTAGAGCATTGGGCTTCTTCTTCTTTTTTTTTTAAATCTGACAAGTTATTTTTATGACAGCTCTTAAAATAAAATTTTACACACTTGGTAAGATATTTAAATAGTTTGCAAAATCTAAATGAAAACATGAAAGTTCATTTTCCACTGGTCACAGTGGTTCAGTCTCCTTCCAGAAAATGTTTCGGTGCTGGTGAGCAGTGCAGTGTATGTCTTTTTCTATTTTTTTTTTTTTAAAGATCACACAACATAAGTCTTCCTACATGTTGCATTTTAATCTTATAGTCTTGAGGACCTCTTTTCTATCAGCATGAGGACCATCCTTGTTTATTGGCTACACATGGTTTATTGGATTGATGTGTCATAATATTACCAATTGCTGAATATTTAAGTTGTTTTCCAATTTTTGTTCTGCTCCAACATATATCCCTATACCTGGACCCTTGTGTTCTTTTGTGAGAATACCAGTAGGGCAAATTCCAAGCAGATGCGCTGCAGAGTCAGAGATGTTGTGCTTTGTAAATTTTGACAGATATGGCTTAACCCTCCAAAAAGATCACATAAATTTATACTCCTCACAGCAGTGTGGAGGCCTTTTTTCCAAACTCTTACCAATGTCGTTACCATCTATTGCTATTTCCAATCTGAAACTTGCTGTCACTCACTATAACAAAGCCATTCTTTCTTCTTTTTGTGGTTTCTTTCTTTGGGAATTTTTCTCAGGTATTACATGATTAATATTCAGTCCTTTCATGCAAGCAAAAAGGAGGTGACATAAGCCCTGGGTATTAGAAATATATATATAACATATATATATATTTATATAAATATATATATAACATATATATATATTTATATAAATATATATATAACATATATATATAACATATATATATATATAACATATATAAAGTGTTTTCTAATTGATATCTCAAAAATCAACCTCCGTATTCCCCAAGCTGTAATAAAATAAAATTTGCTGAGTTGAGGTCTTCCAAACTCAACTGGGCATTTTTCATCTGGGGCAAAAAAAAGAAGAGTAATGCTCAGCTCCAAAGTGGCTGCTTTTCTGCTTGCTGGGTGAGTTTCTTATTTCAAAACAGAGGCTCACTGGGCTTCTTGATGGCACCTGGAGTCATGCCAAGCAGGAAGCAATCACTCCACAGAGCTGAAGATGTCAGAACCGTTCAGAAATACTGCCTGGGGAAAGTTCTTGGTTCTTCGGCTTAGGAGGAAAGGGGCAGAATACAACCTTTCTGAAGAAAATGCATCTTTCATTCACCTGAGAAATATTTCAAAATAACTATAAAAAGAAGTTAGAAGCAGGTGAATTGCCCCACAGAGGGGAATGTTTAAATGAATTGGGGCACAGCCCCTGTCGGAATGCCAGGTAGCTGATGCCTTCACCTGTCTGAAGAATGTTTAATGATGAAAGAAATGTTCATAATCCGTTAGGTGGGAAAAAGAAAATAAAAGTTCAAAGTGTACGAATGCATAGAAACACGGCTGGGAGGGAAAACAACAGAAAGTTAAAAGTGGTTATTTTAGGGTAGGAAGATTACGGGTGATTTTGATTTTCTCCTCTCGGCTTTTCTGTATTTGTCAAATTTCCTGCAAACACGTGTGTTACTTTTGTAACAAAAAAAGTCATTTTTCAGATAAATGTCAGTGTTTTCCTGGCCCCCAGAGGGCTGCAGTGAAATTCGGTGAATGCCCAGGTGGCTGGGTAAGGTCACGGCCGGAGGCTGGGGCTACTCATTTTTATTTCAGACACAGTCCTGTTCCAGGCTTTCTTGTGTCTTAGGGTCAATTGCCAAAATATTTTTTTCTCTTCTAAAAATTTATTGTGAGTCTTACTTGTATCTAATTTCAAGCTCACTGAAAAGTGAAAAATTGTGTAAAGAATGCTTATAAACCCTTCACCCAAACCATTGTTTTCATTTTGTCCTACTGGCTTTATTATTCTCCTTCTCTCTATATACATATGTTTTCATTAATTTTTTGCATTTTTTGCTTATTTTTTGAATCCTTTGAGAATATGCCAAAGACACTGTTCTCTTTTGCCCCTAAATACTTCAGGGGATAATTCCTAAGAACAGGGGCATTCTCCTGTAAAACCACAATGCAGTCAGCAAAATCAGGAAATTTAATCCGGATGCAGCACTATCATCGAATTCACAGCACCTATTGTAATGCCCTTAATTTCCCAGTAATGTCCTTCACAATTATTTTTTTTCCCCACTCCAGGACCAAATCCAGGTTCTTGCCTTGCATCTACTTGTCCTGTCTCTTTAGTCTCCTTCAACCTGAGATGGTTTCTCAGTTTTTCTTTGTCTCACTTGACCTTGATATTTGGCCAATTACTTTGCAGAAAGTCCTTCATTTTGCGTTTTTCTGATGCTTCCTCATTCTTTGATTTAGGTTGACCTTTTTTCCAGGAATAAAGATGATGTGTCTTCCCTCCTCAACTCTTTAGGACAAATGTGACACTGGTTTGCTTCCATGTTGGTGGTATGGGGTTTGAAGACCAACTTAGCTGGTCTTCAAATCCAACACCATCAACATGTAGTTACATGTCTCCAAGGAGCCCTGGCTGTTTAGTGGAGAAAGATATTTAGATTCCAAGATCAGGGCACTAGGTGCTAATTATGCTGTGTATCATTGCTTTTAGGTCCTCTCAGCAGACAGAGACAGGAAATATGTATGTGAAACACACATACATATACATATACAAATTGTCTATCTATCTATCTAATTTAATCTTAAAAACATATGGGTATAAAGACATGTGAACATGTATGTTCATTCCAACACTATTCACAATAGCAAAAACATGGAATCAACCTAAATGTTCATCAACGATAGACTGGATAAGGAAAATGTGGTACATATACATCATGGAATACTACACAGCCATAAAAAAGAACAAGATCCTGTCCTTTGAAGCAACATGGATGGAACTGGAGGCCATTATCCTAAGTGAATTAACACAGAACAGAAAAACAAATGTCACATGTTCTCATTTATAAATGGGAGCTAAATGTTGAGTACATATGGACACAAAAAAGGGAATAACAGACACTGGGACCCCCTTGAGGATGGAGGGAGGTAGGAGGGTGAGGATAAAAAAACTATCTACCAGTCAGGTACTATGCTTATTAACCTGGGTGGCGAAATAATCTATACACCAAGCCCCCATGACGCGCAATTTACCTATATGACAAACCTGCACATATACCCCTGAAGCTAAAATAAAAGGAAAAAACCCACAAAAACAAACCAAAACAAAAAAAACCCACGTGGGTCCGTAGTGATCTCTCAAGTTGGCTACAACAGCACAAGGCACTCCAGTGCACTTTTGAAAAGCTACCAGCAGAGAGGTTACCAGGAGGAAGTTCTGGTTGCTTTCCTCCTCAGGGCCTGCTGACAGCCGGAGATGACACTGAGAAGTGAAGTGCCAGAAGGTTTTCATCGTACTTTGCTTTTTCCTGCCTTACTTGAACAGCTTTATTGAGGTCCAATTATAATAAACTGCAAATATTAAAATGCAGAATGTAAGTTCTGACGTACATACACCCTTGCGAAGCTCTCACACAACCCAGACAGTGAACATATTTATCCCCCACTGAGGTTTCCTTTGTACCCACCTGCCCTCCTGCCCTCCCACACTCCCCTTCCCTCTCTCTCTCTCTCTTTTTTTTTTTGTTTGAGATGGAGTCTTGCTCTGTCACCCAGGCTGGAGTGCAGTGGTGCAATCTTGGCTCACTGCAACCTCTGCCTCCCAGGTTCAAGTGATCCTCCTGCCTCAGCCTCCTGAGTAGCTGAGACTACAGGCGCACACCACCACACCTGGCTAATTTTTTGTATTTTTATAGAAATGGGGTTTCACCATGTTGGCCAGACTGGTCTCGAACTCCCAACCTCAGGTGATCTACCCACCTTGGCCTCCCAAAGTGCTGGGATTATAGGCGTAAGCCACCATGCCCAGCCACCTCCCCTTCTCTCTCTCTCTATTGCCAGGACATCAGTGATTCTGCTTTCCGTCAGTATAGATTAGTTTGCATTATTTAGAGTTTTATACAAGTGAAATCATACAGTATGAACTCCCTTTGGTCTGGCTACTTGGCATAATTGTTTGGAGACTTGTCCATGTTGCTGTGTGAATCGGTCATTCATTCCCTATTCCATTGGACGGATATTTCACAGTTAACTTATCCATTTACTACTTGATGGACATTTAGGCTGTTAGCAGTTTTTGCCTACCACAGAGTAAAGCTGTAATAAACACTCACATACTAGTCTTTATGGGGACATATACTTACAATTTTCTTGGGTGAATACTTAGGAGTGGGATGACTGGATCACATGGTGAGTGCATGTATAACGTCTTAAGAAACTGCCAGTTTTCCAAAGTGGTTTTACCACACATTATGCATTGGAAACCACTGTACTTTCAGAAAAGCAGGGTGGGGTCATGATGTTGTTATGGAAAGGAAGCCAACAGGTTGGCTTTATAGGATTTATGAAAGAGGCTATTTTTTTCGAGAACCTTGGGGTGTGATGCTGGACAGGTTTCCTTGAAATGTACTCGCTAAGGGTATAAAAGGAAATGCCCCAGCTCAGGCACAGACTTCGTCCTCGAAGGCAGTCAAGCTGTTGTTTCTTTGGTTATGTAGGGGTGGGCTTTAAAGAAATTCAAAACACATGAAAATGACAACTCGAGATTTATTTCAGTCAGTTCCGAGGCCCTGTGCATTAGGGAACTAGAACTCATTTTCTTCAGTACACAAACCTAGGACTTCCTTTTCCTGCTGAAGTCAGGGTAAAGAGGAGAAAGGTGGGTTCTGGGGGCACCGGGTCTTTTAGGGAGGGGCCCCAACCCCAGTGGGCACCACCCAGCCCTCATGTTCTTCTTGCCACCTGGTTACTCAAAGGCCCTTTTCCTGGGGAGTCCAGAGCCCAGGGCATTCTCAAAGCGACCACTGTCCTGTTAGCTTCGGTGAGTCCCTTAGCTGATAGAGCAGGGGGAAGGGGAACCAGTCAGCAAAACAGGACTTGACAGACAAGCTGAATCAAGGGAAAGGGAGCTAATGTAGAAAGGATGAGCTGGGAAAAATGTAACAGCCCACCTGCCATTCCTCATTTGTGGATGGGAGATGTACTAATTATTGTCTAAGTAGAAAGAAAACAAATGCTAGAATCAGGTGACCCTCAGAGTCAAAGAAGTGAATGATAACTTCAAAGGAGAGGTTCATTCATTTCTGTGTGGACTACTCAGATGATTCTGAAATCTAGAATACTATATAGACTCTAACTCCTGCTTGGAATATTTTTTTCAGAAGAATAAGCAGATTTAAAATTTAATCTCCATCTTTTTGGCATTTGGTTGTTACTATTCGTTTACAAGCCAGTCCACTTTTTGATTTTTGTCCCTTTTCCAGGAGCAGGCTTGCATCTGACTGACCCACCATGACACCCACAGACTTCACAGTGAGTACAGCCGTGCTCCTCTGGCTCCTCAAAACACACACTCATCTTCCCTTTTTAGGGGGTGTGGGAAGGATCCACTGTGGGGGAAGGATTTATCTGTGTGGTTTCCCAGGGTAAGATCTCTGCCTGGCAATGCGCATTGCTGGGTAGGTTGTTGTCCAGCACAGAGGGTTTTGCAAATGCAAAGAGGCAGCTATGCTTTGGGGTATGTTGTGGAGACAGAGGAAAATGTGGTGTTATAAACAGCTAAGGATTTTTAACCATCTTTAACTAGGGTGTGCTTAGTTCCATATGCCTGTTCTAAAACTCAGACAAATGAGGCAAAGGGAGAATTCATGTAATTTGCTTTTAAAAAACCCATGGTGGGCACATTAGTTGTATTTCTTGCATAACATTATGTAGACCTTATGAAAACACGTAACAGTATACATTCCCCTGAAAGAGACCAAGAGCTGAGCAAAAATTAGTGAGTCAGTCTGGGCGTGGTAGCTCACGCCTGTAATCCCAGCACTTTGGGAGGCAGAGGCGGGCGGATCACCTGGCCAAGGCCAGGATTTCAAGACCAGCCTGCCCAACATGGCAAAACCCCATCTCTACTAAAAATACAAAAATAGCTAGGTGTGGTGGCATGCGCATGTAATCCCAGCTACGTGGGAGGCTGAGGCACGAGAGTCGCTTGAGCCTGGGAGGTGGAGGTTGCAGTGAGCCAAGATCACGCCATTGCACTCCAGCCTGGGCAACAGAGCGAGACTCTGTCTTAAAAAAAAAAAAAAAAATCAGTGAGTCAAATCATAATCCAGAGAATCTTTTTTTCTTTTACAGCCGAATGTAATTAAGTGTAGAATCAAATTAATTTCCCATGCTTTTGTAACATTCATAAATGCCTTATAAAATTACCTAAGGGCTTTGATTTTGCTCTTCTCCAAGGGAAAGCCTGGGTTTTACATGTAGATAATTGAAATCCAGACTTCCTAGCAGGCGGGCTAACAAACTGCCTCACAGTACATTGTGGGTTTCCATGATCTATGGAGAGTGGTGGTTGAAACAGTTTATCAACTAAATTATTTATGATATGCTAATGATTCATTAGTATTACATATGTATAGTTACCTAATTGCACCTATATCCATAACAACAAAAAAGTAATTAATTTGGTCCTGGTGAAGTAACTATTATTCTGACAAAAAGTAGACTCTTCAGTTTCTCCTGCATTAAATTCACCTTTCAATCCCTGAGGCTGTGGAAACAGAAGTAGATGAAGGCAGCAGAGCCAGGGCTGCTTCTGAGCTTGCCAGTCATTTGCTTTTATCATTTGGGATCTTGGATAATAGCCAACTCTGCAAAGCAGCCCCAGATAAGAAGGAAACTGCACCTCAGTAATGACCTGCTCTTGTCAGAGGAGTCTGGCGCCATCTAAATGGGAAGAAGATGGGACCCCTGTGGCCCTGACTCCCATATTCCATGGAAAGTAGCCGTGGCACCCTGTGGCCACCTTTCTGAGGATGTGCTGGGCCAGTCACCCATGCAGGTGCCCCACATTCCCTCAGCGTCACAGTAAAGGCAGAGTCCTTTTTACAGATGAGGAGACCGAGACTGGGGAAGGTGGTTTGAGGGTTCAAGGTCTCATAGAAATTTGGAGGAATAGCCCTTGAGGGGTGCTGTTGGCAATCATAGCTTTGCTGGGTTCCTCCCTCAGGGTGAATGTCAAAGCACTGAAATCCAGGTCTCAATGTTGGGATTTAATACTTTCTCAAGTGTGGGGCCAAGGTGTCTGCCAGAGTCCCTGCTGATAACAAATTCATTTTTTCCCCACCTCCCTCCTTCTTGTGCCCTCTCTTATTCCATCTCCCCCATTGCCTTGTGCCCATTCTTGGTGCTAAGGCACAATGGAAGCCTTGGCAAGCACAGTCCCTGCCCTTTCTCTGTCCATTCCCCAGAGAGGGGCATCTTGAGCCTGGGTTTGGCTGAGGATTTCCAGAGAACACATGAGCCAGAGAAGGAGGCCCTGGAAAGCTCTGGGACCTTCTTCCTGCTCTGGGTGTTCACAACTGGGACGCCTGGGCTGCTGCTTCTGAGCCCAGGACTCCTGAGGGAAGAGGACGTGCCTGTGTGGGAGCAACAGCCTGTGGGCTCAGAGGCTTGCCAGGACACAGACAGGCAGGATGGGCCCCTTGCCCTGGCTGTGCACTGAGGTTTGTTTACATTTACTGAGGGATTTCCAGAGGATTTGATGTCTAAGATCCATCAGGCATGTGCAAAACTATGAGTGTGAGTCATGACACAGGGGGTGTTGTTCCAGGATTCCTCTCGTGGTCCTGACAAATTTTATATAAATCTAGATTTGGGGTGTAAAATTCAATCACTTAAAAAATATGCCTGGGGAGTCCCTAACCTAACTAACTAAGTAACTTCATGCAAAAGCACGAGGTCCTTAATTCTCACCCAGCAGAAAAACTATGCCCCCTGGGCTTCCAGCAGGACACAATGTCCTTGTCTGGGATTCAGTCTTGGGAGTGTTAGCTGTGCCTGCTCACCGGGCAGTGGAGAAAGCTGGGTCACCCAGGTCCTGGGATTTCTGCACAATTTCTCCCATTCTGCTCCTGCAGTCTCCTCCAGGCCCCGCTCCAGATCACCTTCCCTCGCTGGCCCAGGAATCCATCTCCTTCCAGGACCTTAGCCCAGGACTAACACAGCTAAGTGATGCTGGCCTTCCCACCTGCCCCCTCTCATTTGTTCCCCAGGAACCAAAGTCGTCCCTTGTGCTTGTCCTTCTGCCAAGCATGCCCTCTTTCCTCCCTTGCCTTCTTCTTTCTTCCTTGTCTGTCTTCCTCTTAACATGTCTTTAAAATCCATGCTGCTCCTCGCTACCTGGAGCTGCAGCAGGAGGAGAGCAGGCTTGCTGGACCGGAGAAGCAACTCCAGGCAGCAAGACCCCTGGGCCCTCATCTGTGAGGCTGCTTGCGATTTGCTTCACAGCCGTGGGCTCAGGCTCATGTGAGAGTCTATTAAAGCTATTTGACCAAAAAAAAAAAAAAAAAACACACAAAACACAAAACACCAACCCACAAATAACAAAAAAAAAACTTCAAAAGCAAGTTTAGCACTTATTCATTGTGTGGATTCACAGTCGGTACTTGCTCATCTGCATTGTTTTACTGAGATTCCTCCAAAAGGTCATCCTCCCAACCTCTTAAACCTGCTGTGATGTCCACTGTGGGGTCTCCATGCTCTTCACAGTCTTCCTTCTATTCTCAAGTTCTTCTTTCACTCAAAGTCCACTCAAACCTCACCTCCTACAGGACGACTGTCTTAGTGGGGCCATGATTGCAGCTGGTTCCCGTGTCCAGCGTTGGGAGGATTCTCCTGGCATGTTTCTAAAATGTGTGTCACCTAGGAGGTCTGTCCTCTCGAGAGACTGGGTTTCCAGACAAGGGCCAATGCTAGAAGAAACATCTCTAAGTGTAAACTGAAATGGATTAATCAAGCCAAGGGACTAATCACATATAAAATAGGGAGACGAGTTTTCTTTAGTTCTTTGCGTTTGTGGGCCATTTCCAGCTGCCCTGGCCTGAAGAGCCGCCTCCAGGATCCTGCTCCTGGGTCCCTCTCTTTGCAATAGGATTTTCTCTTGCTCACATATTGGAGATGGAGTCAGGACTAGATGTCAGATTTTCCCAGTTGTCATCCAAGTTACCTTGGGTCCTCCTGCTACTTCCTGCCAGCCAGGGCCCAAATAGGACTAACATCTACTGTCCTTTATCAATCAATTCAGTGAGCCCTGATATCTAAGAAGCCCTCCACAAACACACACACAACAGGTTCTATGTTCCAATAAATTTAGAAAACATTGTTAAACAAAATTCAACAGATTCTGAAGGATTTCTCAGAGTCTTTACTGTGCTAATGTGCAATTAAAATAAAACAAGTTCTGGGCCGGGCATGGTGGCTCACGCCTGTAATGCCAGCACTTTCGGAGGCCAAAGTGGGTGGATTACGAGGTCAGAAGTTCGAGACCAGCCTGACCAACATGGTGAAATCCCGTCTCTACTAAAAATACAAAAATTAGCCAGGCATGGTGGCACACGCCTGTAATCCCAGCTACTCAGGAGGCTGAGGCAGGAGAATCGCTTGAACCTGGGAGGCGGAGGTTGCAGTGAGCCGAGATGGCGCCATTGCACTCCAGCCTGGGAAGCAAGAGCAAAACTCCGTCTCAAAACAAACAAACAAATAAATAAAACAAGTTTTGTAGGACTTTTCAGATCCTTCAATGTGCTCAGGAGTATTGTGAATTTCAAAGAAGGAATATGCAAAGATTCTCAACTATTTTAACCATTAGTGTTCCACCTAAAACATGGTTTGGGAAATGCTAGACAGATCTACTAGAAATAGATGGATATTACAATGTATACAGATAGGGAGAGCCCAGCTAACAGGAGGTAGAGAATATTTTGCTATTTAAATATAAACATTCAAGTACACAAAATCATCTTTGTACTTATATATTTGTTAATATTAACTGTTCAAAACAAAATAAAAACTTATTGTGGATTTGGGGTGACTTCTAGTCCAAATGTATCCAGATGAATTGAACTATTGCATTTGCCTCAGGATAAATAAAAGTAGAGATGAGATTTGGCAAGGAATGTCCCTCAAGGAAAGGGAGTGAGAGCTGGTAGTCCCTGGTGGAATTTGGGAGTCCTAATGGGAGCCCTCAGAAGGAAACTGGTGGGAAGTGAGAGCGCTTGAAGATCTGTGGGCAGAGGTTTTGGAAGGAATGTAGCAGGCATGGCACGGACTCTCCCCTCCTCCTCCATCAGCAGTCCACATCCTTCATTACCTCCCACCCCAGGTTTGACTCAAGGGCTTACATCTCAGGGTCTCATTTCCAGACCTCATTTCCTGTTTCCGTAGCAGGGGTTTTAGGATGGCTTCTGCTTCAGGAACCCAGAAAAAGTGTAAGAAGTGTGTGTGTGTATGCGCATATATGTGTGTATATATGTGTGCATGCATGAGTGTGTACCTATGTGTATGTGAGCATGAGTGTTGGCATGTTTGTGTACGAGAGCATGTGCAAGTGCATGTATTATGTGTATGCATGTACATATGAGTGTGTGTGCTTGTTGGGGCCAGCTTCATGGCTGTGCAACCCACACAGTCACATAGGGGCCCTGTGCTTAGAAGTGCTGCTTGTTTGATTGAATGCTGGATGTGTTGAAATTCCTAATAATTTTTGGACCACGGGTCCTGCTAACTATAGAGCAGGTCATGGTGCTTGTGTGTGTATGTAGGGTTGAGAGTGTCTGTGTGTGTATGTGTATGTGCATGTGTATGTGGGTGTATGCTGGTGCTCCCGGAGCTTTCAGGAAACTCAGGGGACTGGGATCCAGATGAGTTTAAGAGCCCTTGCTAACCTTTTTAGGGTCAGTGAAAAACTGAATAGATAGGAGAAGTACGATCACAGTCATATCACAGTTTGATAAAACTGCCCATCAGTAGTGTGGAGGCACTCTTACCCCATCAGAGCACTTGGCATGCACACTATAAATGTTCATTTGCGTGTCTGGTTGCTCTATGGGTAGGTAAGTTTCCTGAGAGTGAAGCCACACATCTGACTTATTTATTATGGTTTCTTTGGCACATAGCACAGTAGCCAACATACAGTATGTGCTTAATAAACATCTGTTGAATAAATAAATATGTCACAACCCAAGCAGATGTCCTCAGAATGCCTATGTGTCTTTGGCCTTATCATAGGTGTTTGGGGTTGGAAGGGTCAAGAGGTCCATGCCTCTGCCATCAGACAGGACCTTCAAAATATTTTCCTTGACCTAATGCCATCTTGTGTCCCCTTGCAGAGCCCTATTCCTAACATGGCTGATGACTATGGCTCTGAATCCACATCTTCCATGGAAGACTACGTTAACTTCAACTTCACTGACTTCTACTGTGAGAAAAACAATGTCAGGCAGTTTGCGAGCCATTTCCTCCCACCCTTGTACTGGCTCGTGTTCATCGTGGGTGCCTTGGGCAACAGTCTTGTTATCCTTGTCTACTGGTACTGCACAAGAGTGAAGACCATGACCGACATGTTCCTTTTGAATTTGGCAATTGCTGACCTCCTCTTTCTTGTCACTCTTCCCTTCTGGGCCATTGCTGCTGCTGACCAGTGGAAGTTCCAGACCTTCATGTGCAAGGTGGTCAACAGCATGTACAAGATGAACTTCTACAGCTGTGTGTTGCTGATCATGTGCATCAGCGTGGACAGGTACATTGCCATTGCCCAGGCCATGAGAGCACATACTTGGAGGGAGAAAAGGCTTTTGTACAGCAAAATGGTTTGCTTTACCATCTGGGTATTGGCAGCTGCTCTCTGCATCCCAGAAATCTTATACAGCCAAATCAAGGAGGAATCCGGCATTGCTATCTGCACCATGGTTTACCCTAGCGATGAGAGCACCAAACTGAAGTCAGCTGTCTTGACCCTGAAGGTCATTCTGGGGTTCTTCCTTCCCTTCGTGGTCATGGCTTGCTGCTATACCATCATCATTCACACCCTGATACAAGCCAAGAAGTCTTCCAAGCACAAAGCCCTAAAAGTGACCATCACTGTCCTGACCGTCTTTGTCTTGTCTCAGTTTCCCTACAACTGCATTTTGTTGGTGCAGACCATTGACGCCTATGCCATGTTCATCTCCAACTGTGCCGTTTCCACCAACATTGACATCTGCTTCCAGGTCACCCAGACCATCGCCTTCTTCCACAGTTGCCTGAACCCTGTTCTCTATGTTTTTGTGGGTGAGAGATTCCGCCGGGATCTCGTGAAAACCCTGAAGAACTTGGGTTGCATCAGCCAGGCCCAGTGGGTTTCATTTACAAGGAGAGAGGGAAGCTTGAAGCTGTCGTCTATGTTGCTGGAGACAACCTCAGGAGCACTCTCCCTCTGAGGGGTCTTCTCTGAGGTGCATGGTTCTTTTGGAAGAAATGAGAAATACAGAAACAGTTTCCCCACTGATGGGACCAGAGAGAGTGAAAGAGAAAAGAAAACTCAGAAAGGGATGAATCTGAACTATATGATTACTTGTAGTCAGAATTTGCCAAAGCAAATATTTCAAAATCAACTGACTAGTGCAGGAGGCTGTTGATTGGCTCTTGACTGTGATGCCCGCAATTCTCAAAGGAGGACTAAGGACCGGCACTGTGGAGCACCCTGGCTTTGCCACTCGCCGGAGCATCAATGCCGCTGCCTCTGGAGGAGCCCTTGGATTTTCTCCATGCACTGTGAACTTCTGTGGCTTCAGTTCTCATGCTGCCTCTTCCAAAAGGGGACACAGAAGCACTGGCTGCTGCTACAGACCGCAAAAGCAGAAAGTTTCGTGAAAATGTCCATCTTTGGGAAATTTTCTACCCTGCTCTTGAGCCTGATAACCCATGCCAGGTCTTATAGATTCCTGATCTAGAACCTTTCCAGGCAATCTCAGACCTAATTTCCTTCTGTTCTCCTTGTTCTGTTCTGGGCCAGTGAAGGTCCTTGTTCTGATTTTGAAACGATCTGCAGGTCTTGCCAGTGAACCCCTGGACAACTGACCACACCCACAAGGCATCCAAAGTCTGTTGGCTTCCAATCCATTTCTGTGTCCTGCTGGAGGTTTTAACCTAGACAAGGATTCCGCTTATTCCTTGGTATGGTGACAGTGTCTCTCCATGGCCTGAGCAGGGAGATTATAACAGCTGGGTTCGCAGGAGCCAGCCTTGGCCCTGTTGTAGGCTTGTTCTGTTGAGTGGCACTTGCTTTGGGTCCACCGTCTGTCTGCTCCCTAGAAAATGGGCTGGTTCTTTTGGCCCTCTTCTTTCTGAGGCCCACTTTATTCTGAGGAATACAGTGAGCAGATATGGGCAGCAGCCAGGTAGGGCAAAGGGGTGAAGCGCAGGCCTTGCTGGAAGGCTATTTACTTCCATGCTTCTCCTTTTCTTACTCTATAGTGGCAACATTTTAAAAGCTTTTAACTTAGAGATTAGGCTGAAAAAAATAAGTAATGGAATTCACCTTTGCATCTTTTGTGTCTTTCTTATCATGATTTGGCAAAATGCATCACCTTTGAAAATATTTCACATATTGGAAAAGTGCTTTTTAATGTGTATATGAAGCATTAATTACTTGTCACTTTCTTTACCCTGTCTCAATATTTTAAGTGTGTGCAATTAAAGATCAAATAGATACATTAAGAGTGTGAAGGCTGGTCTGAAGGTAGTGAGCTATCTCAATCGGATTGTTCACACTCAGTTACAGATTGAACTCCTTGTTCTACTTTCCCTGCTTCTCTCTACTGCAATTGACTAGTCTTTAAAAAAAAGTGTGAAGAGTAAGCAATAGGGATAAGGAAATAAGATCTCCAAATACCTTAAAACCATCATGGCTGACAACTTTTTATTTCTCCTCTGTCCAAACTTACTCCTCAGGCTTTTCCGTGTTAGTCAAATGGAATTTCCAAGGAGGACTATTGGAACAGCACAGTAAACCACCCCTGGCTTTGCCACTTGCTTTAGAGGAAGCATCTAATTTCCCCAGTGCCTTGTGGATCGCTGTGGTTTCCATTCCAACGCCATCCCTTTCCAAAGGGGAGACAAAAGCACTGGACCCTGCCATTTCACCCTTTTTCTCCCTGCCCACTTCTAAAGCACATGAGAATGAGGAATAAAGTGAGCAGACATGGGCAGCAGCCAGGGAGGGCGAAGGGGTGAAGCGCAGGCCTTGCTACCCCATCAACATGCTGCCCGTGAGGGGGCAGTGGGTGGGAAGAAAACATCGGCCTGGGACCAGCAGATCAACGTGGGCCCAGCACTGGCACTGCATCCGTAGTTAAAGGGAGGATAACTTCTCCAAGGTCACTTATGAACACAGCCATCCATTGACCATTTCCAAGAGGAGACCCAGATATTTACCCTTATAGGAACTTGAGAGAATAAAAAAGATGCATGAGCCACTTCTAAATAACATTGTGCAGTTAGGTGCAAAGAACACAGCTGAGTTTGGCTTTTATTTTTAGATACTGCGGTTCTGATGCTCTGTCATGGGAGTCCCAGTGGTGCTGAGCCTCACACAGGGCAGCCTCACCAGGACAATTATGGAGCCTTCCCAGGTGGGAGCCTGGGCAAGTAGCTTTGTGTGGACCTGTTCTGGTACATGTTTTAAATGCCCAGACTCCTCATCACACACAAATTTCTTGTGTGGGGTAGGAACAATATAATGAATTAATATCTTTATAAACATTTAAAATTAATCATTTCTCAAATATGTACTTCATGTGTCAGAGTTCAGCAGCTAGGAAACTTCTAGAAAATAAAGATTGCCAACCTTGACCATTGGGACATTACATCCTTTGGGCAGTGATGCTGTCCTGCTATCTACAGGCAGCCTGGGGGACTGGTGGTCAAGGAAGGAACTGACTAGACCAGGACTGGACGCCAATGCTTTTCCCAGCTTTGGTGTCCAAGGCTTTGGCCTTGTGAGTTGCCCTGATTGCATCCTGAGAGAGCTGACACAGCTCCTGAGAGAGCTGAGTGGCTATAACTTCTTCTTTGCCCATTGTAGTTGTTACAGAGAGTCCTGAGCAAGGAAGGAAGCAGTCCACAGTGAGCTCCTTCCATTTTGGTCTTGTGGACCTTCCCCCAGGCCATCGCCATTGCAGTATGGCCATTATGGGTGGTATCTTGGTTTCTGTGATGGTGTTGACTTGAATACAAAGCCAAGGCTTTCGTGAAGCATTCATGAGTTGACACCTTTGGAGACCACCACAGTCTTTCTGCTTCATCAATGCAAAGCTGTCTCACACTTCCAGATGGTTCTTTTGTGCTTGCCATCTTTGAGTGGGTTTGCTTGGCTTTCCAGTTCTAAGTTGGCCTCACAAGAACTGGAGCTTCTTGTGGGGTCCAGAACAAAGCACAGCCGAAATCATCCCCCAGCACCAGCCTGGCTCCAGTGCCCACAGATCTCTGTCCCTCACTGAAGTTGGCCACTCCAGCTTCACCGGAGGGTTCTTCTCCTATACATTGGACAGCTTGTCTCAATGTGAGGTCTGTTCAGGGGCTCCCCGTGACTTTGAAAAAAGAGAAGTAATCATGGGCTCCAGCACCTGCACCTGACATGTTTTAGATACTCAAAAAAAATCTTTCTCTCCATTCAACGAGTAGTCACTGATTGTTTAGTCACTGTGTGTGGTTAGTAAGTACCACAGCCTTAGAATTCCCCTCCCAGCCAAGACACACCATAGTGCTTCTGCAATAAAGTCTCTCTCTCTCCCCATCTCATGTGCTCCTCCCTTCCAGTTGAGGTCCCTATCCAACATGCTCCTGGGACAATGAGCTAGTTCTCTAATCATTCCTACATTATTAGAACAGACAACCCAGACAGCTAATGACCCATTTAATGTCTTTCTTTGACTTTTATATTATCAAAGCCTAAAAATGACATGCAAATATGTGTCTTTCCAACAGGTGATTCCTTATGAGGTCCTCTCCACATATTTACTTGTATACGCTCAATTGTGGCACCACAAGCTAAGCAAAAAACCTCTATGGTCATATGGAGATGCCTCAAGAAAGAACTTGTAGGGAGTATGGTCGGCACAGGCCCTCTGGTTGCCAGTTCTTCAGGGCCCGCCTCCACTGCAGAGCCGCCCTGCCCAAGCCAGGCCTTCCCAGGGTCACCTGTCTCTGGTGCCTGTGAGACAGAGAATAGCGTCATCTCAGCCCGATGGTGGCACTCTGATGGGCAGAATCCACTCCAGGGCACTCTGCCAGCACACCCTCATGGTGCACTTTTGAAGAAGGGAATCAGCAGGGCCTTGGCTGTCACACGTCACCATTTAGCATTTGCATGACATGGTCAGTGAGAGGGGTGCTGGCCAACCTTGTGCCTGTCAGTCTTTTTAGCCCCTGGTCCTCAGAACAAAATCTGGCTTGGCAAATGCTGGTCGACTCTCCAAAGCCAGGGCTTTGTGAAGCCTTCATGGCAGTTTGAGTTCTCTCTCTGCCCAATCATGCTTCCTCTCACATCCCTCCAAAGGCATTGATTCCTAATAAACACCTTGCACCCCAAACTCCAGCTCAGTACCTCCTAGAGAAGTCGTCCTGCAACAATTTTCTCACCAGGGGCTGCCAATTCCAAGAGCCCACCTAAGGCTGGATGGGTAAGAACACTGGGTATGCAGGAGATCCATAGTGTGGTTGGGCGCCAGTCACAGAACTCCTCTGAGAAGGCTGAGAGCATGGGTCCTGTCTCATTATAACCTAAGCATTCAGCAGATATGCTTGGGCACCAGCTGCATGCCAGGGGCCCCATGGTGTATAAGACAGCCACGATACCTCCCAGAATTTTGAGCACCATTGCTAACCCTGATTTACAGAGGAAGGAGCTGAGCCTCAGAGATACCAAGTAACTCATCTGAGCCCATGCAGTTAGTAATTGGCTTTGTCTGACATGGTCAGACAAACCAGCCCTTGCTTTGGAGGGTTGACCAGCATTTGCCAAGCCAGACTTTGTGCTGAGGACCAGGGACTGAAAAGATGGACAGGCACGAGTTTGGCCAGCACTCCTCTCACTGACCATGTCATGCAAATGCTAAATGGTAACATGCCACAGCCAAGGCCCTGCTGACTCCCTTCTTCAAAAGTGCACCATGAAGGTGTGCTGGCAAAGGACAATGGTGTCATCTTCACAGAATCGAGAAGGTTCCTAGCTGCTACCTCTCCCAGGCTCTTCCCCACACACATATGGCTGTGGAGCCTTAATTCCTTCATGAAGAAGCCACAGATTTCACCGGAGGTGTGTGTGTGCAGGTCCAAGGACCAAACACCTGGGCCTAGGCATGTGTCTGAACCTTAGAATTCCTGCTGTTGGCTTTCCTCTTCTCCCTGCCCCATTCCCCTGCCTCTCCCATCCCTGGCTCCTCTCTCTCAGATGCAAGACCGATGAATAAATTTCCTGGGCCTGGTACAAGATGTGGCTTTAGGTCAGATTCCCTGTGCGGGATCCAGGCATTACTCACTGCTGTCCCCACGTGGCCCCAGATCTCCTCTGCAGCCAGTCAGATGATCTCAAGGGGCATGCAGACCTCTCAGGTTGGCTCTGTCCATCCTGCCCATGGCCGGTGGTCTGCAGGGCTGGCTTCCGCCCTGGCTCTTCCTCTCTGGGTCTAGGTGGCCAGGCTTAGGCCCCAGTCCCTGGTCTCCCTGGGCTGGGGCTTTCACCAGACCCCAGGCTCAGATCTGAGGAGCTTCCCTAAGCCTCCTCCCCTGCCCAGGGACTGGCATCTCCTTCTGGGAGTCACCCTCCAGGCTTTCCTGAAAAGCTGTGGCTGCTGCCTGGATTCCCTGGCCTGATGATGGCCCTGCCCCTCACCACCTGGACGAACACTGTGCCTGCTCCACCAGCGGCCCTCGCTCAGGCCAGGCTCTGTGGCCAGGTAGGTGCTTCAAGGAACCTGTCTCTTCCTGCATCTGCTGCAGCATCCTTCTGCAGACTCTCCACTTTCTAGACCTCAAATACACATTTCAAGCACATCTGAATTGTGTCATCTGGAAATTTCTAAACAGTGTAAACAACCCTCAGTCAAGAGCTGGCCGAAGCGTCCCTTCTCGTATTAAAAGGTACTATGGCAATTGCTGATGTGGCTCGCTGCGTGGGCATGGCAAGATGACGTGGCAAAGTCCCAGAGTGACAGTTAGAGCCCGGTTATCCTCCTGTGTGGCACACTGCTTGTCCCTTTCCTTCACAGCACTCCTCTCATTTGTAATTCGCTAGTATTCTTCTTCCTACTGATTGATCCTCTGACTCCTATGTTTGGACCCTCAGCAACAAGCAGCCACGGACTGTGCGTGTTCTTGCTCACGTGTGTCTGCCCAGCAACAGGTACAGTGCCCAGAATGAGAGCTGCGTCTCTAGCATTTGCATGATGTTATGACAGTCTTTGAGGCCAGAAAGAGCTACAGCAATGGAAAATGTTTGGAGACTTGGAGAGTTAGGCAAGAAAGACAGGGACTGAACTCTGAACAGCTGCAGACAGTGAGTCAGCTGGGTGGATTAAGGATGACCTATAGGAAGCAGGGGAGAAAGGAGCAACAGTTTCTTTGATGCTCCTCCCATCAAAACATGGGGTTGATGTCCCCTCTCCTTGAATCTGGGTGGGCTCTGGGTTTGCTTGAACAGTGGAATTTGGTGCAAGGGATGCTGTGCCAGTTTCTGGGTGCAGACTCAGAAGAAGAGGCTGGCAGCTTCCACATCCTGTGCCGTGGGAGGCTTGCTCTGGAAACCCTAAGCTGCCGTGTCAGAAGGCTGCCCACCCTGAGACCACCGTGCTGGAGAGGCCACAAGTAGGCCCAGCATTTCAACTGTTGCTGTAATTAGCCTCATTCAACATTTATTGAGCATTTAGTACATGCTAAGCACTGGGCAAGGTGGTGAGCAACGGCAGACACAGGCGTGGTGCTCATGAAACTCACAATCACAGACCCAAGTCACACCATCACAGGAACAAGCTGATGGTTATCAGTACAGGAAGCTAGAGAGTGTGACAGGGGACTCTGATCTGCTCTGGAAAGGGGAGCCAGGGAAGGCGTCCCTGAGGAGGTAGCGTTTGAGCTGAGAGCTGAAGAATGGACAGGAATGACCTACAGGAAGCAGGGGAGAAAGGGGAGGAGGGCGGTGTGTGCCAAGGCCCCGCACCACTCATGCCTGTGGGACATCACTGTCAACTCTCTGGTGAAGTGTCCATGCATGCAATTGGTTTAGGACTTCTCCACTCATGTTCTTTTCTTTTTAAACTTTTTAATTACAGAAATTTAAAAACATACACAAAAGCAGAGGGAATAGTATTAATGCAGGGGTCCCCAACCCCTGGGCCACAGACCACTACTGCTCTGTGGCCTGTTAGGAACCAGGCTGCACAGGAGGAGGTGAGTGGCAGGCAAGTGAGTGAAGCTTCGTCTGTATTTATAGCTGCTCCCCATCGCCTGCATCACCGCCTGAGCTTCGCCAACTGTCATATCAGTGGCGGCATTAGATTCTTACAGGAGCACAAACCTATTGTGAACATGCAAAGGATCTAGACTGTGCACTCCCTATGAGAATCTAATGCCTGGTGATCTGTCACTGTCTCCCATTACCCCGATGAGATCGTCTAGTTGCAGGAAAACAAGCTCAGGCTTCCCACTGATTCTACATTATGGCGAGTTGTATAATTATCTCATTATACATTACAATGTAATAATAATTAAATAAAGTGCACAATAGATGTAACATGCTTGAATCATCCCAAAATCACCTCTCCACCAATGCTGCAGGTCCATGGAAAAACTGTCTTCCACAAAACTGGTCCCTGGTGTCAAAAAGGTTGGGGACCGCTGGTATAATGAAGATGCACATACCCCTCACCCAACTTCAATAATGATTAACATTCTGTCCATTTTTGGTTTCAGCTACACTTCCCACTTTTCTTTCCTTTCCTCTTCTTTGTTTCATCTGCTCCCTTCCTTCTTTTTCCTTCCTTACCTTCTTCCTTTTAAAAACAAGTTTGCTGTAGTATTTTAAAGAAAATCCAAGACATCATGCAATTCCCTTAAAAACTCATGCTCTTATCCTTATAAAGCCCCAAATCACAATTTTAAAACATTAAAATAAGAAATGGAGACTGGATGGACTCTTCCTCTGTGTGGTTAGGCCACCACTCAACAAAGGAACCGAAGGAGGGACGGAGTCCCCTGGGGATAGAGCAGCAAGCTCGGAAAGGCCTCACGCCGTGGGTGGCACTTTCTCAGGGGGGTAATCTCCAGGTGGCTCAGAATGCTCTACAGAGGCTGATAAAGGCCGCAGTGAGCTCCAGGGTTTCTCTTGTTCAACTTTTGGAAACCAGGAAGTTTCTAAGGACCACAGGAAAACTGATGTTGCCTGAGACAAGGTGGGACCATCACCCCTAATTCTCACAGGTGGCTCTGAGACAGGAAAGTGATCAGCAGAGTTAAGTGGCTAAAAGAAGAGCCATTGGTGATTGGAGGGTTATGAGTGAGAGGGAAGTCAGAGAGGAGAGGAAGGTAGGGGCACTGTTCAGGCGCAGATGATGAATTTTGATTTATTCCACTTCAGGAAGATTTTTAAGTGGGGTGTGGCATGATCCAATTCATGTTTTAAAGATCTCTAAAGCCCCCAGGAGAAGAAGGGTGGTGGCTGGGGGTTAGGGGTGGTGCAAGGAAGCAGGGATGCCAGTCAGGAGCTGTTGCAGTTGTTCAGGAAAAAGATGGTGGTGGCGGAGTTGGAGTGACGGTGGTGGTTGTGGTGTAGAGAGATGGATGGCTTTTGACTTACTCTGGGGGTAGACACAATGGTGAAGATTAGAATTGAAAGAAAGGAAGGCATCAAGGATGACTTGGGTTTTGAATCTGCACGTTTGGGTGGTTGGTGGTGCTGCCCCTGGGAGGGGAGGATCAGCAGAGAGCAAGTCTGGGGATGCTACCCGGAAGATGGTAGCCATGAGCATGGGAAGAGCTGAGGTCAAGAGAGAGTGGAGGCTGGCAGCGACCTGGCTAGGAGCAGCTTCCCAGGCATCAACAAGGCAGACTGTGATTGGCTGAGGAGCAAATCAATGGGAAGTGAGGATGTGGAAAGAGGATGTGTAGGTGAAACTTGTGTCAGGTTTGCTATGATAAAGTATCAGGAGTAATCCAATAAAACAACAAAAAAATGTAAATGGATCTCTTTTGGGTTCATTTGCAATTAAATGAAAGAAGTGATTCTAAGAACCTTGCTTGTATTCAATTCAGCTGTGTCCTGGTAACTGTTGCCACAAAATTTAGTGGTATAAAAACAATAACCATTTTATTTTATTCGCCATTTTGTGAGCCGGGAATTTGGAAGGGGCTCAGCAGGGCATATTTAGCTTGGGGTCTCTCATGTGGCTGCAGTTAGATATTGGCTGGGGCTGTGGCCACTGGAAAGCTTAACTGGAAAGCTTAACTACTGGCTTAGGGCCAGTAGTTGATGCTGGCTGCCATGCAGGGCCCCAGCACACGGCAGCTTCAGCAGGGAGGGCTCAAGGTACTCAGACCTTTTACATGGCAGCTGGCTTCCCCTGTGCAAGAGAACCAAGGGGAAGTTGCAGGTCCTTTTCTGACATGGCACCGGAAGCCACACAGTGTCCCTCTGCTCTTCCACTGGTCAGAGCAGCCAGAGGCCAGCCCGGAGTCAAGGGACTCGAGACTCCACCTCTTATTGGAAGGGTGTCAAATAACTCTAGGGCCATATTTTAAAATCACCAAAGGTGGCTACTCTGTAAATTAACTCATCTTTCAATGATCCCAATCACTCGGTCCCCCAACTTGACTAGCTGACTAATGCCCAGAAGTAATCAAAAGAGCCAAGAGAGTAAAAGGGATTGGACAAGGTGTGGATGTCTTTCTCAATGATAACAGCTATCACATTTTGAGGCACAGAGTAGCTAAGTGACTTGTCCCAAGCCAGAGGAAGTAGGTAGTGGCACTAGGAGTTGGATCCACGTCTTTCTGATTCTAGAACCCAATCTCTTAGAGGCTGTTGTACTTTCTCCCCAGTTGAAGTTCAAGCACTGATGTTCCAGTGGTCAGTTTGCACCATATGATCTGGATATAGCTCTTCTCACAAAGGCCCTGAGTCAGGAGGACAGGGGGCCCTAGCTGGGCCAGCCCCTAGGCAGGGGAAGAGGAACTCTGGCCATATTGTGGCTTCCTCCCAGGCCCTCCCCGCTCATGGCTTTATGCCGTTCAGCTTTGCTGGTAAGTAGGTCACCCCTTTGGTGAATGCAGAAAGACATCAACAACTGTGTAATGACTCCAGCATATAGGAATTGGGCATTTGGTTTTTTACTGGGAATTTGAGATGGCCGTAAGATGATGTGAATGTCTTTTTAGAAATTAGTTTTCGCATTTTAAAAGTTAAACTGGCACCTACTAAAAATACTTCAAACGACATAGAAAAGTATAAAGAGAAAAGTAAAAGCATCTTATTCCTGCCACCAACTCCAAAGCCCCACCAGCTCCATCTGCCAAGGCAGCCACTGCTGTGTCCAGCGTCTTTGTCAGGAAATGTCGCATGGGTGTGAATAGTGTTCGTCACATAGTCTCCCAGGGTGCCGTCATATACTGCTTCAATCCAACCCACTTTGAACAAATCCTTTCCTGTTTTTTGCTATCACAGACATTGTGGCCATGAAGATTGTTGCGTGTGTTTTTGCGTACTTGTATGAGTGTATCTGGAGGAGAAGGTGGGTGTTTTACTGAAGATGAAAATTGAGGTGGAAATATGTGCAAGAAGGGAAGATTATAGACTCTTTGGTAGAAATATTACAAAAATGGTCCCAATTCTCTACCCCTCACTGTCCCTGTGCCCTTTATAAAGTGACTTTGCAGTTCCTCCCATCCAGAGGAGTCCCTTTTCCCACACCTGGAATCTGGGCTGGCCTGTGACTTGCTCTGACCAACAGAACACTGTTGAAATGATGTGCCAGGTCTGAGACTGGGCTTTGCGAAGCTCGGGCACTTTTACTCACTCTCTTGGAAACCTGCTCAGTGGCCATCTGAATAAGCCCAGGCTATCCTGTTGGGGTCAGGGAGACCACATGGAGTACAGCCAAGTTGTCTGGCCAAGACCATCCTAGCCTAGCCAGCCTTTCTTTGACCAACTGACCACAGATGTAGGAGTCAACCCCAGCCACGATTAGCCAATGAGCAGCCAACCCTCAGACATGTGGGAGCACAGCCTCAATGCGTAGCTGACCACGGGCAGACAAGGGAGTGAGCCCACCAAGAGTCCAGAGCCCCCAGTCAACCTGCATATTCGTGAGCAAAATAAATCTTCAGTGATTTAAGCCACGGTTTTGAGGTTATCCAACTTCAAATAACGCAGAATAATGCAGCTTGGTCTGACAACAGGTAACTGATACAGCCTTTTGTATTAACAATCATAATAAAGGTCTGAAGGTCAAGGGCTGCCATAGCAAATCCTGGTTTATGGAAAAGCTTTTTATAAGTCATCAGATAATCTAAATTCAAGTAAAATGAGAATGGTTTAGAGAAAACCACTCCTACAGCTGTCTCAGCATAACGCAGTAGCAGTAATATGTTCTGTAAATGGTTCAGACTTACCATCTTCCCTGGGTCTTGGTTCCTCATCTGTAAAAGTGGGCTGACTTACAGCAAGAGCCTAGAAAATTATACAATTACACAAATTAAACAATGCTACTATTGTTACTATTAACAAACCAGTGCTGCAATGAGCTGATCTTTCTCTTGTTTTTCATGAGGACCTGCCACAACCTAAAGATCCTTAACTTTTTTTTTTTTTTGGCCTCATCCACACCTTTGACAATCTGACAAAGCCTATAGCCCCTTTCTCAGAATGCTTTAAAATGCAAACAATAAAATAGAATTACAAACCAATTAAATTGAAACACAATTCTCCAAATATTAAAGCAGATATATGAACTAGTAATATATGTGTCTTTTTACTAATGCATTACATAAAATCTATCAGATCTAATGACAACCTTCATTTCCGAGTGGAGATAAACATAAATGATACTTTGAGAGTCTGCAGAAATTGTCATGTAATACAAAAATATCTGCCATTTCTACTGGTGACAAAGTGACAGGTCTAGCTAGTACTAGTGTGGCATGTTGTCTCTAGTCATAATTGAAGGAAGACTTAAATTTTAATTAGTAGTTAGGGTAAAGATGCCATTTTTTCCCCCACCCATTTTCAAAGACCTTTGATTCTGTGTACCGACCAGCTTAGGAACTCCCTCCTAAACTGACCTCCCCAACGCATACCCCCTGGATACTTTCTCCATTTCTTAAAATTTGGACATGTATGGAACTCTTCTGGATTTGGGGAAGGGGATGTTTTTCCACTCAGAAATGATCTGCCAGTTGGCACCAGAACCCTTGAATAAAAATATAAGCCATAAAAAAGTTATGGTTGTAAACTATTTTACCCTTAGAATAGTTTTATACCAGGGGATTCATTTAGAAACATCCTCCTCTCCAAGACTGAAATTTCCATCATTGCGCCCTAGTGCTTGGGCTAATGGATTTGAGGAAGACGGCCTGGTTCCAAGATTCAAGGATCACAGGTAGAGTTAAATTAGGAGACAGATCAATTAGTTCATTTCCTCCTTTCCTCAAATTCTAATCAAAACAGTGGTGACACAGCAACGTTCACCAGGACCACCTGCTCCAGCATCACCTGGAGGACCTGTGAATGGACCAGACCTGATGAACCAGAATTGGAATGGGTGGTGCCCATGGATCTGCATTTTTTTTTTTTTTTTTGAGACAGGGTCTCACTCTGTCCCCCAGGCTGGAGTGCAGTGGGGCAATCACAGTTGCAGCCTCAAACTCCCAGGCTTAAGGGATTCTGCCACCTCAGCCTCCCCAGTGGCTGGGACTAGAGGCGCCTGGCTAATATTTGAATTTTTTTTGGTAGAGACGGGGTCTCCCTATGTTATGCAGGTTGGCCTTGAACTCCTGGCCTCAAGTGATCCTCCTGCCTCGGCCACCCAAAATGCTGGGATTATAGGCATGAGCCACCACACCTGGCTGGATCTGCATTTTAATATGCCTTCAGGTAACTAAAGCAAGAGAACCTTCTCCTAAGAATCTCTCTGCAACTTCCTTTTATTTACTGACACCTAATAAATGAACAGTTGACTCTGGAGCAAAACTGAGCCCTGGGTGAGTCTTGGGCTTTTCCTGATGGCTCAATACCTGAAACTTTCATAACCAAAGAAGATGGGGGCCTGATCCAGGACCAGTTCTGGTCTCCTTGTCCTTCTTCCACTGGTCACCTTCAGGGCATGAATGTGTGGTCCTCTTTCTGAGACCACCCAACAGCTGGGTGGCGTCCCTGCTGGTGCAGAGGAGCTGCCTCTTCCAAGACCTTGGGTTCCACATAGGAACCCTGTCGCTCATTCACAAGCGTCGTGGGAGGACTGGACTGAGGCTGCTGCCCCTGCTGCTTGTGAAAGCATGCAGGGCCCTGTTTGTGAAAGCTTGCAGGGCCCTGAAGCCACCTCTGAGGCAGAGGAACAAACCGGCTTGTCTTTCCACATCAGCAGTCACTGCCTTTGGTGTCTGTTCCCTCAATGGTCCAGGCTTCCTTACATTAAAGTGCTGCCTCCACCAGATGCATGGGGCAGCTTCAGCCACACCGACACCGTCATTTCTCACTGCCCCTTTCTTCCAATGAGAAAGATGGCTTCTGCTAAGCAGCCCTGGGTCCAGCCCTCCTTGCAGCCTTTAGGGAGGCCCTTTCTGTTACCCCTCTTTTCTCATCACTGCTTTGCTCTCCGATCTTTTATCCCCGCACCGCCCACCTCCGCCCCACCCTTCTCCCTCACCAGCTTTCCTCTCTCAAGCCAGGGAGAAGACAGCACCTGCCCCACTGACCTGGAAGACGGACGTTTTGGCCTCCCAGAAATGGCTTCCTTCTCTCCTCCGAGGCTCAGTCAGAGTCGGCCTTGGGAGCAGAAAGCGGGGGAGACCTCCTGAAATCATTTTTTCTGTGATGATTCTATGGACCCACAGGCCCGAAGACAGACCTGTCCTAGAAACAAGGACTTCCTTTTGGTAAGGACACTCATGCATCTCAGGTTTTGTTCATTTTTTAGCTAAAAAAGACTTAATTCATTCAAGGCTTTAGATGGGGCTGTCAACTCTTAGATAACCTCAGTGCCAGCATGGTGGGAGGTGTGAGGAAACCACACTAGTCTCCGACCTCCCCAGAGCTTGCAGGATGGGGGCGGGAGGAGGGGACACACATCAAAGCCCAGAGGTTGGCCATCACCCTTCTGCTCGCATTACCATCCTTCTTCAGAAAACAGCGGGTGTGGGAAAAGTAAAAGGCTGACCTTTCCCTCACCCCTAACCCACTTTGAATGTCTTTCATAATTGCTATGCTTTCCCCCCGCCCGGCTTTTGAGGCTTCAGCTTCAACTGCTGTCTCAAAAAAAGTCCGTTTTCTCATCTTGGGCTACTGGTTTCACCATCTGTTTGCTCTTCAGATGTGTGTGGGTGGCAAGAGGAGATTTTTCCCACGCGTCTTCAAACTGAAAGGGCTGACCTTGCTGTGAGGAGCCTTCTGAGTCACCCAGGAGTCTCTGCATCCTCAGCCCTCACCCGGCAGAGTGGCAGGGAGGGGCGGGGCACCTCTTTGTGCCACAGAGCCTGTGAACACTGAACTGGGCCCGGATTACCTGGAATCAAGCGTGGGGCTTGGAAACCCTCCAGCAAAGACTTGGGTCATCTTGAGTTATTCTGCAGTTTAGCAGGGTGGGGTGAGGTGGAATGGAGGATTTTGACCTGGAGGTCCCCAGATCCCAGCCCCAGATGCACAGCACACACATATATGTATGTCTCAACTGTTTCTTGTTCTAGCCCCCAGCCCATGAGGCCCCCAAGCCTCAGGAAGGACTGTTGTATTAACAAAGAAACTCTCTGGCTCTGTCATTTGGGGCAGGTGGAGTAACTATCTGCCATTACTGCAATCTGGTTACTAGATAGATACTTGATCTGAGGGTACCTTTTTATTTTTTTGAGACAGGGCCTCACTCTGTCACTCGTGGAGTGGCATGATCTTGGCTCACTGCAGCCTCTACTGAGTTGGGACTATAGACATGCACTACCACACCTGGCTAATTAAAGAAAAAAAAATGTAGAGACGGGGTCTCACTGTGTTGCCCAGGTGGTCTTGAACCCCTGGGCTCAAGCAATCCTCCTGCCTTGGACTCCCAAAGTGTTGGGATTACAGGCGTGAGCCACTGCGCCCAGCCCAAGGGCATCTTTGACATAAGAGGGGGTGCAGGGGGTGGGACTGAGTGACCAGCTATCATTGCCTGTATCTCCTCCTGCAGGCCCACCCTTTCCCTCCTCTGCCACCGGAGTGTTTCAGGAGCCTCTATTCCTGGCAGAGTTAGTCGCCAGTGGGAATGCTGATGACTTTTTGGCGACCCAGGGCACTGGGACTGACCCGAGAGGTCAATTCAGTATTTTTTGAGTCCCTTCCTGCCTGGCATGTTGCTCGATGCTGCGGTGGGGAGAGAAGGGAGGAGGGAGATGAAGATAAAGATGAAGGATTCACTGTCTTTTATCCTTGGGAGAGAACCAGAGTTACAGAAAATGTGACTTCTTCCATGGAGTAACAGATTAAAGAAGAGGCCAAACGAAAGTCTGGCAGCAGGAGAGGGCTGGCGGAGGAAGGGCGGTGAAGGGGTGGTGTGGGGAGGTGTTCTTTTGAGGTGCAGAGCACTGCAGGGACAGAGCCCTGGTCATCCCTGGAGTGGGGGTGTGAGGTGAGTGTGGGTGGGCTGCCCAGCCTGAGCTCAGTCCAACATCCAGCAGTGACCAGGGCATGCCCCTCTGGGCCTCTGTCCAGGCTCTTTGCTGACCCAGCCAGAGAAAGGTATGCGGGAATGGGAGGGCTGACTTCTTCCTCTGCCAGCCATCTCAGCCTGGCAGTCTTGCCCAGCTTTGTACCTCATATTGACCAATCATGGTTTTAGGCCATCCATGATGCTTCTCCCCAGCCCCATTGTTCCGGTAAACTCAGAAGTCTGCTCTTTGCTCAACATGCTCTGTGGGTGCCCTGGGAGATCTGGACATTTGAGCTGAGGCTAGAAGCCCATAGGGCACAACAGCATGGATTGAAAGACAGGCTGTCTCAGGCAGGTCTAAACACCACCCTCACAGCAGGCCAGGAAGCAGCCAGGTGCCAGGCCACCTGGAAACTTCCCAGAACATCTGCTGGCTCAAGTCCTCCTGAAAAGCCACCATAAAAGATGCTCTATTTCCCAGCAGCACAGCTCAACCCCAACTCAGCTCTGTATAACTTCGTGGTGCACTTTATGTCCCAAAAAAATGAGAGACAAATGTCTAAATGTCATAGTGTTTACTTTATTTAAATCCTGAGGTTAAAAATAAAGTATTTCCACATGGCATGGCAGACACTATAAAATAATATGCTTAGGGATACAAAAGTTTTCCACCCCCATTGAGCAGGTGGGGTGCTGGTATTTGATGTGCTTCTAGATAATTCTTTGGCAGATAAGAATGAATTGGGGTCCCAGACCCACCATCCCGTAAGGCCACATGAATTGAGGATTAATCAATTAAAGTGCAATTCCAAATGTTGAGCCTTCCAAATGAGGCTTGGGTATTGCTCTGCAGCCACCAGAGGCAGAGTGTCTCTGCATAACATACATCAAGCAGCCTTTTTCTTTTTTTAAATCAGAGATGCCTCCCCAAATTTCAAGATGTACTTTATTATTTTAAAAGTGCTTAAGAGGAAAGAGAGAATTATTAATTCAGTCTCTCCTGTTTCCTTGGAAGAAACATAATGAAATGAGAAGAACTTACTAAAGTTCCCCTACAAAGTGCTTTCTTGGTAAGTGTTTTGTAAACAAGAATGGCCGTCTCGATGGTCTTTGTGTACATGACCATCCTTGGTTCTAAGCATCACGAATGGCTTCTCTCTGCTTTAATTCCCAACACCTCTGAGCCAAGGACAGTTTCTTGGCCTAAAGAATTCTCATATGTAGAATCATGCGCACTTTTAAAACTGAAACTCCTTTAAAATTTCATCAGTGGACATCCAACCATATCATAAAACACAGGCTCTGTGATTTCATCCCCAACTGGCGATTTCCTTTCATTTGGGCCTGAAATAGTTTCACCACCTTCGATGATAATTTTAAAATTTCCAAAACACCATTTATTCTTGAGTTATATGACGTGGCTTTTCATTTCTATTCTCCAAACCCTGTGGAGTTTTTCAGTTCCCGTGTCTTTGCCTGCTCTTGGTCCAGTCCACCTGGAATCCAGTGTGTTGAGGTCAAGCACTCTGTAGAGTCCACTTGGACCTGGAGGACAACACTTTGTGCCAAACGTGCCTCCTTGTTTGTGGGTAAGTGAATCTGACAGAGGTTGGCATGTTCTTGAAGGTGGTGAGTGGCTTCAGTGGCATGATGAAGAAGGCATCTGGTATCGATATGAAGACGTAACTGTTATTCAGAGAGATGAGCCATCAAGGGGCTGCCCCTTTTAAAAAAAAAAAAAAAGAGTGATCTGGGATCCCAAGGACGCTTCCTTCTGGCTGATTTCTAGTGTAATTCAGTCTAGCCAGGGCTACCACCTGCAGCAGTGGTTCTTCAATTGCTATTTGCATTTCTTTAAAGTACCCCAGTCCTTAATTCTCAGTAAAGTTGGGAATCTGATTAATATCAGAATAAAGCTATTTATAAAAGCCACTCTTAAATATGCCAAGATGTTTTGTAGCTGCAGAGAGCACAGCAAACTTGAGCTTAAACAGCAACCTAACAAAATACAAATGTCCACCCAGCACAAAAAATAAATTCGCTAATGAAACCACATAGTTAGGAAGTCACCTCAGGGCACGGGGCAGTCCTCCGAATGCAGCAAAGGCTTTTTTTGAACAATAGCAGTCAGTGCTCAAGGTGTTGCACGCAAAACATCCAGCTCTCCTGGAGGAGTGGTTCTGGGTAAGCTGCAACCGGTCCTCTGCTGTGGAGTGACATGTTCAGGAAGGACCTCAGATGGAATGTCCCAGGCCCCAAACCCATTAGCTACTCAGTGAATGGTGGTTCTTGTTGCATATGGTGCCAGTGACACTTCAGAAGGTCATCAGCTTGGCCAGAGTCTCCGCAGTATCCTTGGAAAGCCAAGCACTCAAAGATTCTAGATTGCTCTGGGTTCTCTTTTGTTAGTTTCTTTCTAACAGTGAACAAGCTGACTTCTGATTATCATTTGCAAGTGGCTGGATGGATTCAAAGTTAGCATGATTTGTTCTGAATCATCTCAGGCCACGTGGCATGCCTGTGAGGACAAACATCAGGCCAAGAAGAGTCGCTGGGGGCCTGGCCACCTCTATTCCAGTACTAAGCATGGTCAGAGCCTTGGCCAGGAGAAGATGATTGAGCACCTGATGGCTTTCTGCCAGAAGAGGCTGCTCCAAGGAAGCCGAATGCAAGAGGCCCAGCTTTTCTCTGGGCAACCTCTTTGAAAGGTTCTATTCCCTGTTCCCCATGCCTTGCTTAAAAACTGACTGGAAGTGCTCAACTCTCCTGTTTAAAGGTCTGAGTCCATTCCAGAAATGACCTCTTACTTGTGGCCCCACAAAAGTCCTCTTTGTTGGTGGTGAGGTTGTGGCTGCTGGTGTGTGGTGGGTTTGGGGTCTCTGTTGGACTTGGCCTGGAGTCCCTGACCCATTCTCAAGCCCTCAAAACCAGCCAGACCAGGGTTATGACAAAGAGAAACTTTGGGAAATGTGTGACTGGACTTAGGTCACAAGGGTAGCTGGAGGAACTGCCGGGCCCAGCTCTCAGATTCTCGGATAGCCTGTCTGGTGCTCTCTCCCTCACCCCTGGCCAAACTGGGACCTTTTGTCAGATGCTCTGTTCACCCATGGAAGAACCTGGGGCCTGACTGCAGGCAGCTGGTTCCATGAACAAGGGACGAAGAGCTGTCCAAGGTGAGCTATCTGTTGTTGGGGAAGAAAAGGACCACAGAGAACAGGGAAGATTAAATAATTCTTGTCTGGGAATAGGGAACAGGATCTCTCTGCCTCAAGGGGGGATGTCTCCTGGAGGTCTGGTGTGGGCTGAGCAGTGGGAAGTGGGCAAATGGGCTGTTGGGGAACCTGTCAGGAGGGGAGTGGGGCCCAGGGATCCATCATGCCTCTGTTTACTCTGTTACTTTGGTTCTTAAGTTATCAAAGACTTTTGTTAAGAAGGCCCCAATGTTTGAAAGTGGTTCTAATCCTGGCTATGATCATTAGTAAACATGTCTGCAGGTGGGGCAGAAGCTCTTATTTATATAAACAAAAGTGGGCCATCAGCTGAGGAGTAGCTCTAAAGCCAATGCACAATCCTGCTCTGTGGTCACAACATCCACACTGGCTGGCATTTGGGCATTAGATGTAGTGTACACACAGCCATTGCAGGCCCCAAGTACAGTGGGTTTTGCTCTTGGATTATCTTTACTTCTGATTCTTAGGGCAATGCTTTGAGCTGTGGAGAGGTCTGGCTGAGTGAAGGGCTTTATTTGAGGACAGAATCACCCAGACAAAAGGGCCAGAAAGAGAGTGCAGCTTAGAGGCCCCTCCAACACTGCTGAGTTCTGGAGCAGCCTCCAGCTTACTGGGGCAGTGAGGGACAAGAGCATGACTGGAGGAGCTGGTCAGGATCTCCGGGGGGTCCCCTGGCACCGACTCGCATGATGGCTGTGTACCTCCTTTTCCCAGGAGTACCTGAGGGCGTCACAGCCTGAGGATTCACAGGGCATGGCCAGTGCACCCAGCTCAGTCTCCAACATGCAGGGCCCTGGTGGGGCAGGGCAGAAAATCTCTCCACAGGCAGAAGTTGGAATCACCCCTGCCCGTGAAACTCTCCACAAGAGGCCTGTAGCCAACTGTGCTCCCAGGAGAGGCTGATGGTCTCCTGGGTGTTTAAACCTTTGGCAGAGCATCCCTTTGGGTGTGACAACAGCTGAGTCTCTACTTAATGGAAACATTGCCTGAGCCCTTCAACGCCTCGGGGGCTAAGAGTGGCCGGTGCAGAGTGCTGAGCACAAAGTCCTCCCCAGACACCGCCTCTGAGGGGCAGCCCAGGGGCTGAGTTGATGATTTTGGAGCAGCTGACTTTTTAAAAAAATGCTTTATGTGACAGGTGAGGAAGAGCAGTGTTTCCTGTGGATGAAGTGAAGTTACTGAGGTGCTGAAGCTACAGGAAATCACTTCCATCGTAGATCACAGGCCGATCAACCGTCAAGTGATAAAATACCTTTTTAGAGACAAACCTGAGGAAACAGAAATGGAAAGGGAGGGTGTTACCTGAGAGCTGAAAGTCCGAGGGGTGGCAGCTGCTGCTGAGGCCTCTGTGGTCACTGCAGTGACCTGGCTGGGTGTGGGTGCTGGAGCCCCATGCCCCATTTCCTGTCTGTCTAGTGGAGTTCTCTCCCTGGGAGGGTCAGAGGGTTTCGGGACATCACTGTGGACTCTCCTGAGGCTTGGGTGCAGAAATGCCCTTTTGATCACAGGCTGTGAATATCACCTCCCTCACCTGGCTGCTCTGAAGCAGCTGGTGGTGGGGACTGCACAGTGTGTGTATGGTGGTGTGAGGAGCAGGCAATGGGAGGAGGCATATGGTGGAGGCCAGCACGGATTTTTTCCTACTCGGCAGCTAACTCAGTTCTGATATCCATAGTTTGGAAATCTCAAGTAGGCCCCTGAGATGACCTCGATGGGCCAAGGCCAGAGTTTGTCACAGCACCATGGCCACCTCTAGGGATAACTGGGAGCCTGCTCGGGCTTGGGACGGTGCTCTGCCCTCATCACATCTCTCCTTGGTCTCTCCATCAATCCACAGTGTGGTTGCCACTGCAGAGTAGGAAATGGAGACTCAACTAAGGGCCGCTGGGGGAAGAGCAGAGCTTGGGCCTGGTGGTCCCCAACCCATTCTCCTAACCACTGCCCTATCCTGTTCAAGAGGGGCTGGGGCTCATGTCCACTCTTGGGGTAGAGGGTGGCTCCAAAGAGAGCTCTCTGGCCATGATAGGTCTATGCCATGAGGTCCTGCTAACTCCAGGGGTGCTTTCATTTCCACTTGGGAGTGTACGGAGGGGCAGGAGGGGGTGAGGTGGGAAGTTCATCTTCCAACCCCTCCTCTGGTGGGCACTCTTGGCCACAAGCCCTGGCAGTTCAAGGCCTGGAGGTGGTGAGGGGATGACTCAGGTTTTCCCTAGTGTCCTGTCTAGTTATTCTGCTAAGAGCCAAGTACCCATGCTGGGGATGTGACCGGTAGCCCAGGACCTTGCTCAGAGAGGATGTGGCCAGAAACAGATCAGGCAGTTCTCTCTAAAGAGCTGGTTCCAGTTAAGGGGTCTGTGCTGAAGCAGAAGACATAAACAGGGGCAGGTGCCCAGCCCCTCTCCAAATGATTGGCAGATACTCAGTCAATGCTGGTCCTGTCTCCACTCCCCTCCTGCTATCCCTCTGGCCTCATCTCCCTCCATTCTCATTCTCTTGTCCAGCTTCTCCCCCATCTCCCAACCTATACACTCCTGAACCTTAGCTGGTTCTCAGAGTGCTTCCCAGAGATGGCACCTGTCGCTCCCGCCACATGGCCAGGGGCTTTGTGGTGCAGTTTTGGGCTTGCTTATCTCAAGCTCTGCCCTTCCTTCTTTTATTTCTCCCTTTCTCGTTCATTCATTCATTCAGTCTTTCCATTGTATTTCCTAAGCCCCTTCTTTGGGCAGGGCAGTGGCAGAGCAGTGGGAATCAATATCAGAGAGAGGGAAAGGGCACCTTGGTTATGAAGAGTTCAGACTGGCCAGACCGCCTGGTTCAGATCCAGCTCCACCACTGGCTCTGTGACTTAGGAGTGTCACTCCTCTACCCCTCAGCAGTGACATGGTAAGACTCTGCAAGCATGAGCCTGTGTGTCACAAAATCTCTAAAGAACACTGGAACACCACAGGAGAGGGGTCAACAATCAAAGAACAATTAATAATAAGTTACTGACAAATAATTGGTTTTGAGTGTCCACCTCTGCTCTTTAGAAGAGGTGAAAGAGAGGCCTGGAGACGTGGAGCTGGTGCCTGAGGTGGCCCTACCTTGAGAAGGTATTGTCGAAGATGAGCATGTAGATGCCGGGTGTGCGAACCTTGAGCTGGCCCTGGATGTTCTCCTTGTGGGAGTTGCATCGGGTCGTGGGAATGAGGACCTGGGAGGGAAAGCAGGTAGGCAAAAACATCACAGAGGCTGAGAGGGCCCTCGGCATCCTCAGGGAAGACCCTTTATTTTGGGGTAGGAGGCTGAGTGTGTTGCCTGAGGTCACAGATGAGCAGAGCCGGAGCTGTGACCAGCCCCAGTAGTGGCACAGTGCCATCCCACAACCTGAGGCTGTTGATGACTCGTGGCTATGAGTTTCTTCCAGAATCATGACTTGGTCAGCACCCTTAAGGAGTGATCCCCTAGCCTTGAACATAGAAGATGCTAGAACACTCCATGGGCTAAAGGAGAAGCCCTTTTCTGCCTTCAGGATATGAAGCTTAGTCTAGGTGGGATCCATCTGTCCAGCTGTCTCCTGTTGGTCCTGGTGCTGCCCTTGGGTCTCGCAGGACAGGCTGAGACCTCCTTCCAGATAACAATCTTCCAGGCACAAAGCTGCTGGGCCCACTCTCCTCCAGGCTCGACATCTCTGGCTCCACCTAGGCCTGTCTCCTGGCTGTGCTTTGGCTGGTCCATGTGCCCCAGGACCCTTTCATCTTCCCGTGCCTGGGCCTCAGCCTCCTATTCACTCTCTGCCTTCCCTGAGAATGAGAAATTAGTCCCAGGAGACACTGATATTGATTTTTTTTTCAGACGATTTTTGAAGGGCCTCACTGTCAGAGACAAAATCTGTGCAAAGGGTGTGTGCTAGACAGGGCCAGGGCTCAGAGGGAGGTCTTTGAATGGCTCACTTCTTCCCCACCAGGGCAGGCTCTTCAACCTACTTACCAGCTAAGACACAGGCCTCATTTTAAAACTGAAAATATTCTAGGAGATAAGGCAGAGCCAGTCAACATTTTTTTTTCCTTTTTTTTTCTGAGATGGAGTCTTACTCTGTTGCCCAGGCTGGAGTGCAGTGGCATGATCTTGGCTCACTGCAATCTCCACCTCCCAGGTTCAAGCAGTTCTCCTTTCTCAGTGTCCCGAGTAGTAGGGATTACAGGCACCCACCACCATGCCCAGCTAATTTTTGTATTTTTAGCAGAGACGGAGTTTCACCATGTTGGCCAGGTTGGTATCGAACTCCTGACCTCAGGTGATCTGCCCGCCTCAGCCTCCCAAAGTGCTGGGATTACAGGTGTGAGCCACCATGCTAGGCTAGAGCCAACCAACATTTAAAAAAAATTTTTTTTTTAAGATGGAGTCTCACTCTGTTGCCCAGGCTAGAGTGCAGTGTCGTGATCTTGGCTCACTGCAACCTGTGCCTCCTGGATTCAAGCAATTCTCCTGCCTCAGCCTCCTGAGTAGCTAGGATTACAGGTGTACACCAACACACCCAGCTAATTTTTGTATTTTTAATAGAGACAGAGTTTCATCATGTTGGCCAGGCTGGTCTCAAACTCCTGACCTAGTGATTCACCCGCCTCGGCCTCCCAAAGTGCTGGGATTACAGGCGTGAGCCACGGCGCCCAGCCCTTACATTTTTTTTTTTTTTTAAGAAGTGACTAGCACCTAGAGGATCTTGTCTTATAAAGTGTCCCTAAGCCTTCCATTTAAGACTGACTACACATAAATGGTTATATGGACCAGAAGGTCTACAGACAACGGAAGCAGCATCTTAGCAACTTTGAGTTCCTAATGAGGTAAACTTCCCCAGAAGTGACCATTTTTATTCTTTACAAAATAAAATGTAGCTTCTTTTTCAGAAATACAATTTTTATTAAATTCAGTTTTAATTTTTTCCCATTAAACATTTTTAACTTGTACAAAATGACTGAATCCAAAATAGTTGTTAATATAAGGATGCGATTACTTTCTCAACTTAATCTTGAACACAGCTGCATCTTTCTCTAAACTCTACATGTTGGGTACACAGTTCCCAAAGTGAAGTGAATTCCCACAAAGGACTCTGCCCTCAGGACTCTTGTGGTTTAATGGTGATCACAGAGAAGAAAACATTCAGTTACACTGGGGTGAGAGTACCATGAGGGGAGAACCGGCAAGGGGTGCCATTCTAGCATCTGGGTGGGAGAGAGGAGGCTGAATGCCAGGGGAAACTTCTTGGAAAAAGTGATGCTGAGTTAGGACAATTTAGCCAATGAGAAGGGATCTGGCTGTTCCTGGCAGTGGAGACAACATATTTAAAGGCATGGGAGAATATCTAAGATTTACCCTCCCAGGACACAACAACACAACAATAACAACAACAAAAACAACAAAACAAAAAATAGAAAACATATGAAAGGACAGTTTTCAAGACACTGGTTATCAGGCAATGCAGGATAGTGATCCCTGAGAGACAGGAATAGGGTGAGCCCAACAACTGCCCTCACTTAGTGAGGAAGAGAGACAAAAAACAGATGGGATAAGAGAAAATGAATACCAAGATGGCAGACTCAAACCTAACCTTAACAGCAATCACAGTAAGTGAAAATAGCCTAAACATTCCAATGAAAAGGCAGAGATTACCAGACTGGATAAAAGCAACACCCAACCCTATCATGCCTACAAGAAATGCAATTTAAATATAAAGACACAAATAGGTTAAAAGTAAACAGATGTAAACAAGATTACCAGGCTAGCATGCTAACCAAAAGAATGCTGGTTTGACTGTATTAATATTACATAACACAGCTTTTATATCAAAGAATATTACCAGGGATAATTTCATAATGATAAATATGTCAGTTCATTAAAAGGACAATAATCCTAAACGTTTATGCCCCTAATGACAGAGCTTCAAAATACATGATACAAAAAGTGGTAGAATTGCAAGGAGAGATGGACAAATTCACAATTATAGTTGGAGATTTCAATACCTCTTTCTTAATAATTGATAGAATAAGTAGACAGGAACTCAATGAAGAAACAGAAGACGAACACCACCATCAACTAACTTGACCTAATTGGCATCTATAATAGAATATTCCGGCCAGGCACGGTGGCTCACGCCCGTAATCTCAACACTTCGGGAGGCCGAGGTGGGTGGATCACCTGAGGTCAGGAGTTCAAAACCAACCTGGCCAACATAGCAAAACCCCATCTCTAATAAAAATACAAAATTATCTGGGCATGGTGGCGCATGCCTGTAATCCCAGCTACTTGGGAGGCTGAGGCAGGAGAATCGCTTGAACCTGGGAGGCAGAAGTTGCAGTGAGCTGAGATCGCGCCATTGCACTCCAGCCTGGGCAACAAGAGTGAAACTGTCTCAAAAAAAAAAAAAAAAGAACGCTCCACCCAACAACAGCAGAAGGTACATCCTTTTCAAGTGCACTCGGCACATTCACCCAGGTAGGTCACATTCTAGGCCAAGCTTGTCCAACCCGCGGCCCAGGAAGGCTTTGAATGCAGCCCAACACAAATTCGTAAACTTTCTTAAAACATTATGAGTTTTTTTATTTGTTTTTGTCTTTGTTTTTAGCTCATCAGCTATCGTTAGTGTTAGTGTATCTTATGTGTGGCCCAAGACAATTCTTCCAACGAGGCCCAGGGAAGCCAAACGATTGGACACCCTTGTTCTAGGCCATTAAGAAAACACCTCTCAAACTTCAAAGGATTCAAGTTATACAAAGTATGTTCTAGGTCTACAATGGAATTAAATTAGAAATCAAGAGCAGATCTCTGGAAAATCTCAAAATATTTGAAAACTAAATAACAAATTCAAACGTGTGGATCGAAGGGAAATCAAAAGGGGAATCAAAAAGGCATGGGAGGGAGAGCGAGCATTGTGTTCCTAACACAACAGTGTGCTTGCTCAGGCTGGCAGCTGGTAGTGGTGAGGGAGTAGGACGGGCCCCTGACAAGGCTGGAGGGGACAAAGGTGTACAAAGAGTGTACACTGAGGGCCTGCTACACGTAGGCTCTGTGCTGCCTCTTCTGCACACGGCGTCTCATTTACTTCCATTAATATTCTATCACATTCTAGTTCCACCAGGGACTAAGGATCCCGGGAGAGTGAGGGGTTGGTTCTGTTTCTGTGATCCACAACCTAACAACTCTGGCCTGGTCTCAGACACTGCAGCAGGGGTGTATGGGAAGGAGCTGCTGGAGGGGAAGGCTTGCTGTTTGCATGGGGACCTTGGTGTGCCCACCCTGCACACCCTCGCACTCACTACCTTGATTACAAGCAACATCAAGAGCTCCTTAAGGCAGGTCCCCTGAAGAGGGCATGTTTAACATAGATTAATGTGCGTTCTTGAAAATGATACTCTTCATTTCTTTAAAACATCTTACTCTGTAGCCTTTTCATTCATTCCAGCTGTTTTTCATTCATTCCATTCACATGAAACATCTAGAATCAGCATATCCACAAAATAGATTAGTGGTCACTGGGGGCAGAGGTTGGGGAGTGACTGCTAATGGGCACAGAATTTCTTTTTTGGAGTGATGGAAAGAATCTAAAATTAGACAGTGGTAATGGTGGTACAACTCTGTGAATATACTAAAAACCATTAAACTGTACATTCCAAGTGCGTGAGTTATATCTCAATAAAGCTGTTTTAAAAAACAAAGTCAAGGGTCCTTGCTGTCAGCTGATTCCTCCTCTGACTCCCTCTGAAGCCCACCCCAACAGGCCATCGACCTCTGGCCAAAGACGGATCCTCTGCCCAGAGAGAGGACAGAGTCTGGATCCAATTCTCCACTTTGTCCCTGGGCCTCAGGCCAGCGGTGTGTACACTGGTAACCTGGTTCATAATTTCTTTCATCAAGTGCCTCCCCTAGATTCACACTCTCCAATCTCAGTGTCGAGTCTATGACTATAATGGAGGAAGTGGGTCTGGAGAGAGGGTGGCACAGGGTGGAGAGTGTCTGACAGGTGCCCCTAGAAACGGGGCTGGCCTTCTGCTGTGCTATTCCATCCACCTGGATGCTTCTCCTCAAGCCCACAGGTCCCTCGCCTCACCTCACAATGCTGCTTCTGGTTTCCTCCACTGTGGTCTTCATCATCGCCCAGGGGTCTCCTTTCCTCATCTCTGTTCCCCAGGCTGGGCTAGGCATCCTTCCCAGGGGTACCCACAGTGCCCACCCACCCCTGTCATGAAACCACCTGGAATCACAAATGTCTATTTATTAGAGTCTCTCTCTGATTACACAGTGAGCTCCTCAACGGGAGATCCCATGTTATCCCTTCATCTTTCTATCCCCCGTGGGCCCTACAGAGTCCAGTATACAGGACACACTCAATAAATGGTTGCAAATACACAGCATAATTCCTTGTGTCTATACCTCCGTAATCATGAAGTCTGAGTGCTGCAATTTGCACTGCATCTGTCATTTCCTCTAAGGCCCAGGCTGGTCAGGAGTGCACTCGGGGAGTCCCCGGGATAGATATTGAGGGCACATGTCTGGAAACAGGCTACCCTGGCCATGGTCTCTTTGGGGGACCTCAGGCAGAGATAACAGCCACCCCCATCTGTGGTTGGTGACAGTGGCCTGTGAAGGCAGAGGAGCACCTAAGCATCCTGTACACGGGCCCCTTCTGCCCCCTGGTGTCACTGTGGGGAAAGGCAGTGGGGCCCCCTGGAAGCTAGAGGAGGAAGGCTCAGTAGGTCCCCAAGTTCCTGATTCCTGGTAGAGCCACACAGGAACCCCAGGCTGCTGAGGACTCGGTGGGTAGGGACTGAGCAAGGGGAGAGGCCCACAGCCCAGCCACATATGGGCAGGCAAAACAGCAAAGGCCTGGATCCCTGATTTCGTCCCTTCCCTCCCTGCCACAAACACTCACGGTGTCTGATCTGGGTGGATTCAGGGCTGGGGGCCTGGTGGGTCTGGGGAACGTGATGGTGAGTGGCAAGGGCAGCTCTTGGCAGTGCTGCCGTTTGTTAGTGTGGAGCTGACAGGCATGTTGGCCGCACCAGGACCTCCTGGGTGGGGGCTCAGAACTGCTCAAGAAGGAAGGGCTCCAGAGGTAGGTAGGAGGAGCTGGCTACAAGCCCCAAAAGAATAAGATGGGCAGAGCGGTTTTAAATAAGACAGAATATGAGATTCCAATAAACAAGGCCAACCCAAGGGAGTAGAGTTACATTTTGAGAGTGAGTTTGAAAAGCAGAGAAATGACAAAAGCGATCCCTGCATTGAGCAGATTCCAACAGGGCAGGATGGCAGGAGAGCAAACCCAAACGGGTACGTGTTCCTCTATGGGATGCCAGCGCCACAGCAGGAACTGCTGTGTGGCCCAATGTGTCTCCTAGCTGGGCTCTCCTGCTCTGGGCCCTCCTCATCCCTCAGCCTCAAGCCCCTCGAGGGCACCCAGTGGACCAAACACACAAGGGACTATTAGATGTTTCTGCAAAGACTTCACAGAACTCTTGTTTCACATGACTTCAGCTAGCTTTTCCCTATCTTGATCCTTGCAATTCTTGCAAAATGGAGATTTCTGCAGTCATATTCCCAGACTAGGATCCATTTTCAGCTCCAGTCCAGCAGGCCCAACGGCTTTTACCATTTCTTTCACTCAGAATGATTCAAATGGAACTTGTGTTTCCATGCAAACCATCTCTCCCTCCCATATCCCTCTACACCCTTTCTCTGCAGAGATGCAGGCATCAAATTCAGACCTCAGGCATGGGTCTCCCTTCTCCTTGCCCCATACTGAATCAGCCACCCATGGAGCCCTGCCCAACCTCTGTCCCTGTGGTCTGGATTCCACCTCATCCTTTCCACTTTGGCTTCAACCCCCTGATCTACACCAGTGGTTCTCAACCTTGGCTGCTCATTGGAATCACTTGGAGATGTCTGGATCCCACCCCTAGAGACTCTAATTTGCAGCCAAGGTTGAGAACAACAGTCCGGGCACTGTCAACATTCCATGCCTAGAATGTCTTAGGAATTTATAAACTGGTACCTGCCACCAAGATTTCAAGCTCGACCACCCAAGTGACATTGGGGTTGTCTCTACTGACACCTTTCCGGGTTGAGATGCACCCTAAGCTAAAAACTAGAGGAAGAGAGGTCACCACCTCCCAAGGTGATCCATTCCTGCTTTGCACAGCTCTATTAGAAAATGATCCTTAAATTGAGTCATACGTCTGTATTCCTCTTTCACCTACCCATCTATCCCAAGGGCAGACTGTACCTGTTTCACACAGGTGTGACCTTCAGACATTTGAGAACAGCTTTCCAGAACTTCTGGGTCTTTCTCTCCCCAAACTGGACAAGGCCCAGGTGCTCTGCCTTCTCTGCATGATACTGCCCAGAACATTCCAAGTGAGGCCTGCCCAGCAGAGGATAGGATGGCCACTGCCCTGCTTTGAGAAAGGCCTGCCCAAGTACCCAGATGTGTGTGTAAGGAGCCCACAGGCAGGGAGCCCAGCCTTACCTTACACTGATCCAGCGGTGTGTCCTCGGCCTCCTGGAAGACCACACTGAAGGAGATGCTCTTGGGGTCAGAGGAGAAGACCCAGCTGATGGTGAGGCCTGCCTCGGCCACAGTGATGGGGATCAGGCTGTAGGTGCTGGACCTCACAAACAGCTCCCTGCTACCCTCCCCGAAGCTGGCGATCTCATCCACTGTGAGGGGTACTTTGATCCTAAAATAAAAATACAGAGAGGGACCTGATTGACTGGGCAAAGTGTTTGTGTCCACTGGCCAGGTCATCTGTGGCTCAGAGGTGGCTGGAGACTTCGGAGACTCTTGAGAGGACAAGCCCTGGGTAACCTTGGCCAACATGCTTAATTATGGGATGGGCAGCTCACTCCAACAAATGCTTCCTGAGCGCTAACTACATGCCTGGCATAGGTCTAGGCACGGAGGAGACAGCAGTAAAAAATACAGATGACACCTTTGCCTGTGTGGAGGTTAAAGCCCATGGGAACTAAGGAACTGAGGATGGCCTGACCTGCTCCACGGCCCTCATGGACAGGAAGCAAGTGCCGAGGCACAGCTTTTTGCTGCTCTCCTGAAGATGCCCTGCTGCTCAGCCATCTGTTTTTTCTCTGCCATTTCTCCTTCCAGTTCCCTGCCTCGCCCTTTCACCTAATTAGTACAAGCCTCCCAGCCTTCTGATATAGTCCATCTTCTCAGCTGCATCTGGCGTCCATTGTAAGATTCCACATGGACACCCTGACCTTTCCTCAAATGCCAACATCCCATACTCTTTATAATGCAAGGGTGGTGCAAGTAATACAACGGTTTTGGGGAGAAAAGCTTGTTCTTACTCTCCCTGGGTAGATAAAAGCTTCTTCAAGAAGTTTATAAGGTTCATTGACAGTGAGTTCCTCTGTTTTTGGGGTTCTGTGCTGGACCCAGAGTGTGACGTGAAGAATGTGAGGTTAGGGGCCAAGGGACCTGCCTCACTGCATCCCTGCTGCATAAGCCTCAGTTTCTTCATCTGCCAAACAAGGACAACCACACCTGCCTCAGGACTGCTGCAAGGACTAGATTACAAGATGAACCCAGGGAGCTTGCTCCTCAGGGCCCCTTCCAGGCCGAGTGGCACCACTCCTACACTGTGCAACTCTGGAGGCAGCTAGGTTAGCTCATGATCATGGAGACAGAGCCTCCAGTGCAGAGCTGCAACTTAGGAGCAGTGTGGCCTTGGGTGAGTCACTCACTCACTTTGAACCTCGGTTTCTCAACTGTGAAATGGGAAGGTGGCGGCCATCATAGGCCACGCCCTGTGCTCAACAATTTTGCATGTTACTGCAATGGCTCCTTGAGGAAGGCATGACTGTTGCCATTCTACAAAAGAGGAAACTAAGATTCTAAAAGATTGAGAAATTCAATCCAGGCTCACACAGGTCTGAGGCAAAGCCATCATCTTCCTACCATACCAAACTGCCTTTTGTGGAGAAAATGTATTACTATCCCCTTTAACACAGGGGAGGGAATTAACTTCAAAGAGGTTAGGTAACTTGCCCAACACTGCGCAGCAAGTGGTGGTGCTGAGCGTTCATCTGCCTCCAAAGCTGTGGAGATGAATGGACAGACTCCCCAAAGCTAATGAGAACGGTAAGAAATGATTAAAAAACCAGGATGCTTTAAAGAACAGCTCCAATACTCACCTTTGTGAGAATTCAATTCAATGCGATACTTCTCCATGTGTTAAATTTTATTTCTAATTAAGAACCCTCGACCAACATTTACAATTTTCAAGAATCTGAGGGCAGGTTTGGGGGGTCCATTCTGGAACAGACATCTTTCTTGTAATGTGGAAATCTTACCATATTACCATGTAAAAAGTCACTTACCCTGACATAATGCCCCATTAATACATTAATGCTGGAGCATTTTATAATTTTATGCTCCAGAATTCTCCCCTGGCACCCAGGTATTTGGATTGTGCCTCAATCATCTAGTCTAGACATCATCTAGACATCATCTATTCAGTGACAAGGACAATACTCAGCCTCTCCAAAGCAGATCTTAACAAAAACAAATCAAAGGTTTGCTCAAATATAATATAATCTTAAGATGCCTATTGTCTATAAGGCTCATGTCACAGATGTGAATTCCACTGAGTGACCTAAGAAATTTCAGTTTACATGAGTCAAGGGGTACCAACACATTTGCAGTGTTCTGAGATAATCCCAACCTTTAACATGTTTTCAGATGCTCTCATGATGTTGTTGCTAATCCTTAGCTTGCTGTCACTCTCTTTGAAAGAGGCAGAAAAAAATAACTTTCAAGGTGTTGTCATTCTCCTTGCATTTTATTCCCATGTCCAGCCGACCTATTCTCCATACTGTCTTATTCTCCTCAAAGACCTGCCTTGGATCTGTGTGGTCTAGTTATTTCTAAATCTCATAACTTTCCTCATTCCTTTACTTGAGGGTAGGTTTTTTACCAGTTTTATTATAAATGATTTCAAACATTTCCCTGTTCTTTCCCATTAAATGCCACTAAAAAAACTGAAAATGATTCAGCAGTTGTAGTAAAAGTGAAGGGCAGGAGAAGGAAGGCGGACTGATTAAGGACCCCCAGAATATGAGGAAAATCACAACAGCTTAGCGTCTCTGAGCCCCCCACCTACACATAATAAAAAACCACTCGTTATCCTAAGAGCCAGGAAAATCACAGTGTGCATGAGGAAAGACAATCAACAGAAGCCGACACTGACATCAACCAGATGCTGGAGTTATCTGTCAAGGCTTTTAAAGCAGCCATCAAAAAAAATGCTTCAGTAACAATTTTAAATGTTCTTGAAACAATAAAACAGTGGAAAACTCATACCAAAGAAACAGAAGATATAAAAAAGTACCAAATGGAAATTTTAGAACTAAATAATTACAATAACCAAAATAAAAAAAAAATCACTGGACACTCAATAGCTGAATAAAGATGACAGTTATACTTGAAGAGAGAAAAACAGAAATTCCTCAATCTGAACAACACAGGGAAAAGAGAATTGGGGGACAGGGTGCAAGGAAAAAGAACAGAGCCTGAGGAATCTACAAGGCAAGGACAAAAGATCTCACATTTGTATCACTGGAGTCCCAAATGGAGAGGGAAAATAGAGTGCATCTGAAAAAATGTTCAAAGAAATGATGGTTATAAACTTCCCAAATATGATGACAGATAAGCCTAGAGATTTAAGAGCTGAGTGTACCCCAAATAGGAAAAACCCAAAGAAATTCATGCCAAGACCCATCATAATTAAACGTCTAAGAACAAAAGACAAAGAAAAAACTTGAAAGCAGGCAGAGAGGAATAACTTATTATCTATGGGGGAATACCAATTTGAATGCCAGGGGATTTCTCATCTAAAACCATGGAGGCCAGAGGGAAGTAGCAGCACACATATTTCAAATGCTGAAAGAAAAGAACTTTCAATTCTATATCTGGCAAACATCCTTTAGATATTCTGTCAAATCCAGCAGTGTGTGAAAAGAATTATATACCACAGCCAGTGGGATTTATCCCAGGTATGCAAGGCTGGTTTGATATATGAAAGTCAATCAATGCAATCCATCATATCAACAGGCTAAGGAAGAAAAAGCCTATGATCTTATCAATTGATGTAGAAAAAAGATCTGGCAAAATTCAACAGCCATTCACGACCACCCAAGTTCTCTGTTACTATTTCTAATTGTCACTGCTGTGAGTAGCATGCAAGGGACATTTTGGTAGCTTTATCTTTGCACCTCCAGTCATTATTTCCTCAGGATAAATTCCCAGACACAGGCCCATTGCATCAAAGAGAAAATGCAATTCTTGAACTTTTGGTACATTCTGCAGCCAAGTTGCTCTCCAGAAAGGGTGGCCCTGACACTTCATACTCCCCCAGCATCAACAGCTTGTGAGTGGGCTAGCTATTTAATTCTTCCTGCTTGGTCTGCCCCATAATTCAATATAGTGTTTGTCCAAGTGTGGTCCAAGGTCACCTGAGGACTGGTGGAATAGATTATTCTCTCACGACCACATCTAAACCTTCAGGAAATTCTGTCTGCACCACCTTCAAAATAGGTCCAGAATTTGCCCTGGTCTCTGCCCTCTCTGCCAACACTTGGTCCAAGGAACAAGGATTCCTCTAATACCCTCCCAACTGGTCTCCCCACTTTGGCTCTCATCCTCCATCATCTATTCTCTACATGGCAATCAGAACAATCCTTTTTCAACTGTAAATTAGATTAAGTCACTCTTAATGCTACACACCTCATTTTGGGGGTCCCATTTCCCTCAGATTCAAAGTCAAAGTCCTTACAATGGCCAACAAGGCCCTATGTGCTGGGACCCTCATTTCCACTCTGACTCCACCTCCTGGTTCTCTCTGCTGCAGGCACGCTGGCCCTTTTCTCAGCCCCTGAACATGTCAGGCATTGTCCTGTCTCAGGGCCTTTGTGCTGCCTGTTCCCTCTGCCTGAAATGCTATACCCGCAGATAGATGCCTGGCAACTCCTTCACCTCCTTCAAGTCTTATCTTCTTACTGTCACTTTATTTAAAATGGCAAATTCCCCTTCCCTGTTATCCTACTTTATCTTTTTCCATAGCAAGCACTACCTTGTAACATTTATACAATATTGACTTATTTAATTATGTTTATAGCGTATCATCTGTCAACCCCTGCTGGAATATAAGCTTGATGAGGGCGAGGGGTCAGCCTTTCTTGGTTTTGTTTACTGACATGCTCTAAGCACCTAAAATAGTACCTGGCACATTGTGATAATTAATAAATATCTGTGAATGAGTGACTGAATCTATTTAATGACAATTATGCAGCCACTGGACACAACACTGGAGAACTCGATGATATGGGAAAATACTCATGCTATAGGAAGTTTTAAAAGACTGCAAAATAAGATTTAGAATATTTGTTTGTGTCAAAAATTATATGCATATATGTGTATAAAAAAGACTGGAAGGCTATATGCCAAAATGTTTTGCTTATCTCTATTTTCCTAATTTTTTACAATGAAAGTGTACTGCTCATACAATAAAAAAATTAACAAAGTTATTTTGAAAAAAGAACATGAGGTGTGGGAGGAATATTATAAAGGGGCAACTTCCTAGGGTGAGGGAACTGTTCTATATCTTAATTGCGGTAGTGATCACACTGTATAATTAATGAAAATTCAAGCACTGTATACTTGCTTGAATCTTAATGTATATAAGCTATGCCTGAAAAAAAAGAATAAACGAAGCCCCACTGGTATTAAGTTAGAGCCCCCGAGGTGGTCCCCAGCGCCGGCACTGGAGAGGCCAGTGCTCCTCCCAATGCCACACCTGGGGAGGGCCCAGGCAGCAGTTGCCACTTACATCAGTTCTCCAGACTTCAGCAGGCAGATTTCCGAATCCTGCCCCACGGGCATGTCTTCAGTGTCCTCAGGCGTTAGCGAGGTTGATGTAGTATCCCTGAAATGTCACAAATGAGAACACAGTCATTTAGCTATCAACACACAGGGTCTCACATCCTGGGGTCCGCAGTCTTGGAGTCACAGGCAGCCAAATCCAGATGCATGGGGGATCCTTTAATCATAGAGGCCATGACAGAGACCCTGGCAGATTTTGTGGGTAGAGGGAGGGCTGCAGGGGCCAGGGCCAAGCAGGTGGACAAGGAGAAGACAATAGGGCTACAGCAGTTTCCCTGGAGCAGCTGTAGGGAAGATACCTCCTGCTATAGGAAGGGTGAGCAGAAACACAAATCAACCACTCTCCTAGCCCACGCCAGCAGAGCTGTTGCCACAGGACCAAGGTACCAGCACCACTGGGTCCTGCCTTCTCAGTGCCAGTGCACAACTAGAGAAGCCTCTGGCCTATCCCTGGGGCACAAGAACAGGCACCCAGGGGAGATTTTTAACACCTTCTGAATTACGGATCCTTAGAACATTTTGGCAAATTGAAGTCCCTGCACTTCACTGATGGGGACACAGAGGCCCAGGCAGTTCCTCAGAGGCAGAACTGGAGCCAGAACTAGATACCCTGACTGCAACTTAGTGTTTTCCCTGTGGGGTTCCAGGTCCAGCTCAGCCAGGGACTTATACAATCTCAGGTGCCTCAGAGCCCAACCAGCTCCACTCCCCAGTTCTGCCAAAGAGGAAACCTAGGTCCAGAAAAGAAAAAATGGCTTTGCCCTCATGTGAAGGCATCAATGAGGAAGATCTCCCATGCAGTGTGGCTTCTTTCTAAATTGCTGAAACAATCTGTGCTCTTCCAGGAGCTGAATGCCACCAGCCCTGAGCAAGTGGGGCTCCCTCTAGCTGGAGGTCTCTGTGGCCCCCAAGGGCAGGGGACATGGTATGACTGTAGTGGGGTCCATTGTGGTTCCAGCTTCAGCACTGTGACTGTGTGACTCACGGTGAGCTCTTTCCTCCTGAGACCCCAGTTTTCCTTCTCTAAATGGAAGCAAATGTAACCAGATGGACTCTGGGTTCTGATGGCTTGAAAAGGCTGTAAGTTTTAAAGGACTCAGAGATAGCATTGTGTGAGCCCACTGGCTCAGAAAGAAGTGGGCTTGCTCTGGTCAGCAGCTTCCTGCCCACAGCCTCCGCTGCTCTTCTCAGGGAAGGTGCAGGAAGAACGCAGGCTGCAGCACCTGCTGCCACCAGGGGCATGTCTTGTCACTCTGGCATTTCTTTTTCTTCCTGGCCCCAACCCCCTCTCTGTCTTCCTCCTTGCCTAACACCTCCTTCTTTTTGCTTTCCAGCCGCTGGTTTCCAGGCCCGCACCCTCACCTCGGGACAAACAGAAACAGGGAACATCAGTGCAAGAAGCTGCTCAAGGAGCCAGCTTGTGCGGCCACCCACTTGACAGCAGGGAAGCACAAGTCCAGAGGAGACAGGCCAGGGTCACTCAGGCCTGCTTTTGTTTGCTTTCATCCTTGTCCAAGGCGTAAATACCATAAATGAGATAAAGAAATAACACAGAATGAGAGAGACACTGAAAGCTGTACTTGGTTCTCCCAATTTTCCCGCATTCAGGATAAAAGATGTCCTAATCTATAATTTCCTCTCTTCCTCCATCACCCTCCTCCCTGACCACAGTGATGACAGACAACGCCTGATTACCTGCAAGCAGATGATTCACAGAGCAGGTTTCCCAGACCCTTGCTGGCCCCGACAGACGCCCTGCATGAGTGAGGTAGGAATGGGATAGGTGGGTGATGCAGTCTCAAAGGTGACAATTAGGGCAGAGGGCTTTCTTTTCAATAGGTTTTCAAACTGTAGGTCATGACCCATTTAGTGGGCTGTGAATCAGTTTAGGAGGTTATGACCAACATTAAAAGAGAAATAGAATAAAACAGAAAATACAATAGTATATTGCATGTTGTGAGGATAAGTATTTATGAGGCTCTTGGGGTTTTTTGTTGTTGTTGTTTGTTTTTGAGATGGAGTTTTGCTCTGTTGCCAGGCTGGAGTGCCATGGCACGATCTTGGCTTACTGCAACATCCGACTCCCTGGTTCAAGCGATTTTCCTGCCTCAGCCTCCCGAATAGCTGGGATTACAGGCACATACCACCACACCCAGCTAATTTTTGTATTTTTAGTAGATACGGGGTTTCACCATGTTGGCCAGGATGGTCTCAAACTCCTGACCACATGATTGGCCCACCTCGGCCTCCCAAAGTGCTGGGATTACAGGCGTGAGCCACTGAGGCCAGCCTCGAGGCTCTTGTTTTGACCATATGTATACACACATGCAAACTAGGTAGCCGTGCAAAATGTATTTCTTACCATGAGATGTTGTAGGAAATGTTCAAGCAACTCAGAGGATGTCAAGGGATGTAAGAGCTTGAGAAAGGACAGCAACCAAAGCATGACCACTAGAGGGCACCCCACCTCCTACTACAGCTGCTTCCTTTCCTTGCTATTGAGGCAGCCTCAGCAAAGATACCAGATACTCACTGCCCACGCGGCTTTCCTCCTCCCCTTGCTCTGGTCATGGCAGCCTACTGCTAGCTTGGCTGATGGCATGCCACCCTTTCCTTCCGAGTTTCTGTCTGCAGCCTGTGGTCAGTTGAGTGAATATCTCTTGAGCACATGTTCTAGTCCGTCAACTTGTCTGTCCCTTTGTGGGTGCCATCCTGGCATTCCTGGGCAGCCTGCTGTGCACACAGCCCATGCCCAGTGAATATCTACATTATTTGTCTCAGGGTAAGGTTTTCTTCTGTCCCAAATGCTCCCAAAGGAGGACATACCCAAGGCTCCACATTAGAAGCGAGTCAGAATAAAGTGGTGAGCACAAATCAGGCAGCCCCTGGCACTGTAGTCCTGGAGTCCACACCTCTCTGAGTCATGGTGGAGCCCCTTCAGCTTGGTGTCTACAAATGGGAGTCTATAGTCCTTCCCTGTCACGACTCAAATGGCCTCAGCCTGTTTGTTATGTAATTACTGCACAACTTTAATCCTGCAGACTGCCTGCAGTACAGATCTGCTTGTTTAGAAACTAGCTGAGGGAGGAACAGATGCCTGGAAAATCCCTATGGCCCAAGGTGCCTTGCTGCCAATCTTCCCCAGAGGGTGCCATCTCCCCTCAGCCTCGCTAAGCCCCGCAGAGTGAGAAGTGTTGTTTTCCTGATTACACAGGCTCCCATCGTCCCTCTGGTCAGCCTCCATTTGTGAACAGTCTCCTGTGAAATGGAGATGTCTTCAGTTTAGAACTGCACTCTTCAATACAGTAGCCACTAGCCATATGTGGCTATATAAACTTAAATTCATCAGATAAATTTAACTAAAAATGTGGCTGCCTGGTGGCATTAGCCACATTTCAAGTGCTCAATTCAAGTGGCACTAGCCACCTGGACTGGTGGCCACTGTGTTGGGCAGTGCAGGTACAGCACAGGTCTCTCACAGCAGAAGGCTCCACTGACCAGTGCAGGTTTGGAAGGTTGGGCTGAACCACACCACACACATCATATTCACTCTGTGATCTGGGGGCATCTTTAAATTTTGCTATCAAATTATTATTATTGTATTAACTTGATTTTACTTTGCTAATCCATTGCTTATAAATTCCTAGTGTTAGAGTAGGTAGCTAGGCAGACATGAGCAGGGCAGGAGAGGGCCCCCCTCCCCCAGGAATGTCAGGTGACCATCAAGTAATGGTCAGGCAATTGTTAAGCTGTCTCTCTAAAATAACTGGTTGCAGCCAGAGCCAGAGAAAGAGTCTCCCAATAGATAGAAAACATCTGAAGCTGGTAATCAGCAGCTTCCTGACAAGATCTCAGGAGTTGGGCGAGTGGGCTCAAGCACGCACACTAAGAGGCAAAATGGCAGTTTAACCGGTATGTGACCTTCCTCTAGAAACGACTGATAAGGGAAAAACACCTCAAATGAGCATGCATACACCTCCAGTAAACAGTCTGAGCATGCAGCTCCTCCCAAGTGCTGGCAAGCCACCATGCCTGCGGACAGCCTGCTCCAAGGGAAGAGTCGGGGGAGAAGAAACATAAACCCTGGAACCATGCCAATGTATAAAACCTCAAGTCAAGGGCCGGATGGGGCACTTGGATCTCTCAGGTCACCTGCTTGGCTCTCTTCCAAGTATACTTTACTTCCATTTGTTCCTGCTCTAAAACTTTTTAATAAACCTTCACTCCTGCTCTAAAACTTGCCTCAGTCTCTCCCTCTGCCTTAAGCCTACTTCTGCCCCTCGGCCAAATTCTTTCCTCCAAGGAGGCAAGACTTGAGTTGCTGCAGACCCATATGGATTTGCTGCTGCTAACATACTTTGGTGCCACATGACTCAGACACATTCCCTAGTGGTAAGACACTCCTACAACTCACCTTCTTCCGCTGGAGGTAGTCAACCCCTGTACGCGGTTTCCTTCTCCTGCTCTCCTGCTTATAGAACAATTGTTCCTCCAGAACAATTCCTCTCAGCCATAGTGGCTCTGCTCCCACCAGATGATCTCTCAGCTCATCCTGGTGACTTGCAGGGGTACAGGTCTGCCGGCTATGTTGCCCAGGCTGGCCTCAAACTCCTGGCTTCAATGATCCTCTCATCTTAGCCTCTTGAGTACTGGGACTATAAGTGCCCACTGCCACGCCTGGCTGGTTAGGCTACTTTTCTGTGGATCACAGCCCATCATCCACCAATGCCTTGCCAACAACTGTAAATGTCTCATCCCTGAATCCTGGAACTGATAACAGCTCTGCCAGGTCTTCAGGTAAGGAGAGCAGGCCAACAGTCTGACTTCCAAGATAAATCTGCAGCAGGTATGTCTGCCACTTCCTTTTTACTCTTCCCTCAATTTTATTTAGAAAATGTTTAGGTATTTCTGGGGAAATCTAAGACATATATGATTGGGTTCCCACCCTTAGGAAGTTCAAAGTTTTGTTTCAAATAAAAGTAATGCCCTTAAAACAATTAACACTATAAATTGGCAGATAGTAAACGGCATTTTGTAAAGTGATTAAAATAAAATTTTAGCCCCAAACCTGCAAGTGGCTCAGCTCCTCAAATTTAGGTGAAAGTCTTTTGTACTATAGAGAAGTTTCTATTAAAGAATGGCCACGATAAACAAGCCATGCTTTCTCAAATACACATATCCCCATATTGACATGTACACACAGTCATGGAGGGCCCCAGGTGCTGGCTTGTTTTTCCCCATGGAGTAGAAAGGCTTGCTGAGAAAAGCATGGCCAAGGGTGCTTGACAAGGCTCAGGCCATTCTAACACTGCCCTATGGACCTGTCTTGAATGGCATGGTTGGTTGTCCCTGGGTAAAACTCAGCTCTCAAAGCTTAAAGATTCCTAAATGTCAGGCAGGGTTACATTAAATTGCCACCCTGCCTTGAAAGTTCTCTTTCAGGAAGACAGGTGCATATTTGGCTCAGTCTGTTCCTTTATTCATTTGTCCACCATTCCCTACATCCATCTGTCCATCGGTATGTAGTCTATGCGGCCTCATGGTTCATGCCCATAAGGAACACCTCACTCATTTGTACCAGTTTGGTAGAAAGGACAGTCTGAACGAATTCATTCAAAAAGGCCTGCAAACCTACTAGAGGTCTTCAGATCTTTTATCAGGGCCCCCTGGCACAGCTCCATACTCAGAGCAGGGCAGGAAGCACTGGCTTTGCAGCCTGACAGTCCTGGGTGACTGCCAGGGATGTGTGTTCTTGGGCAAGTGGGCTAATCTCTCTAATCTTCTGTTTGCCTATCTGTACGTGACTAGGATTAGATGGCTGTACATAGAAGCATCCAGCATAGGGCCAGGCTTGCGGTAGAAATGAGTGTTAGTCTCTGGATCCTGAGGCTGCTCCTGGTCCCTGCTCCCAATGCTTGACATTTGCCCTTAGGAAGAGCCACATGAGAAGGTTTGCCTAGCAGGTGGGAGAGAGCAACAGCATTGGAGAGAAGCAGCCTGAATGGGAGTGCAGAGCCAGAGAAGGCAGGCCAGGCACCTCCACAAGAAGGCAGCTGCTTCTGGGAAAGCAGACATCGAGTCCATGCCTCTCCCTAGTACCCTCTCCACTACAAGGCACTGGGGCATGTGACCCAGGCTGACATGCCTCCAATTCCTGCCTTCCAGCGTTATTTCCCAGAAGGGTCAGTAATGTTAGATCATGGAGACTGACAACTAGAACTGTACTGAGATCAAAGTAGTCAACATCTGGGGAATTCCAGGAGTACAGAGGGCAGCCCAAGGAAACCAGATGATTCCAGCCAGCCTACGCAGGGTGGGTGGGCACTGCCTGCTGAGTGCCTGAGTGGTGTGGGCTTAGGAGGTGGGGCTGCACCAGGCCCTCTGGCAGACCCATCATCATGCTGTTGATTGGTCTGGTAATGACAGATACCTGAGTGTGTATCTTCGATTTTCCAGTTTCTAGCTGTGTGCACCAGGGCTTGTTATTTTGGCTATGGTCCTCAGTGTTCTCATCTATAAAGGCAGGATAATATCCACTGCAGGGCTGCTATGGGGCTTAACAGCTATCACATATGCTGGAGCTGCATATGCACGCAGAACCCAGCCCATACCATGGACTCAGCATTGGCCCAGACCCTAACTGTTCCAAAAAGATGTCTGACTAGTGAATTAAGTAATTTTAAGGTACAAATGCCACCATCTTCGGTGGATGGCCAGAGCCAAACCTCCTTATTGTTCCCCTTTAGTTTACGAATAAAGCTCGTCAGGCCCTGACAGAAGAATCAGCCCCAAAGCAGAATGAAGGGAGTGTGGGGTATCAGTCACCCATCCATCTCTGACCCACGCGTTACACAGGGGCGGGTTGGTCATATGGATTCTGATCTGAAGGACGGGAGTAGGGGGTGGGTCTCTTATAGTAACCAGCTGAGGGCTCTTAAAAAATGTTCAGCGGAAACATGAACCACATCACAGAAGTAGAGGCAGACCTTGCTTCATGAGCAAGCTCATCTCTGGAACAAACTGGCAAAGCATCTCTGCTGGTGAGTCATTTGTTTTACTCTTTATATTGAAAAGAAGACAGGGAGGACTAACCCCAGGTATTGTTGGTATTCTCAGATTCCTGTCTGTAGTAGGGTACAGTGCAAAATGCCAGGCTATGGAGCTCAGCTGCTCTTCGTTCAAATTCCATCACTGCCATTTGCTGCTGTGTGGGTTAAACTGGAGAAACATGAAAACTACTGAACATGTTTCCAGGCACACAGTTAGTGCTTGCAGGCTGATGGTACTGCTAGTAATGGCATAGTCAGACCCACCCAGGGAGATAAGGAGAATCTAGTTATTGTCTATATTTGCTCAATGAATAATCTCTGTTTTCATTTCTTTTGCATAAGACAGGCTGTTTTATCAGATTATCATTTATGTTCTTTTTTCAATATAAATCAACATACTACTGTAGAAACTTTGAAAACTATTTTAAAAAAAGGAAGAAATAAGTCACCCATAATTCCACCAGCTGGAGGCCAACTGTTAATAAAATGTGATCATTTTTTCCAGGTTTCTAAAAGTACGGTCAGTTAAAATCACATAGTTTATCATGAACTCTTATGTGAGGGCCCACAGAATACATGGCAGAAGGATTCAAGGGGTTCATGGACTCCCAGAATTGTAGGGGTGTTTGTGTGTGTGCGTGTGTGTCTGTGTGTGTGTGTGTGTGTGTATATATATATACATTATTTCTGAGAAAAGGTCTGCAGTTTTTAGGAGATTCTCAAAGGAGTTTATGGTCAAAAAAGGTTAAGAATCACAATTTTATATCCTTTTGACATCTATTTGTTGTAATAGTAATAGTTAATACTTATTTTGCATATTTACTTTGTGTTTACACTGTTCTTAGCAATTTAACTGTATTGCATTTTCCAAAATCAGTAAAAATACTTCCTAAACATTTAAGTATATTCTATTTTATGTATGAATTGTAATTTGCTTCATCATTATCAGACTTTTACACTACTTCCAAAGTTGTAGATTTTTTTTTTAATTTTCAGAAAACAAAATAGGATTTTAATTATAGAGGATAAAGAAATGAATGTTTTTAGTTCGCCTAGAAGGGAAAGTAATTTTTCATACTCTATTTGCACAGCACTGTCCAGGCCCAATCTGTTTACCAATTATTATACATCAAAGTTTACCAATTATTACACATGAATTTGCACAGGTCCTTTGAGGAAATGTGTAATGGCAGCATAAGGGACCAGCAAAAGCTGGAACAGGAAGATACCAAAAAAAGGCGAGAGCGAGTCAAGCAATAATGGGGAGCTGAACATTATTCTTAAGAGCAAAGCCACCTGTTTCATATTTTAAATGATGAAAAAATATGTTTTTGCCCATGTGAATCAATAACACATACACATCATCTGACCTACTTAATACAGTGCCCCAGAGAGCTTGTGGGGGGCAGGATGTCTACTGGCTGACCTATCACCCTTAGAGATCTAACAATTGTGACGTAAGGGCAAGGATTTTTATTAAGCAGTCTTAGCCCAAAGGCAGCATCCTTCCTTGCTAGAGAGAAAGGGCACTTTGGTCCCTGGAAAGACAGAGGCAAGCAGCAGCATCGGAGACACTGCTCCCAGTCAGGACTCAAAGTCAGCGACAGAAGTGTTTCTGAGTGGATTAGGAAAGGTAACCTCATCGTTTATATGCACTTGTCTGGTCAGGCAATATTTTGACTTTGCTGGCAGAGATTCTGTCCAAACACCTGCTCTTCTTCATACATCTTCTAGAGGTGCTGGCCAGACATGGCTCCAGGTCACTGGAAATGAGCTGCTGCATGTTGAGTATCTGCAGTCCTGTAGCAAGGGCAGACTTGGCACTCATGGGCTGATGTTGCCGCAGCTGCCCCTGCTCCCACACCACAGGTTACATGATCCCTTGTCCTGTCCATGGTCTTTGGCAGGGTCACAGGGCAGAGGGAAGGGTCAGAGAGAAGTGACATCTTGAAGGGCTGGTGCCCTGGGTAAGAAAGGTTGCCCATCTGGCATCCCATTTCAATTGGGTTTTCTGCTTGTTAAATGAGGCCCCTAAGTCCTAACCTGCCAATCACAGGAGCTAAGGCAAGGTTCCGCTTTGGGGAAATCTACCTTTTAAGAGACTTCTTGTTCAGAAGTCTTCAGGAAATGAGGCTCTGATGGTAGAATGCCATAAACTGTGTTAACTGATGAAGGGGAAAGTTTAGTTGGGAAGTGAGGAGAACCACCCAATGCTTTAACCATGAAGCCAGCTCAGCCAAAGTGCTGGGCAGTCGTGGGCTTTTCTATGCTTTGTTTCCCCATTAGTAGCCTTTGAAAATCTATGCAATTGAGGGGAAGTAAAGGCAGGAAGGACTACCTACCCAGGCAGAGCAGTCTTGCCATCCCCAAACACCTGTGGTCTCCAGGAGTCTCCTTGATAGGAGAGCCCCCTGGTAGGGGCACTTGCTTTAGCTTTCACAATTTATTAGGAAATGGGGCTCAGGATGGGTGGGCAACTGTGGTGAGGCAGGGGGAGATGAAAACAGGCATGTTCCATTGATGAGCTCATATTATCAGTGGGCTCAACCATCCATCATCAGTGTTGCTCTTCCAAACAGCACTGTGCCCACCTGGCAGCAAAGCGACTTTTGGTTTCAAAATAATTGAGCACAGGATTTTATGGAATGTGCTTAGGGGTCAGTTATGAGTTGTCTCCCAGATGGGTGAGATCCTGAGAATTTTCAGGCTAATGGAGAGTCCTCATCCTGTCTGAGCAATTTCCCCTCAGAATTGGTTATCTTCAATATACTGGACTGTGCTGTTTCTACACATCCCAGTGGGTGGGTTTAGAAGATGACTATTTGCCCCCTAAATGTGGTCAATGGGATAGCAGGAAGACAAAGAATGCCATCCTCAGCCCCAAATATAATTCCTGGGTTCTGACTCACAGGTGTTCATCAGAACAGACACCATGGCAGAGCATGATTACCATGAAGACTATGGGTTCAGCAGTTTCAATGACAGCAGCCAGGAGGAGCATCAAGACTTCCTGCAGTTCAGCAAGGTCTTTCTGCCCTGCATGTACCTGGTGGTGTTTGTCTGTGGTCTGGTGGGGAACTCTCTGGTGCTGGTCATATCCATCTTCTACCATAAGTTGCAGAGCCTGACGGATGTGTTCCTGGTGAACCTACCCCTGGCTGACCTGGTGTTTGTCTGCACTCTGCCCTTCTGGGCCTATGCAGGCATCCATGAATGGGTGTTTGGCCAGGTCATGTGCAAGAGCCTACTGGGCATCTACACTATTAACTTCTACACGTCCATGCTCATCCTCACCTGCATCACTGTGGATCGTTTCATTGTAGTGGTTAAGGCCACCAAGGCCTACAACCAGCAAGCCAAGAGGATGACCTGGGGCAAGGTCACCAGCTTGCTCATCTGGGTGATATCCCTGCTGGTTTCCTTGCCCCAAATTATCTATGGCAATGTCTTTAATCTCGACAAGCTCATATGTGGTTACCATGACGAGGCAATTTCCACTGTGGTTCTTGCCACCCAGATGACACTGGGGTTCTTCTTGCCACTGCTCACCATGATTGTCTGCTATTCAGTCATAATCAAAACACTGCTTCATGCTGGAGGCTTCCAGAAGCACAGATCTCTAAAGATCATCTTCCTGGTGATGGCTGTGTTCCTGCTGACCCAGATGCCCTTCAACCTCATGAAGTTCATCCGCAGCACACACTGGGAATACTATGCCATGACCAGCTTTCACTACACCATCATGGTGACAGAGGCCATCGCATACCTGAGGGCCTGCCTTAACCCTGTGCTCTATGCCTTTGTCAGCCTGAAGTTTCGAAAGAACTTCTGGAAACTTGTGAAGGACATTGGTTGCCTCCCTTACCTTGGGGTCTCACATCAATGGAAATCTTCTGAGGACAATTCCAAGACTTTTTCTGCCTCCCACAATGTGGAGGCCACCAGCATGTTCCAGTTATAGGCCTTGCCAGGGTTTCGAGAAGCTGCTCTGGAATTTGCAAGTCATGGCTGTGCCCTCTTGATGTGGTGAGGCAGGCTTTGTTTATAGCTTGCGCATTCTCATGGAGAAGTTATCAGACACTCTGGCTGGTTTGGAATGCTTCTTCTCAGGCATGAACATGTACTGTTCTCTTCTTGAACACTCATGCTGAAAGCCCAAGTAGGGGGTCTAAAATTTTTAAGGACTTTCCTTCCTCCATCTCCAAGAATGCTGAAACCAAGGGGGATGACATGTGACTCCTATGATCTCAGGTTCTCCTTGATTGGGACTGGGGCTGAAGGTTGAAGAGGTGAGCACGGCCAACAAAGCTGTTGATGGTAGGTGGCACACTGGGTGCCCAAGCTCAGAAGGCTCTTCTGACTACTGGGCAAAGAGTGTAGATCAGAGCAGCAGTGAAAACAAGTGCTGGCACCACCAGGCACCTCACAGAAATGAGATCAGGCTCTGCCTCACCTTGGGGCTTGACTTTTGTATAGGTAGATGTTCAGATTGCTTTGATTAATCCAGAATAACTAGCACCAGGGACTATGAATGGGCAAAACTGAATTATAAGAGGCTGATAATTCCAGTGGTCCATGGAATGCTTGAAAAATGTGCAAAACAGCGTTTAAGACTGTAATGAATCTAAGCAGCATTTCTGAAGTGGACTCTTTGGTGGCTTTGCATTTTAAAAATGAAATTTTCCAATGTCTGCCACACAAACGTATGTAAATGTATATACCCACACACATACACACATATGTCATATATTACTAGCATATGAGTTTCATAGCTAAGAAATAAAACTGTTAAAGTCTCCAAACTACTTTTACACTTCGGCACATTCTATTTCAATGTGGTATGCCTGGAATATACAAAAAAGTTACTTTTGGGCTCAGAGCCCGGGAAATAAGTCGTAAACTTTCATGGCATTGCTCTATCACGGAAATGGAATACACCAGTGATAATGACCCTGCTCTTTCACTGTGGTTTCTAACCTCCTGTCCAAAGTGTGGGGCACATTTGTTTAACTTCCAGAATGTGGTCACAGGATGAGGCATAGTTTTAAATGTCAGATTTTATGCATGTTTATTAAATCCTGGCAGTCTGTTCAATAGGCTTAAAGATGTTTTTTGGGCTTATGTATCCCAAAATCACTCACCAAAATACGGAGAACCAACTGACAACAGCTAAGTAGAATGCGCAGAGAAGTAGGCCAGAACTGACTTAACAGTGTGGTTTTGGGGCTGAATAGACGAGAGCTGAATCCCTGCCACTCACCAGTTTGTAAGACCTTGGGCGAATCTCTTAGCCTCTGAGCACCTGTTTCCTTTCTTTTTGGTGAAACATGGATCATAACAGCACCACCTCTATGGGTTGGTGTGAATACCTGAGACACTGCATGTAAAACACTTGGCACAGTTTGCATTTGGGGAGAAAAGGTCCAAAAAATAGCACTAGTTATTATTTCTTACAAGAACTGGTGACACAAAATGGAAGCCCTCCATGTCAGCTCCGTGGGTTAGCGAGGCGAGGGAGGGTTTGTATCGTGCCTTCCAGGTGTGTGGCATACCATGTGCACCTGGTGCAGCTGAGCACAGGCTGGGCCTTTCAGAGCCCACATGATCCTACCTACTGTTTCATAAACATGCCTAAATGCGTCTACAAGCAGAGTTTTACTGTACTCAGGCCACATGGACCTCCGAGTGCTTCCTCCAACTACAAAATCTGCCCTTTTAGGGTGACAAGGCTGACATTTATCTTTTAAGTGGCTTTCAAAGAGAGTTTCTGTCATTCCCCCTTTGTGCATTCATGTTAACCTGGAACACTTCTGACAGAGGGGCCACCAGTCCCTGGTATCCCTGACAGTGTCCCGGCCCAAGGGACAGAGGCAGAAGTAGAGTCAGGAGACAGGGCCCTGCAGCATTTCCACGAGTCCCCATGGAGAGATGCAGAAAGGTGTGATGAGAATGCAGGCTCTGGGCTCACTCTGACAGTGTTCAGTGACAGCTCCACCACCATGTACCCCTGTGCAGGGGATGCAGTACCCCTGACCCAAGCCCTGGTTCACCACCTACACCACTGGCTCATGAAGGCCTTCCCTCCTGGGGTGCTCATGAGCACGGCCAGCACACTGCAAGCACCATGCTTGGGCCTGCCTGGCCACAGCAACAGAAAAGCAGCGCTGGGACCATGGGGCTTTCCCTGACCAGGTGCCCGCCCCCTCCCAGGGTCCCTGCACTGGCCTTTTGTAGCTTAGGAAAGCCCTGCCTGCCTGGCCCCAGGAACAGCACAGCAGCAAAATCTTTCTTTGCCTTCCCTGCCTCCTCAGCCACTAATTGATCCTATGCGTCTGGGCCCTTACCTGCCACTCTTTGGAGTAGATGTCAGTTTACCAACCCCTTCCCCTGGATAGGGGAATAAACGCGGGCACAGCACATGCAGATTACAAAGGGCCTTCACGTCTTGATCTCACTCCATCCACATCACAGCCCAGGAAGCAGAAGATGCTGTTGGTACAGGCTCCATTCCACAGAGGAGACTGAGGTCATGTGTGGGGCAGAGCCAGTTCCCAATCTCAGCCCACCCTTCTCCCTTCCATTTGGCTCTCCCTTCTGCTTGTCCACACCAGCACATGGCATCAGAGGCCTTGGGGGAGGGGATGAGGCTGGGTGTGGGCTCTGCTTGAGTCCATACTGCCTTGGTGTGGCCTCAGGGTTGGAGGGTAAAGGATGTGCTCTTTCCCTACCAAGTTCCCAACACCTGGGGGTGGCTGCAGTACTTATGGGCTCCAATCCCTTCAGAGATATGGCAGAGGCCACTAATGGCCACATCATCTGAGATGTGGGGAACACAAGATGACACTGACTCTAGGGGCTACCTGGGTGCTAGGGGCCCAGGTGTCCTCCGTAGGTGTTCTGGACTGAGGAGATGGTGCCATAGAAGGGAAAAGCCTGGAGCTACCCCTACTGGAGGGGTGGAGGCAAAGCGAAGAGGATGGGGCCCAGAAGTGGTCAGGGCAGTCACTCTGGCCTCCTCCTCCAAGGGGCTCTCAAAGCAGCACCCCCTTCCAGCTGCCTAGTCCTTGTTGGTCCCTGGTAACTAATGCCATTTTGTAGAAGGCCTGGCACTATCATCCCCATTTTCAGATGAGAAAACTAGTTCAGAGAGATTAATGCCTGCCAAAGCTCACACAACAGAGCTAGGACTACAATCTCAGTAAACAGCCTTTCTTTGCCCAGAAATGTTGGCTCCAAGAAGGTTTCCTGCCACTGACAAGCCACAGGGTACCTGTCACCTCTGTATTCAGCTGAAGGCAGAGATCTTGGGTCAACCCACGCGCAAGGTGGCTTTGTAACCTTAACCATTCACCATATCCTGTTCTCATTTTGTTTCTGAGATACCAAACATCAAATCTCCTGGTGGGTGACAAATCTACCACAGCTCCCCTAAACACTCTGACCATGAAGCACCAGTTCTGAAGCAATTACTGGTAAAGATGCTCTGAGGGTTCAGGGAATGTTTCTGTGGGAGAGTTTAAGCTCACTTAGGGTCATCTGGGTATCTGAAGGATCTTCTTTGCAGGAGACGACTGGGCTGCGCAGTGCAAGGTACTGAGGTGGTAGCAGTAGCACACACAGCTCAGCCCCTGATGACACATCAGGAAAGCAACATAACTCCATGAAAGTCTTCCCAGGCATTAGACACTGGGCTGGGCTCAGTGCTCCACACACACAGTTCTCATGCAATCTTCCTAACACCCCTAGGGGTGAGTGCTGTTCCAGTCTCTTCGGTATAGAGGAGGAAACTGAGTTTGTGGGCTGCACTACCTAGAGCCATGGAGCCTGGAGGTGGCAGACCAGGTATGTTTGGTTCTGGAGCTCAAGCTCTTCACCACCATACTGTCTGCTCATCTGGTAGCTAGAGGGGGAGGCCGGGCCTCAAGGAGGCCATGACTGGGTAGAGGCTGAGCAAAGGCTGAGGGAGCCACAGCCCAGTGCCCCTGCCAGCCCTTACTCCACAGGCCTGGTTCACCAGCTGCCAAGAGCTTGATTTCCTTCTCTGCCTCAGTCCAGAGAACAGCTGGACACCTGGTCAGTGTAGATGGTGGAGGGTGGGCCTGAATGACTGAAAAGGGGTTGTGCATGGGTGTGTCTGGAGGGCTATGACGAATACCATCTTTTCTCCAGAAGTCAGGGGCTGTGGTCCTGCTCTGCACCACCATTCTAGGTCTGAGCCATGCACAGGGACCACTAGGAGGTTGCTTAGGGAGTCCCAGCATCAGGCCACATCTCCCTGGCAGGCTGGACTTTGGGACCCCTTCCTGACCCATCTCTGCCAGGAGGAGGGGCAAGGCAAACAACTTCCTTAGCCCCAAAACTGTGTACATGTGCGAAAGAGAGAACATGAAGGCAGGGGAGATGGGCAAAATGCGGACATGGGACGGAGAGAAGAGAGCTGAACTCTTCCAAATGAATCTTAAGCCAGTGGACTGGAGTCTAAAGCCTAGTTCTGGCACCTCCAACAACAGAAGTTATCCAGCCTCCTGAGGCTTCAGCTTCTTTGCCTATAAAATGAGATAATTTCCACTCCCTGATGGGCTGCACAGGGACTAGTGAGGTCACGTGTAAGAGCAGCTGGTGCAAGGGAGGCGCTCAACAGCATCACTTTCAACAACACTACTTCCAAGTGGCCTAATATTCCTCATGAATTTGGACTTAGTGTTTAATCTCTCCCGGATCCCTTCTTACCTTGGATTTGCTTATTTTTTCCCGAAGTTTCTTGCCAGGGATGCTTACACAAATCTAGGGCTCTAGATCTCCCACACTTTCTCAGACTCTCGGTGTTTTTGGTTTAGGTCTTAAAACTTAGGAAGAAAAAGTATGTAGGAAAAAGCTACCAGAAATGCTTGGGTTTATCTCTAGCTAATGCACAAAAAAAGTGTCTGACAACGCAGCCTTTAACTGACTTGGAAGGGTGGCTCTTCACCCTAACAGAAGTGCAGGGATTACAGGTTCCTATCAGTTAGTCCCAGATCCGCCTTGGTGGCCGAAGACCAGCACACTGGCAGTTTCCTTTCCCTGGAACAGTTCCTGATTTCCCAAGACCAAACCACACATATTTGTCAGCAGTCAGAATGCCTTCTGTTTTTGTTCCTACTGGGCAGGGGAAGGTGAGGGGTAAGGAGAGAGAGAGCTGTAGGATAGTCACTTTCTCACTCAGGCTAGAGGAAGCAAGAAGAGAATTTCAAGCCGGAATGTCCTCCCAGGCCCCCAGGTTTCTGGTCCTGCTCACTTTACCACCTATCATCTACCCACCTGGCTTTCCAGGTGATGGAGGCAGAGTGTGGCTTAGTGCTAGTGGAATGGAACATGCCCCAGGGACCATTGAGCCATGGGGGTTGGGAGAACACTGCAGGCTTACATGGTCAGGGGTTGGAGGGGTGTCCCAGGAAGGAAAGGAAAAGCCTAAAGTCACAGAAGTGACAGAAGTAGACATGATCTTGGGTCTGGTGAGTTTGGTGATCAGGCTGGCTTTATCCATGAAGCTATAACATGATAAGTTCAGTTATTCTCTAGTCAGGGAACAGAGGGTTGTGGAGATACATGTAAGCCCGAAGTCCCTTACAATGGCAGCGTCATGAAGATTAAAGACATGCAGCAGAAATCCTGAATGATCAATCTGACAGAGCAGTCCTAGCTCTCCTCTGAATTCTGGGCAGGAAAAGAGGGACAGATCTCAATGTTGAGGCAGGAGCATCATAAAAAATGTCCTTAACCAGAGGGAAAATGGGTCAAGAAACGTCTGGGACCTGGGACCCACATAAATTCTTTCTTGAGGTTCTGAACAGCCAGTGCTTTTTTGTAAACTGCTCTAAAGCCAGACAACACAGACTGAGAAACATCAAGCAAGGACCTCCTTTTCTTATGGGTCCCATGTCATAAACTCTTGACATTTTAACATGGTGGCACTTTATACAACTCATATTTTTAAAAACTGACCTTGTGAAACTCTCCTTGAAAACCTTGTTGGCAAATAGCTACACTAGAAAAATGAGAAGGCCAAGGGAGAATAAGTACTTAAGGATATCCTTGCCGTGGCTGCTTTGTCCCTCTGAAGCCTGCTCTGCCTGTGTAAGCTATAGCATTCTTGCGGCAGTCAGGAAGGTTCAGTGGATCCAGGTCACTGATTAAAAGCAGCATAAAATACCAGTGCTAGGGCAAAGTGCAGGCTAGGTGAGTGGAAAGTCCCTTGGGTTCCACAGGGTACAGAGTAATAGGCCTGTCCATATTTTTCTTACTGCTAAAACTTTGAGGCTTTGAGTGGGTTTATCTGCAGCTAAAGGAACCTCTGAGAGGGCGCATCTATCAGAGACAATTGCAACTAAATCCGAGCTTCCTTTCTCATGGCATCCTCGCCAAGCCTGATTAGTGTTTCCAAAAGATGAACTAAACTCACCGTGCTGGAGCCTCATGGACAAAGCCAATCCAATCACCAAACTGGAGACCCAAGACAGCCCCTACTCACTGTTGCCTCTGTGACTTTGGGCCTTGCCTTCCCTTCCTGGAACACCTTCCTCTGAAGCAAGCTTATCCAACCTGTGGCCCATAGGCCGCATGCAGCCCATGACTTTGAATGCAGCCCAACACAAATTCATAAACTTTCTTGAAACGTTATGACATTTTTTGGGGGGGGTAAGGCGATTTTTTTAAAGCTCATTAGCTATTGTTAGTGTTAGTTTATTTTATGTGTGGCCCAAAACAATTCTTCTTCCAGTGTGGTCCAGGGAAGCCAAAAGACTGGACACCCCTGCTCTGATGCGTTCCCTGACAGTATTAGCCTGCAGTGTTCTCCCAACCCCTATAGTCCAGTGGTCCCTAGGGCATGCTTCATTCCATTAGCACTAAGCCATACTCTGCCTTCATCACTCAGCAAGCCAGGTGGGTAGGTGGTAAGGTGAGTAAGACCAGGAGCACAGGGGCCTGGGAGCAAGGCTTTTAAAGAGCAGCATGTTGCTCTGAGCAATTGCCAAGGGCGGCCCAGCAAGGGTTGCTGTTATAGGCTGAATCGTCTCCCCATGCCCCAATTATTCACATGCTGAAGCCCTAAGCACCAGTACCTCAGACTGTGACTGCATTTGGAGATGAGGCCTGTAGAGGAATGATTAAGTTAAGATGATGCCGCTAGGGTGGGCCCTAATCCAATCGACCAGTGTCTGTAAGAAGAGGAGACTGAGAGACATGGAGACACACCAGGGGCATGCAACAGGGGACAGCCACATGAAGAGGCAGCAAGGGGGCAGATATCTGCAAGCCAAGGAGAAGCATCTTGCAGGAAACCAGCCCTGCCAGCACCTGACCTTGCACTTCCAGCCTCCAGAGCTGTGAGAAGGTAAATTTCTGTTATTTAAGCCACCCGGTCTGCGGTATTTTATATAGCACCCAAGCAAACTAATATAGTCGCTCAAGCCAAGAAAGACAGGCCTTAATAGTGATGCTGAAACCTGGGGCCACTGACATCTCTCAGGAACTCTCTGCAAGGCTCAACACTGACAACTTCCCGAGCGCCGATGCTCTTCAAGGCCATCGCAAGCACTGTTCCCTTAGGCAAGGACAGTCAATCCTGCTTCCAGTGTCTCACTTTCCTCATCCTTTGATAAGAAAGCACAGGGGCCAGGCCTGTAATGAGCACTCAGGAAATGGGGGTGACCTCTACTCACTGTTCAGCCGCATTTGGGTCGAGAGAATCAGTTTCAGTGGGTGTTTCAGGCAAAGAGGAGCCGGACTCCTGTATCTGGCACAATTCCTCATCTGTGATGATATCAAACACAGCGTCGTCCGGTGGCCTGTAGTCTGTATTTGCTCCTGGGCAGCAGAGGCAGATCAGGAGAGAAGAGACACAACACACTGTTATGCATAGGCTGGGTAAGGGCCCTTGGGAAAGTGAGAGAGTGCAGCTATGCAGAACAAGCTGCTGAGGCACAATTTAAGTGGTCACTCAACTGACAGCTATTCTGTCCAGAGTTGAGAGAAATGGTTGGTTGCTGGAACATTCCAAAAAAGTAGAGGAAGGCTTACAGACGAAATGGAATGTACAACCTAAGAGACTTCTCAAAGTCAGGGGCTTAGAGAGGTTTCAACCTCTTGCATATTCTCTGAGGTCCCTTATTTAGAAGGAAAAATCTTATTAAGAAAGAACCTAATAACAGAAAACACACTTCTATGCCACTAAATCCTTGCTCTGTAAGACACAGGCAGTACTTATTCATGTATTTTTGAAAGCAGGAGTCTGTCTGACCTGCATTTTCCCTTAATCCACTGATGCGTGGGAAAGAACCTCCCAGTGCTCAAGGGCTTGCAGCAGGCACTGGGTTTCCAACCAGGGGCCTTGTGTCCGACTGTGCAAACCACTTAGTAGGAAGGCCACTGTAGAAATGTTCCTGTACCAGTCATCTGCCCACAAACACTCTCCAGCATATGTCACGGAAAAATGTGAGAGCAGGTTTGAGGCAAAAATGAAAAAAACACTGGGTGCTGTGGCTCATGCCTATAATCCCAGCACTTTGGGAAGCCGGGGTGGGTGGATCACTTGAGGCCAGGAGTTCAGTACCAGCCTGGCCAACTTGATGAAACCCTGTGTCTAATAAAAATATAAAAATTAGCCAGGTGTGGTGGCGGGCACCTGTAATCCCAGCTACTCAGGAAGCTGAGGCACGAGAATCACATGAACCCAGGAGGCAGAGGTTGCAGTGAGCCGAGATCGTACCACTGCACTCCAGCCTGAGAAACAGAGCAAGACTTAGTCTCAAAAATAAATAAATAAATAAATAAATAAATAAATAAATAAATAAATGAGTAGACAGGAAATGTCAAAAATCAAAACAAGTGACCGCAGCACTCTGTGGTCACTAATGAGTCAGGGCAAGCCCATGCAAAGTTCCTGGGGTGTTTAGCAAGAAAAATGGTTCAGGTGAGCTTAAAGTTCCCACCTGGACCTGCCACATGACCACTAAGGCAGGCCCTGCTTTAGAAGTGAAGTTCTTCTTCTTGTTTCAAGTCTGTGTAATAGAGAGCTTGAGGCATAGGCTGAAAAAAGGGGCCAGGGATTGTTTTTTTTTCCATCAATTCAGCCACACTCCTGAACCTGCCTTGTAAGGCTGGCAGAGGGAAGGGAAAGCAGACAGCAGGGATCTAAAATGATGTCCACTGAGAGAAACCAAAGACTTAAATAAATAGAAAGTTGTATCATGTTCATGGACTGAGTCAATTTTATTAAGATGTCAATTCTCCCCAAACTGAACTAGAGATTCAATGCAATCTCAATTTAAATATCACCAGGATTTTTTGTAGAAATTGACAAACTGATTCTAAAACTTATATAGAAAAACAAAAAACCTAGAATAGCCAATACTTTGATAAAGAACAAAACTGGAGTCACTCTACGTGATGTTAAGATGCTTTATAAAACTATGGTCATCATAACAGTTTGGTATTAGTGAAAGAATAGGCACATAGATAAATGGAATAGAATAAAAGTCCAGATATAAATCCACACATATAAGGTCAATTGCCTACTTTCTCATGGCAGCATAAAAAAAAATAAGGTCGGTTTTTGACAAAGGTGCAAGGAACAGTCTTTCAATCAATGGTGTTGAAATAACTGGACAGCCATACAAAAAGATGAATCTCTATTCATACCTTGCACCATACACAAAGATAACTGAAAATGCATCATAGGCCTAAATGTATAAGCTAAAGCTGTAAAACTTCTAAGCGACAACAGAAGAAGGTCTGTGAGTCCTTGGGCTAAGTAAAGCCAGACATGACAACAAAAAGAAAAACATTTATGCATAACAGAAAAAACCTGATACATTGGACCTCATTAAAATGATAAACTTCTGCTCTTTGAAGACTTTTTTGCTCTTTGAAAGAAAATATAAAGATAAGCTATAGATTGGGAAAAAATACTTGTAAAATACATATGTGACAAAGAACTTGCATAGAGAATATACAGAGGACTCTCAACATTCAATACTTAAAAAACATTTTAAAATGGGCAAAAGATTTGAAGAAGATAAACTAAAGCTGTGCAAAGTACACTCCCCATCCTTGTCAGTTCTTTGTACCCAACAACATAATGGGGCCTGCCAACCACTTGGTAATCCACTCAAACAAAAGAGGAATGGACAGTATTTCTAAAGGCTGGCTGGCCTGCATCCAGGCAGAGGCCAAGGAGGAGTTCACAGGGACCAGCTGCAGATGGCAATGATGCTCGAGCAGAGACGAGCTGAGACCACTTCTGCCTGTGCCGTCTCAGCTCTGCCTCCCTGTGTTCCACATTCAAAGTCCAGTGCCCGGAAGGGCAGCCCAGGCCTGTCTGCTAGGGTGTGCTCAAAACCGAAGCAGCAGAACCCAAACTCTACTTCCTTCACTGGGCTGAGTGGGAGGACACAAAGGAGATTACATCCTCCTTGGACATGAAGGAAGAGCGAGCTTCAGGAAGAGACTGAAGGATATGGATGGTTCCAGACACAACTCCTAGCCTTGAGTTACTCTGGATGCCAAGGCTGCAGCTCTGGTAGACGGCATTCTCCAAAGCATGGGGTGTATTTCATGAATGTGCATTAACAGGTACATAGACTTCAGGTTAAATCACACTGAATCTTATCAGGGCAAAGTTATTCCTTTTTCAATTCTCTTTCAATCCTAATATATCAAAATGAAAGTCTCAAGTTGGTGGTAATATATTTTAGCACCTCTTTAATACCTAAGTTTAGAAAACACTGAATTCAGCTTATTAGCACTAACTAGCCACAACATCGGTAGGGGAGGAAGTGGCACCTAGAGAACATAGTAGGCAGTAGTAGCAGGAGACTGACCTTGGCCTCCTGTGGCCTGGGGCCCAGGTGAGGCTGGTGACAGTGCAGGGCTGGGCTCTCCCTGGCTAGTGCCTGAGCCACTGCTATCAGGGGAGCCAGGGCCTTCACTGAGCTTCTGGAAACAGGCTCGGCAGCAGCGCTCCTTTTTGCCACCGTGCTTGCTCAGGACGTAGTTGTTGCAGCAGTAGTAACAGAAGATGCGGCCACATATCCTGGGAACAAAACAAGCCCAGGCTGTGAGGATGACACACTATGATCTTGTGTGATCTGCTCAGCACCCAAACTGGGCTCTGGATGCCATGTGACTCTCATCAGACCTGGCTCTGCCCCCAAGTTAGGATGTGGCCATGAGCTCATTTCATAAGATTCCAACAAAGCCTTCTTGTCAGCTTGGTGAAAGCATGGTTTACTTCCTAAGGTCCTGGGAGGCAGGGAGACAAAGTGTGGCTGAGCCCACCTTCCCTGGCACCAAGTTGTAGGTATGCCTCCCATATCTCAGAAGCTAAGGCTCTAAGAGACCACAGACCTTCACAGCTCTGCTGATTATTCTGCACCTGCCCCCAGCCCAGCCCGAGATTCATCTTTATCCATCCTTCTCTGGCCTTCATGCCCCTGGCACTGCCTGTGTTCCTCTAGTGAGGTTTCAGGCCAGCTCTTGCTGGCTTCCAGTAATGCTGCTCCCCTCTGGTCCCTATAGGAATGGTAGAAGAACTGCTAGTCTCTGGGTATGCCCCATCCCTGCGGGGCCCCCTAACTCCATCCACATCTCTGTATTTTTTCCTTTCAGGGAGCCCTGAGTGTCTTGTTAGGATCCCAACTAATACACCTTCCTTACCTGGTTCCCTTAAAGCCAAAACGCAATGTGCTCTTCCTAAATAGTCAGCCATGGTGCCAACACCTATCACAGAGTCCTCTTTTGGAGCTGTCTGCTCTGGTCCTGGGCCCCACCAGGGTGTTGGTGCCAACCCACGAGCTCCCTGCTGACCTGCAGTGGTGCCGCCGCACCATCCAGCTGAACTCCCGCTTACAGTCGAGGCAGTGGTTTGCCTCTGTGTCTCCGAGCCATCTCTCCTCAGCACTGAGCTTCTGCTGGAATTCCAGGGCATCTGACTTCTGCCAGAGAGCATCCTTGTCCCTGGGACAAAACCACATTGGAAGAAAAGGAGAGAGAATCCATGAAAACAATAGGATGATCCTTCTTCATTTCAAAAGACTGGTATCAAATTTCCTAAGTCATAGAAAGAAAATTCACTTTCACCTTGGAAATATGCCCCAGCCCATGCTAAGTCTCCTCCATCTCCCCCGACATGCAGACTTAACTGACACCGCATGTGTGAGAACATGCGGGAGGCAAAAGATGTACACAGAAGGCACTGTTAAATGCAAAGAGCTGCCAGCACCAAAGAGAGCCACCACTCAGGCACCTAAACAACAGTGCTGGGGGACCACTGGGAGTTTAAGCTAAAACGTGCTGCCATGCCGACGGCGTGCAGTAAGCCCAAGGACCATGAATGTACTTCCCACCTGAATCTTAATGTGCTTGGGGCCCTTTATGTTTCTATGGTTGATCCAAGTAACAATTAATCAGTGGAGAAGATCAAAGATTTCCTAGTGTGAAAATCTGATCAGATGTTAGCCTCCTCTGCCCCTCAGAGAGATGGTAAGGTCACTCCAAGAAGCCAGACTCAAAGAAGTGTGAGGCTTTCCAGAAAGGTCTGGCAGTGTCAGAATGTGCCTGATGCACTGGAGGGGGAGGATGTGAACAGAGGCTTCCTCAGGGATACTAATGAGCATGTTCAGGCTTGATGGTTTCTGACATGTGAAGTTTAGTTCTTTCTCGTATGGAGCCCCAGCTAGCATCCTCAGGGCTAACGTGGCTCTAGCAGCACCTCAGCCACCGGTAATGTGACACCCGAGCCACTCAGGTCCTGAGAGAGACAGGCTCCATCACTGACCAGGAACTCCCAATCAACCCCAGATCTTTTGCCTTAAATAAAAAAGCTTGAACATGGGCTTGGCTGGCTTTTTCAAGGACACTTGAAATTGTCAGGAAGCAGGAAGACTCATTCTCTGAAGCAGCCTCATTCTCTAGGCTGGTCCACCCAAACTTTGGGAATGTGGAATGCTGCCAGGAGCTGGTGTTTTCCATCACACCCCTCAGGTCACAAATACCCTGAGTTCTAACTCTGTATATTGATGATAAGAAGGCAGAGTTTTTAAACTTTCAAATTGGTTATAATTTTAATATCACTGTTTTCTAACACTTAATGAATTAGCATATCTAGGCTTTGCTGATCCATGGTGCTGCTAACATCACAAAAACAGGGCTAATCAGATTGTATGTGCCTCTTGAAGGAAAGACCCCAAACTACAAACCAATTCTATGAAGGCTTCTTACCAAAATTTTGAACCTGAGTCTAAGCAAGCTGCCAGTAGAATGATGGTTCTCAGCTCTGGCTCACTGGTGTCTGAGTCTCACTCCCAGAAATTCCAATTCGGTTAGTCTTGGTGGGGCCTGGACATGGGCATTTTTAAATTACTTTCCTAGTGATTCTAATATGTAGCCAGGATTGAGAACCACTGCAATAGTTCTAACTATGGACTCACAGGAAATGCAAGGGATGGATGATCATGTTAAATGACACCATGGGGATGCAATCGGCAAAAGTAGAGAGATGATAGGGAAACCCATTGACTAAAAGGGATGTAAGAGACACAGCAATTGCAATAGATGAATCTAATTTAGATCCTGATTAGAACGACCTGAAAATATTCTAAGGCAATCGGAAAAATTTGAAACTGACTAGACACTTGATGATATTAAGAAATTATACTTCATTTTTTAAGGTGTAATAAGGACACTGTGGTTGTTTAAAATGGAGGGTTCTGGCACCAGGCATGGTGGCTCATGCCTGTACTCCCAGGACTTGGGAGGCTGAGGCAGGCAAATCATTTGGGGCCAGGAATTCAGAACCAGCCTGGCCAACATGGTGAAGCCTATTTCTACTAAAAATATAAAAATTAGCTGGGAGTGGTGGTGTGTGCCTGTAATCCCAGCTACTTGGGTGGCTGAGGCACAAGAATCGCTTGAATGCAGGAGGAAGAGGTTGCAGTGAGCCAAGATCACGCCACTGTACTCAAGCCTGGGCAACAGAGTGAGACTCTGTCTCAAAAAAAAAAAAAATTCAAAAAATAGAAAATAAAAGAGTCCTTACCTTGGAGAGGTACATATTGAAATATTTATGGATGAAATGATATGTCTGGGATTTGCTTCAAAATAATCTGGGAAGGTGGGTAAGCAGGTGGGTCTACAGATGAATCAAGACTGGCCCTGAGCTGAACACTGTTGAAGCTGGGTGACAGGTACCTGGAGGTGTATTACATGATTCCATTTTTGTATATTTGAAAATTTCCATAAGGAAAAGTTAAAATAAGTTTTGAATGACTTGTCAGCATTAAAAAATCAGGACACTTCACATTAAGATCCAGGTTTCCACCTTCTCTCAAGAAGTAAGGTGGTCTGGCAGTTCTAGGCCAAGACATATGGCAGAAGCAGAGCCCAGCTGTGTCCTCAGTTTCTCACAGTCCCCTCCTGATACAAGCTTCCACTTGTATCAGCTGCCTGGTACCTGCAGGCGCTGGAGTTTGGGACTCTAGTACTGGGGAAAGTGAGATGGAGAAGGAGAGAGGGGCTCCTGAGACAGCAGCAAGAAAGTGGGGAAATTTCTGAAGTATGCTTTCAAGAACAGCTGCATTTCTTTAGAGAAAAACCCCAGTGTGGGGAAAACCCCAGCTGCTGGTTTGACACAGCACTCACCTGAGCAGCTCTATCAGCCGCTCCTCGAGATACTTCTTGGTTCTGTTGAGGTCATCCAGGTCAGCAAGCATCTTCTGGTCATTCCTCTCACGATTTGTCACCTCCTGGCAGAGTTTGTTGTAATACTCTTGGATTTTTGTTGTGGCTTTTTCGAGTTCCTTCTGGGTCCTGGGGGAGGAGTGGTAAGTTTTCTTGATTAGCCAGGACTTCCAGCTTTCCCAGGGCTCTAAGCTCACCCAGGACTCTAATGAGGGGTGCTACTGCCCTCCGCCATGGGGGAGCCCCTTGGTATCTGCTCACAGCTTATGCAGTCCCCTAGCTTTTGAGACTCTCCTCTCACCCCCACATACAAAGGGGCATTCTGGGAGGGAAAGCAGGCTGACCCCAGGTTGCCAGAAGCACCCTAAGTGAATAGAACTCTGCACCCCTTGGCTCCTGGACAGGGGCTGGGCTTGCAAGAGAAGCCTGATAGGCAAGGCTCATGGGCTGGTGATGGGGAGGATGGGCAGGAGGAGAAAGGAGTCAGGACAGGCAGGACAGAGGTGTAGCTTCCTGGAGGTGGCCACACAGAGGAGGGCCTGTCTTCCACACGTCCTTGGGACTCTACACATGGGGCATGGCCCTGGGCCCACAGCAGGCACTCAGTCTTAATCTGCACTGCCAGCTGTTCTACCTGATAGCCCCCCTGAGGCCCAGGGAATTCCGTTTTGGGTGCTGCAGGGTGTCTCAGTCTATAGCAGAGGGAGCTGGCTGAATCTCGCTGTCTTCCTCACCCCACCCACTCCATTTTTAATGCAGCTATTTCCTAAGGCAGTGGTTTTCCAAGGATGGTCCAGTGGGACATAATAAAAGCTCCATTAAACAAAGGGTTCTGCAGAGAGACTGATTACTTTACACCTTCCACATCTAGTATAAAGTTGCCAGGAAGTTGTTTAGTAGACCCTGTCCACCAAAATGGCCTTATAGGTGCACCCACACACACAGGCAGCATATGTGTGTGCTTGCACACACACACACCACACACACACACTGAATAAAATAAGTTGGCAAATAGACTGTACAGCTTTGAGCAACTGAAACAAATGCTCTGAGATCTTACAAAAAACCACTGTTTATCATGTTTTCATGCCACCAACTCAGACTCTGTTTAAATTGTCATATGAACATGACTTAACTAAGGGCAGCCAGTGCCCTGTAGGATCTGAACACTAGAAGGGTAAGATGAAAAATGTATGTCCAGGTTACCAAATGTCAAAGATATCCTGGATCTCCTACTGAGCCAGAGCCCAGGCCTAGAAGGCAGGTGTTGGGAAGAGGTAATAGATAAATAGAAAAGTTAGAGACTTGGGACAATTTGGTGTGCTTATCTTTGCTGGTGGCACACATGCAATTCGATTCCAGCAACTCCTCCTCCCTGCTACACCTTTTTAAAATCAGGTCTTCCTCCCTGTTACATCTTTTCTTAATCAGGTCCTGGCTCAACTAGCTGTGTCCCATGACCACATGGTGGACTTAGGCTCACAACTCCACATGGCCCCAAGCCTGAAAATGAGGGGGTCAAGGAGGCCTTGGGTGGCAGCGTGATCTGCTATCCACAGATATGGCATCAGAGTCTGCACAAAGACAGGCTGATCCTGGTCCTTGGCACACTCATCTTCCTCATCCATAAAATGGGGATAGATGATAACACCTTCCTCATAGGACTGTTAGGAGGATTAAATGGGTAAATGTATGCAAAGTATTCAAAACAGAGTCGGCCACGTTTTCAGCATTATTTAAATACATGCTGCTACTATTACCATTATTATTATGATCTAACTTTTATTTCATTTTAGTTTTTCCAAAGCTTGCAGTTACTGAAGTATGATATGCACTGCCAGAGAGAAGAAAATTGAGTTAGGAGAAAGGTGCTTTAGCCGTGTATAGGTTGTGATGGGCAGGCAACCAGGTTCTCTGTGGCATGCTTCCAGCAGAAGCACTTTCTGAGTTTGTGGCTTTTCTTGCAAAAGGACTTCCTAAACCTAATATGAGTGACTGACTTTCTAAATGACGAGACCAAACACTCCTTCCCTGAAGACTACCGACAGCTACGTAGGTGGACTGTGACTAACCTTTCTAGGTCTTCACGCAGGGCAGCCCCCTCCTTGTCCTTCCTCAGCATGGCCGCCTGGCACTCTGCAAGATGGTTGCTAGTGCAGCTCAGCTTCTCTCCCATGTCTGCTTGGGTGGCCTGGCACAGGACGTCAGGGAGAAGACACTCAGCTTGCAGAAGGCCATGCAACGTACCATAAAGTGGCTGGTGTGCCATCCACCCCATCTGGCTGGGTCACTTCTAAATGGAGGGTTGTTTCCTATTAAGTTCAAGAGGCCATGAACCTCTGCTCTATATTTGTGGGGCCTCAACTGCAACTAGTTGTGGTGGTTGGCAAGTGGCAGGTACCAGAATTCCCAGGGTAACACTGAAGGTAGGGGTGGCAGGGAGCAGGATTCACCTGAACAAGTCACTGCTCTGAAGACTGTGGATCCAGTGCCACCCCTGCTCCCACCCATTTCAGAATCACTGGCTGGCGATCACCCATAGAGATGGCCAAAGAGGACACTTATTTCCTTTCTGCATTTGGCAGCTCCGGCCAGGTGTCCAGGGAATGGATGGAGGGGGTCAGGGTACAAACTAGGGTGTCTACAAAGGTGAACTGAGGACGGCTTCAGCTTGGGAATCTGGAGGCATGCAGGGAGCCCTCTTAAATGGTCCAGTCAAAACCACACCAGATGCCCTCTCCCTGACAGGTCTACACTACCAGGGCCTACCTTCAGCTTCTCCACAGCTTCCTCAGCAGCCTGCAGCTGCCGGCCTTGCTCCTCAAGCTGGCCCCTGAGGCTCTTGCACTCTTCACCAGCATTCTAGAGAGGACAAGAAAGAAAGAGGACATAAAAGTAGGGTCCTTGCTCTGAGGATCCCTCAGCCCCCTCACCCAAACAGATAAAACCAAGCTAACTTTCTCTTTTTCCCTGCAAACTGGCTCCTCAATGAGCTTTGGGTTTATTAATAGTGAAACACTTTCAAGCTTACTAAGAAAAGAGACTTAGCCTGGTCCCCAAACTTAGAACTTAATTTCCGCAAGGGAAAAAGTTGGCTATAAGCCACATGGAGTTTCACGGAGTGGGGTGGCACTGGGTGGGGAGGCACATCTGTGGCACTGCGGTGGAGCTGCCTCAGAGAGGAGGGTTAGGAGTAGCCTGAGAGTGCACAGACCTTGATGCAGACAGACTAGTGGCAAGCCCTGGAAACCAAAGCCCCAGGCCATTCTGCGCTGTCTTCACTCTAGACAGTCCTTAACCCCTCATCTTTGTGTACTATCAAAGGCACATAGTAACTGCTCATCTCATTAACTTGTCTGTCCCAAGGGCCTTGTAAAAATGAAGTGAGCTTGTTCCCTTCCCTGTATCTGCTGTCAGGAGAGCACCTGATGGGGTTGGTTATTCATTAAGAACTCAGAGATAGGACATGAGGCAGCTGTGAACTGCTGGCCCTCTGCAGGGGTTTTAGAGGCCAAGTCAGGGCTCTCACACTCACATGCCCGGCGGGGCTGGGCAAGTACAGAAACCAGTGTAAGGAAAAGTGCAGAGGATGTGTGCCTCCTTTAAAGTGGGCAGACACCCTCAGGTTCCTGCTGACTGCTGCCACAGGGCGGGGGCAAGGTGAGGACGCAGGCTTTCAAAAGCCCTCAAACTATATTTGTAAACACCCTGCTCTTTCAATGTTGGCTACTAGTTTTACAAACTTCTGTGTGGGCTAATCTTGTTTGCAATGGTCTTGAGTTTAAACTTCTGGGCTAAGGCATCACTCCCAATGTTCTGCGCCTAACATATTCCTGCAGAGAGAAAGATGCTACTGGGAGCTGTGATAGGAAAGGGCCACAAGGTGTTTGCCTGCACCCACAGTACATTCTCCAGCCCTCACCTGCCTCATGGCTAAAGGTGCATCTTCCCATGGACCCACCAGGCCTGCCCAGGGAGAGGGGTAGAGCCCAAGTGGTTGAAGCTAGGATTACCTTAAGTCTGCTCTGGTAGTCCATGATTTCAGCACTCAGCTGGAACTTGAGGGTGTTGAGCTCCTGGTGTGCAGCCTCTTGGAGGCTCTGGGCCCGCTGCTCTGCCTGGGCGAGCTGGGCCTGCAGGCCAGGCAGTGAGCCGGCTGCTGCCTTGGCCGCCTTCAGCTTCTCCTGCAAGCTCTCCTTCTCTTGCTGCAGCCCAGCTACTTGGCGCTCCAGGCCCTCTCGCTCCCTTGAGGCTGCCTCTTTGGCGTCCTGGAGCTCCTGGACAGCACAGGCCAGTGCCTCCTCCACTCGCTCCTTTTCCACGGTCAGTGCGCAAACCTGGATGCCCAGCTCAGCTGTGTCTGTGTTGGCCCGGTGCAGCTGCTCTTGCAGCTCAGCGTGCTCCAGCTGTGCTTCCTCGGAGCTGCATTTGGCCTGGGACAGCTCCTCCTGCAGGGCCCGCAGCTCCTCCTCCCTCTGCTGGGCCTCATCGGCCCTCTCCTCCTGCAGTGCCCCTTCACGCTCCGAGCATTGCAGCAGCTCCTGGACATGGGCTCTGTTAAGGGCTTCATTCTGCTCCTTCAGCTGCTGCACAAGGGTTTTGTGCTCCCTCAGGACGGCCTCAGCCATGCTTAGCTGGCTCTGCACCTTGTCCTGGTCATCCAGGGCTGCCCGCATCTTGGCCTGGAGGTCCACCACCTGAGCCTGCAGCCGTTGGACCTCCCCCTGATGGACTTCCAGCTGCGCCTGAGACAGGGCTAGCTGGGCAGCCAGCTCACGGGCTTCATTGTCAGTGGGTGGGCCAACTCCCTGTTGGCCTTTCTCTGCTGTGAGGACCTCAATCAGCTGGGTCTGCTGCTGGCACTGGCTCTCGAGAGCCCTAAGCTCTCTGTGCCGGGCTTCTGCCAGTTGCTGGCACTGCTCCACCTCCTCCCGCAGCTGCTGACACTCGCCCTCCTTGCTCTGTAGAATGGCCTCCTTCTCTGCCATCTGGGCTTTCATGGCCTCCTTGGCCTTCCTTACAGCCAGCAAGCTCGCCTCCATCTGGTCACCCAAGTGCCGGATGCTGGCCTGCTCGGCCTCCAGGGAGGCCAAGGAGCCCTGGATGGCTGATTCCCGCTGCTGCAAAGCCTGGTAATCGGCCTGCAGGGCTTGCAGCTTGCCCTCCAGGAGCTGGTTACGCCCGACCACATTCTGTAGCTCCTTCTCCAGCTCCCTGTTGGCCTGCCGGAGCTCTTCCTCCTGGCTGCCCTCTTGCACCTTGGTATCGTCTAACTGTGCCTCCTGCAGGCCCCTCTGCTCCTCCTCTGGCTTCCCCCAGGCCTCTTGCAGACTGGAGTTCACAGGGACCAGGGCCTCATTCTTCTCACCTGCCACTGGCAGTTCTGGGCCAGGCGGCCCAGCAAGCCGCTCGAGCATACCCACCTGCTGGCTGAGGTGGTCTTTGTCCTGAATGAGCTGCTTCTTCTGCTCCTCCAGGTCACTCACATGTTGGCTCACCTGTGCCAGCTGGGTCTCCAGGAACTGCAGCTGCCGGGTCAGAGACCTGACCTCCTGCTCCAGCAGCTCCTTCTCCTCCTGTTGCTGTTTTTTCTCCCGCCTCAACTCTGCTAGCTCCTCCTCCCAGGAGCTCGTGTGGGCCAGCAACTCCTGCAGCCGTCGCCAGAGCTGGTCTGCCTCCTGTCCCTTCCCAGACAACTCCTCCTGGAGTGGGGCCATCTCCTTCACCAGGCGCTCCAGGCTGGCCCGGGCATCCTCTTTCAGCTGAAGCTCCTTGACCAGCTGTTCCAGTTGGGCACTCTGCTGTCTGTTGACCTCCTCGACCTTGGTTCTCTCCCTTTCTAGGGCTTGAAGCTTCTCCCCTAGCTCCTGCATCTCCTGGGCCGCATCACTGGGAATAGGTTCTTGCCGGCCCTTTGTGTCTGATGCCGTATCTGCCTTCTGCTGAGCCATGGCTAGCCAGCCTGGGAAGCTGGCTAAATGCTGGTTTTTCTTGTCCAGTGAGTCCCGTGTGGCCTCAAGCTCCTGTGCCAAGGGCTGCAGCATGGACTCCAGCCGCCGCAGGGCTGTGTGGTAGTCCTCCTCCTTCTCTGCTGCTCCTAGCTCCAGGCCCTGCAGGCATGTCTGCAGCTCCTTCACAGTGTTCTGGGTGGCCTGGGTGACCTCCCACTGCTTCTGGAGCTCAGCTACCAAGCAAGTGAGGCGAACGTTGTCCTCCGCTGCAGTGCGCCCCCTCTCCCTCTCTGTCTGCAGTTGCTCCCCTTGCTGGCTGACAGCTGCCCTCAGCTCCTGGTTCTCTCTGTCCAGCTGCTGCATGCGCTCCCGTAGCTGCTTCTCCCGCACCTCCAACTGGTCCAGCTCTAGTCGCATCTCATCAAAGCCCTCCAATGCCTCGTTGTTTAGGGGGCTGTTCAGGTCAAAGTTGGACACCATCTCTTGAGTCTGGGAGGGAAAACACAAAAGACAAGTGGCTTTAGGATGAAGCTACAGGGCTATTTAGAAAAGCTTTAGAGTTTAATGAGAGCAGAGGTAAAAATACAGGCATTACCTGCCCTAAGGTTAGTCTAAAGAACTATTCAAAAGACTAGAATCCCTTTGCTCAAAGCATCTGCCACAGATTCAGCAGCACATTCCAAAGCTATGAGGCCACCCATGTGAGCTCCACTGAGATACAGACTTGCATTTCCCATCCAGCCTTCTTCAGCCTTATTAACTTAATGGACGTTGTCTCTGAGATAAATTCAGTTATATCTAAGCTGTTGTTCATTCATTGTGCCATACCCGTAACTGCAACTCCTGGCATGATTAAGCCACAAAATAAGGTAAAAGATTCATCTATTTTCTACTCTTAATGCTCCTTATATTGATCATTTTAATTTTTTTAATTGCTATTCAGTTTCCACAGAACTATATACAGCTGTGATAAATTCACATTTCTAAAAAAAATTAACAAACTGCCACTACCTACTAACATTGACTGAGCCCTTGCATATGTCAAGCCCGTAAGTACTTAACATATGCTTAAGAAGTGCATGCGCACTCCTCATTTATGAGCTAGAATGAGTTTTATTATCCCCATCCTGTGGATGAGAGAGCTGAAGGTTAAGTAATTTCCCCTTGGTCACAGCTGGTAGGTGAGAATCAGGATTTGACTCTTGTCACTTTTAACCACGGTGCTAAACTGCTTCTTTTAAAATACTTTAAAATCATTTAGAAGAATGTAATTTTAAGAGAGCCTAGATTCTATTTGGTTGAAAAACCCAGACTCCCGGGAACAGCAGCCATAACTGAGTGGTTCTATTGCTCTGGCTGGAACAACGGGCATCTGAGAACATCACCCTTGAGTTGCTAGGGGCAAGGACATACCCTGGTAGAAGCTATAGGAAGATAATTCCCAGCCTTCCTGGCCTTACCTGCAGGTAGCTGCTCACCAAGCTGCTCATGCTGGAGCTGCGGCTAGGGGGTTTCCACAGGTAAGCAGAAGAGCCAGTGGTCAGCGTCCTCCTGTGGGGCCACAAAACAGACATACCTGTATTCAGAGCAGGAAACCTAACACATGGAGGCCTTGCTGGTCACTAGGCAACCAGGTGGTGGTAGGGGGCTGCCTTCCCAGGTAGAATGTAAGAAAGTCAAAGCCAACAGATTCCACCAAAGAGCACAGCTACACTGGTCTGTAACAGATAAATTCCATGGCTAGAGTTTTACCATCATGGCTTTCCTCCCACTGCCAAAAAAGAATTAAGTGAACATGTATTTCCCACTATTTGGTTTAAATTTTCCTTGAGCTTTTGGTGCCTGCCTCAGTTTGTCTGCCAGTGAGGAACAAGCAGCAGTCAGTTTGGTAAATAAGAGTCACACTGTGCTTGGGGGCTCAGCTGCCCGCTCTGTATGACACAGCAACAGTGTGGCTGGGAGGCCTGCTTCTAGGTCACATAACCAGGCCAGTCAGTGCAGATACAGAACATTTCCCTCATGCAGAAAGTTCCATTGGATGGCACTGCTTTAGAAATACAAAGGCTTGTGTGATAACTCTCGTTTAGCAGGAACACTGGAAACGAAACACATTTTTACTTCATCAGAATCATCTCCTAAATCTAAAATTATTGTGTGTTCAAACCTAGTCTCCAAAACCCAGCAACTGCCCTTCACAGTATCTTCCCTGAAGACAGTCACATATGTACATAAGGAGACAGTGGGGATGCTCTTGGCAGCACTGTAACTGGAAAAAGGGAAACCAAACAAACTCTACACTGCTATGGAAAGAGATACACTGTGGCTTATTCACCCAACAGAATTCTCTACACCATGGGTTGGCATTCTTTTTTTTTGAAAAGGGCCAGATAGTAAATATTTTGGTCTTGTGGGCTATATGGTCTCTGTCACTCAACTGGCACTGTTAGCATAAAAGCAGCCATGGACAACAGGTGAGTAAATGGGCAAAGCTGTGTTCCACACAGCCCTCTGGGCTGTGCTTTGCCAACCCAACTCTACACTTACAGAACTCCATGTATAAACAGATACAAAATCTCAAAAACAAGGCAAAATGAAAAAAGCAGGTTGCAAAGGATAGCTATTACATGATTCAACATGTGTAAAATTTTAAAACATTTACAAAATAAAACTATATATATATACATATATAAAATATTTACAAATACACAATTAATAATGAAAGCATAAGATCTGAGAATGAAATGCATTGATTACATGATTACTTCTGAAAGGGGAACAAAGGAGAAAGGATGGCATTGGGGTGGGGCTTTAGCTGATCTATAATATTTTATTTCTTAAAAAAGTATCAGATGTAACCAAACCTCCCCACAAGAGCCAGCTTGAAGGGGGCTCCCCACTGGGGTAATTGGATAAATGGGATAATGTAAGCTTCAAAATAAATAATGACAGTGACAGAATGCAACCTATTGAATAAAATAAGAATCCATGAGTCAATACTGCTATGAATGAATAAATGGGGAAAAAGAAAAAGATCTTCCTTACAGTAGAATGCCAACTAATAATGTAAAAGAAATAATGGAGTTAGAAAATCACTCTGGTAATTATTATGGTAATAACTGCTTCAGGCAAGAATGATCAAATGGTATTAAAACTAATACAGGACAGATTTAAGAGAAAAAAGGATAATAATGTAATTTCAGCATGTCTTCCCATAAGATATATACTCATTACAAAGGAAGAAATAGTAACTTTTGGAGAAACTTGGCAAGCACCGCCTTACCCAAATGACCAGGGTTAACCTCATTAGTAATGAAACAAATCAACACTGTGTGCCTCCAGATACAGTGTGCTGACAAGGACACAACAGGTAAGGTATTCCTGCCAAAAACACTTAACCTAAATCCAATAATGAGGAAACATCAGACAAACTCAAATTAAGGAACATTTTACAAAATAACTGGCCTGTATTTTTCAAAAATGTCAATGTTATGAAAGACAAAGACTGAAAAACTGTTCAAAATTAAAGGGGACTAGAGAGGCATAGCAATTAATGAATTAACAATTAATATGTGATCTGGGATTGGACCTTAGATTATGAGAGACATTACTGAGATAATTTGTAAAATTTAAATGAGATCTGTAAATTAGATAGCAGTATTGTATCAATGCTAATTTTCTGATTTTAATAACTGTACTGAGTTATATAACAGGATGTCCTTGATTTTAGAAAATACACAATTAAGTACTTAAGAGAAAAGAGGATCAAGTCTGTAATTTACTCTCAAAAGGCTTAGGAAATAAATCAACATGTAAATAGAAAAAATGATGAACAATTATAGTAAAATATCGATAACTAGGGAATCAGGGTGAAGGATAGATGAGTACTTTGTACTATTTTTGCAACTTTTCTGTAATTCTGAAATTATTTCAAAATGTAAAAGTTTTAAAAAGAGTATCTGGGCCAGGCGTGGTGGCTCACACCTGTAATCCCAGCAGTTTGGAAGGCCAAGATAGGAGGATAGCTTGAGCCCAGGAGTTCAAACCAGCTTGGGAGAGATGGCAAGACTCCGTCCCTACAAAAAATAAAAATAAAAAAAGGACATCTGAATATGGCAAAATTAAATCCTAGTGGTTTGCATGTGACTATCATAGTCACCACTTTTCTCTATACATGAAGTATTTCCTAATAAAAAATATGAATGTTAAATTTTAAAAGCCTTATAAACAGAAAGCAAAACAAAACAAAGAACACTGGACTTGATTTTAACCCAAGTCAGGTGTCCCAGGCCTGCTGCCCACCAGCTAGGTGACTTTGTCAAGTCCCCTGATCCTCTGAGCCTGTTCCTCACACCTCCTTCTTGGAGCTCATGTAAGGACTCTGGTGGTATGTGAGTGCCACACTGGTGTAAGATATGGCTGGCTTGATGGCCTCAGAAAAGAAAAAAAGAAGAAACAAAAATGCAGCAACCTTTCCTGCAACCCTTATGTGGACAAGCTGTGGCTTTCACTTCCTCTCCTACTGCTTAGGAGCCTTCTGTAATAACTCCATAAGAACAGGCACGGGAAAAAGCCCACTCCTCCCCCAATGCCCGTAACAACAAGTGCCTTAAAAAAATTTTAAAGCCTTGGCTTTTGCAATACACATCTCCACTGACTCATGCCCTGGCCAGTTAAGTTGGTTTAAGGTTGGAGCCTTCAGATGTTATTGTTAGTCATGATTCAACAAAGTCTGTAAAAGGAGCTGGAATAAGAGTTGAACAGGTTTGTGTAATTTACTGAGCAAGCAAAATTGTTTTGAGTAGACTGGTGGCAATCTTCAAAACTTCAAATGTCTCTTTTCCTGTCTTTTAAACCAAGCAATCCTTCAAAGTACCTGGCAAATGTTGGCCAGGCAGCATCCAAGTCAAAGCCCCTCGACGCCAGGTCAAACTGAACCTCAGTCAGCTCATAGAGTTGGCCCACAATGTCCGAGCTCAGCTTTGGCTGCAGAAAGGGGCTTCTTGCATAGTACCAGTCACTGCAGAAAAACATGTCAATTATAAGAGTAATAAAGATAAAGTATGAATTTACTCAGTCCTCCCACTGTGGCTCTGCCTCATCGAATTCCAACTCAGGTTACTAAATTAAAAGACACAGGCACACAAACCAATTTCATTTTCATGGTAGAAGAACATAACTCTCAAATAAGCTTGCTCTTCTTCAAAGAAATTACTGCAATGATCTGGATGCTTATTCATTTATTATATATATCATATCTACTTCTCAAAAAGGATATGGGAAACCTTAAACATCAATTATTTGCCAAGAAAGGGGAATTGTAGGAGAAAGAAAACTTCTTTTTTGAAAGATTACTACCTATTCCATTTTCAGAACTCAATATGGGACACTAAACTCACTGCTAATTTCTGTCCAGATACCAATTTAAAAGCCAAGGAACAAACTATTCAGAAATGGTTCAGCACCGTAAGACAGGGTGAGAAAAAATAAAATAAATGTTATCTGCATTTTGAGGTAGTGGTTGTTTCATTTCAGGCAAAGTAACAAGAATTTTAAAAAGATGCATCAGAACACAGTCGCTCATGCCTGTAATCCCAACACTTTGGGAAGCTGAGGCAGGAGGATAGCTTGAACCCAGGAGTTTGAGGCCAGGGTGGGCAACATGGCAATATCCCATCTCTACCAAAAAAACACAAAAAATTAGCTGAGCATGGTGGCATGTACCTGTAGTCCCAGCTTCTCAAGAGGCTGAGGCAGGAGGATTGCTTGAACCCAGGAGGTAGAGGCCACAGTAAGCCATGATCATGCCACTGCACTCCAGCCTGTGTGACAGGTTAAGACTACCCCAACCCCCTACCCCAACCCTTGCCCAAAATGAAAAAGATGCCTGGGCATAGTGGCTCACACCTGTAATCCTAGCACTTTGGGAGGCCTAGGCAGGGGGTTCACTTGAGCCCAGGAATTTGAGGCCAAGCTGGGCAACATAGTGAGACCCTGTCTATATAAAAAGTAAAAAATTAGCCAGACACAGTGGTAAATGCCTATCCAGCTACTCGAAGGCTGAGGTAAGAAGATCACTTGAGCCCAGCAGCTTGAGGTTACAGTGTGCTATGATCGTGCCACTGCACTCCCGCGTGGGCAAAAAAGTGGGACATTATTGTCTGTGAACTGTGCGATCTTCACCAAACATCTAAAACAAAATAACCTTCAAATCAAATATGCAAACTTTTTCAGCTCACATCAATTCACAAGGCCTGTCACATGCATGAGAAATATGAGTACATCTCTATGCAAATCAATCTTTAAGGTGACATAATGAAACAAAAGGTTTTCCCTTTGTAGTTTTTTTTAGATTCAAAAAAATTTGGAATACTCCAAAAGGAAAGGGGCCAAGAGATGCTGGAAAACCCAAAGAGGTTTAGTTGACTGGTACCTGATTTGCAGCTTCTAAGCTGACACCCATTCTCCCCTTTATAGACTCAATCCCTGCCTCTCTCCTCCCTTCTCTCTTCCCTTTTGAGGCTTCAGCACTACCCGCACAAAGGCTGACTGCACACCTGACCTGAGCTCTGCAGTGGCTCCCAGTCCTGGCTACCCACCAGTCTCCAGTGTGTTCACTCAGTATGCCAGGTGAGGACGCAGGCTCAGTAGTATTAAAAGCCCCACAGGTGATTCTGCTGAGAGGCCAAGGCTGTAACCTGTCTGTCCAGTAGTGCTGGCACCAAGGACATGCCATCCACCAGGGAAAATGCCTGGTATCGGGAGTTAAGAGAGTAACGGGTGAGGCCTAGAGAAAAGCATTAAGCCCCTCTGAGCCTCACTTACCTATAAAAACACAGTGCTACTTGCCCACATGTGTCAAGGACTTTGGGAGGAGGGGTGGAAGACAATGATATATGTGGAAGGAGTCTGCAGTGTCACGGGGGACACAAATGAGCACTACTGTTGCAGCTGTCATTATTATTAATGAACTTTAGTTCATTTCTGCACGGGATGATCCCAAACCCCAGCCCTGTCCTGTATTTACCTGGTCACTTTGGTGTTCATGAAGCACTGCTGTAAGGTGTCTGCCAACCTCTGGTGCACCAAGGAGTAGCGAATAAATGCTCTTCCTTTCCCCAAGGATGTTCGGAGCTGGAAAAAGCAGATTACATAGAGCCAAAGAGCTGTCAGCCTAACTCCAAATACAGACCTGGTCTCATAGATGGCTTGTGAAACACAGATACAGGGCAAAAAATGTCACCCAATTTTACCCTATACGTTGTCCTTCAAAGGACACAACACATTTGATACTCTTACCGCAGAGAGTAAGGCTTGAAGTGGGTGAACTACTTGCAGGCCTTCATCTGAGAATAATCTGCAGACTCCAGCAAACATATCATGGAAAACATATTAACAAGAGGCTTCCAAACATCTGTGGATTCTATTGGAATGTCACTTTCCCTCCTCTGCTCTATCAGAATCTCTGGGTTTGGAGTCAGATAGGAACCAAATAAAACTCAGTTTTATATTAGAGTAAAACCTGGAGGTAGGTAAGTGAAGCACTTCTCACACCAGAAGTCAGCTTGAGGAGGAAGAGATGGGCTCAGCTCAGCTAATGATGGTTTGTTTTTAAGGTGCGTGGGGAACAGGTGCAGGGGAAGGGCCTAAAGGGCTTGGCAGAAACATGTGCAGAAGGAGGAAGGGAGGGACAAGGGCAGAGGTGCGTGAGTGCGGCCGTGTAACTGCCTCATCTGTGTTCCATGAAACCATCAGTAAAATCTACAAGTCTGCCAACGCTTTCCTGGTTGGATTTCCTGTTCTTTATCAGATATGCCAAATCACTACATTGAATCAGAAGGAGCCCAGGGGTGAGACCAGGGGTGTCTCTAGGCAGCCCAGTCACACTGGGCTAAGGATAAAATGGATATGGGTCTGTCTCACAAGTTTGGCATGGATGGCATAGGAAGGCCCAGGTGCAGGCCTGTCTTCAAAACCTCTCCCCACAGAGCTTATACCTAAAATCCAATTCAGAGGAAGGAGATGTGACCGTAACTGTTTGAGGCTTAAATTCACCACTCAAAAGCTTGTTGTGATGGAAATGGGATATGTTGGTCAGAGACTCTGCCATGAGGCTGCAAAGCAGGGCTCTGTCAGCTGGGAGCATATAATGGCCAAGGCGGATGGAATAAAAGGGACAGCCACAGAAGACACTTGGGCAAGTTTGCAAATTAGGATTCATATTCCTGATAGGTCAGCCCAGAAACTCAAGAAAGTAGGCAGGAATTCAAAACCTCCTGACCTACCACAAGCACCTGCTCTCTCAGGCTCTGGCTCTGGGTAGGGTAAGCTGGAACCAATACCCTCCCCACCCCTTCAAAGGTCAGAAATATTTACAGTGTGTATATGTGATGGGGGAAGGGGGAGCAGTGGTTTGCCAGAGGGTTCCTATACCTCATACTATTCAAATTTTAATTCCAACACTATATTGAGTCAGGAAATATTGGCATTAAATGCCAGTGATTGAGGCTGTACCACATATTTCCTGATTCAATGGGGTAAACATCCTGGTGTATAGCACCTTTTAGCTCAGAACTATATTTCTTCTTACTGCTGACTCAAGGAAATGATACCATATGAAGTAGTTTTAAAAAACAAAAAGGTGTTAACTCTCTTTAACTACAGAAGCTGTAAGACATTTCCCCATGTATGTTTTGGGTACAGCCAGGACACCTGGAAGTGAAGGCAGGCAGCAGCCTGGTTTATTGGCTTTATAAAAACCACCATGACATGTCTGCAGATAGACGATCTCAGCAGATGCGCGGGGGAGAATCTTGATGGTATATCCTGTCTAAATCAGTTTTCCACTGACGATTGAGGTGAGAACAAAGTGTTTAGTGGTGATAACCAGGAAATTCAGGCCGTTGGAAAGAGGTGAGCAAGGCATTGTAAAGTGAAGCATGTCAATTATACAAACACACACCCTGCAGAATTTCATTAAGACCCTCACATCACAGCCCAGGTCTGTAAGCTCCCAAAGACAGGAACTTGTCCTTATTTTTGGCAAACTTACCATTATACCAGCCTTTAGAACATCAAAACTTTTTTAATGGCAAACATTTGAGGCTATACTTTTAATCAGGCCCATTAACTGAATTAAATATATATATATATATATATATATATATATATATATATATATATATATATATATATAAAGGGAACTATTTATTTTAAAAGGTATTTTTAGGGGGAAGGGAACAATAGTTCCTTTGTACTGCAAATCAAAATGCTGCATGGCCTTTTTATGTTTTGAGATTATGGATCCACTTTCATTAACTAATTCCTTAATTTTTTTTAGCTTCTAATCAGAACCCACATACACTATCCAGAGAAGCAATACAATGGCAGCAAAGGACAGGAAATCTGCAGGGTACAGGAGAGCTGATTCTGCTTTAAACCAGGTCATTGTGCCAAGAGCCCGATGCCGAGCTACACCCTCATCACAGTGAAACACAGTCCAAGCTGAGCCCATACTGAATCTCCAGAAATGGTTTCTTAGAACCTTCACCTATTTTAGCCTAAATAGCTACCGCCTACCTCAAAGGGGTCTGAGGGAACCTACAAATGCTTCTTATCCATTAACTCTTGCCCTCTCAGTTAAAGACCCAGATGGCTACTTGATTATTAAAATTAACCAAGTAACCAGCAACTCACTTAGCCTAGGGATGTTCCAAGCCATTCCAACCAATGATGCCCCAGAGAGCAGTCTTCAACAGAGATGAAACTGGACCCTATGGGAAGCAGAGCCTATGCCAGCCACTAAAACACCAACATTCATGCAAGCAAGGAATGTTTTTTGCTTCTAGAAAGTCAATTTTCATGGCTTCAGACTGTCTAAAGATCTGTTTGCATTATGAGAAAAGAAGAAGAAACTAGCCAAAAAGTAGATGTGTTTTAGCAAGCATTTCATAATCCTGGGGAATGCGGACTAAAACTAAATTTATTTCCAGACTTCAACTGTCCAAAGTCATAAAGTTAAAGGCTTTAGTTGCTCTGATGCAGCGGCTGAGGAATGAAGAGAGGAGAGTGACAAAGAGAACCTCTTCCACATTTATGATGCACTAAAATTAAAATACTGCTCTACTTCATGGACCCAAGTATCCCACCAGACCTCACAAGACTCATCCACACTAACATGGACATTAAAGAAACTCGCAGAACCAGCCCTTTAGAGCCAGGATCCTTCCTCATCGTCTCAGATGTCAGAGAGTGCAAATGGTGGGAAATGTCCAGCCATTGATGTCAGCATATCTAACACCATCATTCTCTATAAGAAGAAAGTCATTTAGCTCCAGCTGGCGTGTTTGGTGAGGAGCCCTTCCCAGAATACCTTAGGCTGTGGTATTTGTGGGCAGCCAGCCAAGCAGCAGGTGTGTTGACTTTAAACTGACTTCACACTTACTGAAAAGAAAGAAGAAATGTACAAACCTCCTGTCTCAAATCAAGGGGTTTACCTGCTCCCTGATATGCAAAGTTCTGCACTCCTGGATGGAATAGGCTGAGGAGAGAGAAGAAAGATTCTCTGGGGGTTGAGGGTGGAAAATAAACAGAAAGGAGAGTGTGAGTGTGTATGTGAAGTATGTGTGTGTGTTTGTTGTTCTGGAGTTTTTTTTTTTTTTTTGAGACGGAGTCTCGCTCTGTCGCCCAGGCTGGAGTGCAGTGGCGCGATCTCGGCTCACTGCAAGCTCCGCCTCCCGGGTTCACGCCATTCTCCTGCCTCAGCCTCCCGCGTAGCTGGGACTACAGGCGCCCGCCACCACGCCTGGCTAATTTTTTTGTGTGTTTTTTAGTAGAGACGGGGTTTCACTGTGTTAGCCAGGATGGTCTCGATCTCCTGACCTCGTGATCTGCCCGCCTCGGCCTCCCAAAGTGCTGGGATTACAGGCGTGAGCCACCGCGCCCGGCCTGTTCTGGAGTTTTGTAAAACAGCAAAGCCATGGCATTTTGCTCTTGAGGGGCGCAGAATTTAAAGTAGAAAGTTGGCACATCACTGTTTTAAGAAATGTCTCTTGAGATCCCACATCATTCTTATTTCAAATCTAAGTTTCCTGGGCAAAGTGTAGGGAAAGCAGCATAGCAAACTCTAAAGAATTTTATCTCAGAAAATGAGTTTTTTAAAAAGATGGAGTCATCCTATGCTTTACATCTCAAGGGCTGCCATTAGCAGACTACAATGTATGTGAATAGGCCACCCTGTTAAGTAACATGCGGGTTGTGGCCTAAGGTACATTCAGGACTCAGCATTCTTCCCCTTGATAAACACTCACTGAAGTGGTTTCCCCAACCTTGAGCCACTGCAACAATGGGCATTGCGTATACCTGGACTAGATTTCTTTACCACCCATAAACTCCCACTTCCTTATTTAGCTGTCTGCAGCAAAGGTCTCTGCAAGAGCTGCTTTAAGCAGGCAAAAGGACGACATGAAGTTGTTGGCTGCTTGCTCAGCTTACCTCTGAGATAGACTTGACAAAGCGGATCCCATCATTGGCTCCTTTCACCTTGGCCAGGCAGGCACAGAAGTAATCCCAGTAGTCCTTCTTGTTGCCCAGGAGGGTGGCCTTCTCTTTCTGATCAAACTGGGTAGGGAAAGGGAAAGGGAGAGGAGGTCCAAACCCACTGCTCTTCATTCCGGCATTTAAATGATAAATAATAACAATAGCTTCTTAGGTGCCAGCACTGGGTGAGGCCCTTTATTGGCATTATTTTTATTTATTGGCAAATCAAGGTGTGTTAATACCCTGTTCATACAGCTGGGTGGAAAACCACCGAAGGTGTTATTAACGGATGAGAAAGAAATACAAGAAAAGAGTCTTGGCCATGTGCGGTGGCTCACGCTGGTAATCCAGCACTTTGGGAGGCTGAGGTGGGTGGATCACCTGAGGTCAGGGGTCCAAGACCAGCCTGGCCAACATGGTGAAACCCCATCTCTACTAAAAATACAAAAATTAGCTGGGTGTGGTGGCGGGCGCCTGTGATCCCAGCTACTCAAGAGGCTGAGGCAGGAGAATCACTTGAACCCAGGAGGCAGAGGTAGCAGTGAGCCAAGGTTGCACCACTGCACTCCAGCCTGGGCAACAAGAGTGAAACTCTGTCTCAAAGAAAAAAAAAAAAAGAAAAAGAAAAGAGTCTTAAGGGCAATATGAAGAGTGTTAACTATGCTTCGACTTAGGGAAATAAGATAATGACCTTTTATCCCAGTTACTCAACACTTCAGTTTCAATATCGTTTTAATACACCTACAATAAATTTAAATAAATGTCAGCTCTGAGTCATTTCAAACCCAAAACCAAAATGGGCTTAATTGAAAAAAAGAAAGGCTCAAAAACATTTTTACAATGTTAAAGAACCAGCTGAAATGTCATGAGAGAGGCAAGCCCTTCAGCACGTTAGGGGCCTTTCCTCTAGTGGGCCCGCATACTACGTGCTTTGGTGGGATGTGACGTTGCAAAATAATGGTGTTCACAATGACACAGGTATATCTTTCTATAACATTTTATAGCATTTTTTTTCTGATTACAGAAGCAAGATATGCGTATGTTATTAGGATATCTAGATAAAACAAAACACAAAAATAGAAAAAAATTTAACACCTAATACCACTACCCTAAAATAACTTCTACAGCATTTCTTTCCTGCCTATTTTAGTTGCATGCATTTTTCCACATCTGCAGTGTTTTTTACATCAGCACTTTTTGGGCTAAGCAGGGATAAGAGTTATACCATCAATATGTTAAAAGAAAATATCCTGGGCTGACCCCAGAGATTCTGATTCAGTAGGTTGGGGTGGGAGCCAAGAATATACTACAAATAAGCTCCCAGAGGATGCTGATGCTGCTGGTCTATGGACTGCACATTGAGTAGCAAAGCTCTAAAACAGAAGCCCATGGATAATCTTTAGAGGGTCCACACACTCTTAGAATCTGCCTGCAAAAATGCGTGATTGTGTGTATACATACACGAATGTCTTTTTGGGAAGACTCTATAGCTTTCACTAAACTCCCAAAGGGGTATGTAACTGTCCCAAAGTTAAGATCTTTGCCATACAGTAACCTTCTGACCTACCTTACAATGACCTAAATCTCTAAAGGATGTTCTTGATTCTCAAAGCCATCCTAAGGGGCAACATTGCAATTCCCCAAAGGATCACACTTGGAGGATTGAGCTGGCACTGGGGACTGCTCTGACCTTCAATCTAACCACGAGGGCTTACTGGCTCCTTGGGCTTTCTGAACCATATCTTGAATGCTGATGAGTCACCCAAGAGGGAGAAAAGAGATACCAGTGCAAAAATCAACACATTACAGGCATCACTTACTTGCAGGAGATACTCAAGTTTATAAGAAAATTTATGCAAGCTGGTGCTGTCATCCGTGATGGGTTCCCCTGCTTCCTGAAATTCTTTGCTTAGTTCTGTCACAGCATCTTTAAGACAACAAATAGGAACATGTAACCAGATAGTGACTAAACTCAGACAGAGAAGCAGAAATAATCCAGGAAGCATGAGGAGCAAGTGGTCAGTGATACAAAGCACCTCTGAAACATAAAAGGGTATGTAAGTATCCATGAGATATAACTCCAAGTCAGGGAGTGTTGAAATGTCCTGAGAGCTCACAGATACTTTACAATGCTTGTTGACTGGGCACATTTCTTGTTCACCCTTGTCTGTCCACCACCCAGGGCTAGTAATTTGCATATAGTAGCTGGACAACAAATGTTTGCTGTGTGGATGAATCAATTCAGTCCCTGAATACTGACTTCCAGAAAGCTTTACCTTTATTCTAGCCACATTTCAGGTTCTTCACTATAATCCTACTGCTCATTATAGGTAAGCGCAGGATCAGAATACCCAGTATGTGCAAATAATAGTAGTGACAATCACAATTCCAACAATGACAACCGCACCTGCTTCTGTTAACTGAGTGTCCTTGAGGGGCTGGGCCTTTACATGTATTTTTCTCATTTAATATGGCATTGAGAGGCAGGGATTGCCTTATTTCGATGAATCTAAGATACAATTAATTATAATATACATTACAGTTTCAGAGCTGTTAAAATGTCAAAAAAAAAAGTACAATTTAGAATCTATGAAGTCTGCTATGATTATCCCCATTTTGCAGATGAGGAGTGTACAGAGAAATCAGAGCACTTGGCCAAAGATCATGGGTGGCAAACAGCAGAGCTGGAATAAGAACCCTGGTTTTCTCAAGAGCTGTCTAACTCCAGAGCTCACCTCTTAACTTCTAAGATAATTCACCTCCCTGTGTAGAAAAGAGGAAAACCCACCTTTGACTCTCACTCACTGCCTCTGCTGTGGGACAGAGGGACTATCGAGACACTGGATTTGGTTTAGATCCTGGAAAACCTTTTCCCAGCAGAGATGGTGGGATGTGCTTCACAAAACTATCTGCTTCTCTGGCAATTCTTAAATTCCTAAACCCTGCTCCCAAGAACCATGGTTTGAAGCAGACCTGTCCAGGACTGAAGCCAAGCCTAAGATGGCTGAAAATGTAATCAACACGACCCCTCAGGCAAAGATTAGCAAATGGTGGAGACAGGTTCTTGGGACTGATTCTTACAAGTGACTGTTGTCCACTGTACCTTGCTAGAAGTGTCTGCAATGGCTGGCACTGACAGCCAGTGAGCCAGGGGCCTGGGAGAGACAAAGAGCCTTCCTCCTCCACCCTCCTGCCTCCTCAGGCCAGGTAAACACTCGCAACCTGATCTGGGAACTCCTGAAACTTTGAAGGAGTAGACTCTGGATATGAAATATGAAATTTTCAGCTCTAATCTCTGATATTCTAAGTAATATTAGCTTTGCAGGAATTACTATTTGATTCTTTCAATAATCTTGAGAAGTGGGTGTTATCATCAAACCCACCTGGCACATGAAGGAAGCAACTGTGCGTTGGAAAGGTGAAGGGACTTGTCCAACATTTTCGAGGGTTAAAAGAGAAGCCAGAAGCTGAGCACACCCCTGCCTGACTCCAAAGTCTTTGAAACTGCTGTCACCAAGAGGATAAGTGGGCTGCCCTGCAGAGGAGTGAAGGCTGTGTACCACACAAAGATGCCTCAGTTAAGGACACTCCACTCTCATGGTAGATGCTGTAGATTTGTATGCTTATTAAGACGTTTACCAACAGATGAAAGTGGAGGGTACTGAGAAAGTGGCACCTTTCAAGAATTCCCACCAAAGTGCTCTGTGGCCTATGTAAAGGACATTGAAATCAGCCCAGGATGTTGGGGGTGGCCAGACTCAGCTGGTACATAGGATAGACAATGGTCTAGATCAGAAGCTCTACCTGAGGGTCCCCTATTTCACCCTCTTCCCTCCCAATAAGGACCTCCAGGTCTCAAAGTTATCCTCAAGAACCAGATATTGAAACACAGAAAAGACTATCTACTTTATGGAGAGACCTCTTAAAGCCAGTGGCAAACTCAGATTTGCAGAGACTGGCATTTCACTTTCTCTGCCTCTCTGTGTAGATTTAAAAAAGCATCTAATGTCTTAGCTGAAAGTAGACTAGAGTGGTTAGGAGCATAGACTGGTGCCAGGCTGTTGGTATAGAAAGTGCCCGGTGCACATGAAATGCCATGAAATTGTTAGCTATCAGAGGCCCAAGGCATGGTAGACACAAGATTAAAAGCCTGAGAAAATGTTTTTTATCTTGTTGACTTTGGAACTTCAGAATGAGAACTGCACTGTGGCCATGCTAGGCCAATGGCTCCTGGTATGGGAGATAACTGCTTGTGGTGCCCAAGCAGTTAGAAGCCTGGGCCTTTAGTCTGTCAGAAAAGTGTCACAGCGGACTCTGCAGGCATGGAGGAAGTGGTCAGCTTCAGACTGTGTAGTATCAAGTGTCCTAGAGCTCCGAAGAGCTTAAAGGTCAGCACTGGTGATGAGTGGGGATGGAAAACTTATAAAAACTCTGACCCCTGGGACAGCATCTGAAAGAGTGAAACTTGGAATTTGCAGCCAAAAAGAAAATAGTCCGTTTCTCCTGAGTCTATGAAACTTTATCTGCACCTTCCTCTGCCTTGCTTTTCTCCAGTGAGATAAGGGATACAAGTCATAGCCTCTCTCAGTGGACAACGCTGAGCTCAGGGAAGTCTGGGAGGCAGCAGGACTGGACCTACAGTGCATCCCAGGCAATGGGCCATCCGCCAGCCAGGACCCAGTTGGGCAGCAAAACAAGATAGGTGGGTCTCTGTCCTTCCTGCTCAGTGGGAGAAAGAACATTCTTTTCCAAAGAAGCCAACTTCATCAGAGCCCAGAAGTTTGGGATTTAGCCAAAGACTTAACAGGCAGCTTCAAAACACACATGTGTGCACTAATGGAAATCAGACCCAGTCCTGGAGCCGGGTGTATGATTTTGTTTACAAACTGGCTTTACAGTTCTCTGAAAGGAAACCAGGCAAGCTTTCCAAGCCTTACACAAGGTGGATATTTGAGACCCAAATATTTCAATATGATGTGACCTGAGGACTCCAATTACTCGTTGTGTGAACAAAAATGAAAGGGTTGAATTTCAACTGGCAACAGCAAAAAGCCCTGCCACAAGTCCCTCAAAACCAAACTCAGCCTGCCCAGCAACCTACCATACCTTGCAAGTCTCGGATGATTCTCTGGAGCTGGCTCTCTGCATTGGTGGAGGCCATGGTGAGTTTGCCTTTCTTGTCTGTATGTCTCCTGCCTGGGTCCAGAGGAAGGCTCAGAATTTCGGCCCTCGGTGGCTGTCTGCTCAGCAGTGGTCAGACTCCATGGTGGCACCTGCACAGAGGAAGGGGAGGCCATGGAGGAAGCAGATACAGACACAATTTAACGACAATATTAGAGAACTCTGCTCTGGGCACAAAGGTCACCCTATCTGGGTGTATTCCCTCAACAGGAGGGCTTGACCTTTCTGTGTGGGCCTTGTTCTGTGGGCACTCTCTGGTTTGTTTCTGACACACTTCTATTCAGACACAGTGACCTGGTTTGGGGCTAAACAAGAAATTAGATCAATCATATTGCAGCCTATCTTTTTGAGCTCACTTTCCATTCACCTTAGATAGGACTGCCTTACTTTCCTTTAAAAAGCCACCTAGTGGCTCTCTCCATCCCCTTATACCAAAGGCTACACGGAATCAGTGCAGCCCAGCTTCAGACAGCTCTGCTAAGCCTAAGGATCCCCATCTCCCCCACACCTGGCCCCACACCCTCTCCACCTTTCTTTCTCTGAAGAATGGTCAGTCTCTAGCCAGGCAGTGCTAGTTGGGGGAGAGGATGAGGACACATACCCTCAGAACTTCTGGACCAAGGAAAGCCGGGCTTGCCTGGCAGGGTCCCCTTCGTCGTGAGGCTTGAAGCCTCCAGCTGCCCAGAGTCCAACTCAGCCTGGGTGTGCAGATGCTGCCTGGCCTTCTCTCCAGAGGCCTGCACAGCCCCTGCACCAGGCAATGGATGTGTCTCTATTTTTAAGTTTGGTTACAGTCCTCTCCCAGCTGGTGAGTCCTGAGTTATCAGCCCTACATGGGCAGCTGTTGAAGTGATTTACCCGTAGGGCTGAAGGCCAACAGAAGTTAAAGAGATGTGAGCACATTGGAAAGAGGTCTGGACATGCATCTGGAGATCCTACGTCCTTTCAGAACCTCTCATTCTTCCCTTAGATATCCAGTGCAAGGTTGTAATGTTTGCTGGCAAAGTAGATAGCAAGACTAGAGTTGGCTGTGGTGGCAGCCGGCACTAAATGAGGGTCTATTGCGTGCAGGGCTCTGTTACGTGCTTTACACACATGATCACTTTTAATTCTCACAATCACCCTGGTGGAGCAGATAACATCGTCCCTGTTTACAAAGGAGAAAATGATGCTCAGAGGAGTCATGTAACTTGTTTTAGGCCACGGGCCAGTAAGGCGAGGAATCACAGAGACTGAACTCTGGTCAGTCTGATTTCAAACCTGGTGGTTTTCCAATAAGTCCTACTGACTTTTTAAGACTCAGCCATTGTCACTACAGCAAATGACCAACCACTTCCACCGGCTCGAGGTACTACCATGAACTCCAGCATCTCCCAAGTAATGTGAACACCCTGAGTGTTCTAACACATGCCACCTCTCACTCTCCCACTGCCACCTTGCCCTCGTGGCTCCAGGAGTCCAGGCAAGCAGATCCTGGCATGGAAACCACCCCAGCCACAAGCTCCTCCAAATATTTACATAAGGATTCCTGCCTCTGCCCGAGGAGAGGGCCTATCACAGGGCAGAGATAACTAGAGCCTATTTTTAACTAACTAGCCAATGTAGCTGTGACTCAGTGCAAACAAGGCCCAAAGAGGGCTTCTCTGGCTTAGGAAGGAAACAGACACATGCCCGTACCACAGTCCCAGGAATTCATGAGTCCCAGAGAGAAGAGCTTCAGGGGAGCCACAGAGAACCCCCCAAACCTCCCAACAAGTGTTGGCACCCATCCATCAGGGACACCAAACTGAGGATGGGAGTGCTTTATGAGAAGCCTGCCTGCCCATCCCTGGGTGTCTCTCCAGGTCACCAGCTGAACACAGGCCTGAGCAGGGACCAGCCGGGGCCCTAGAGAGAGCCAGAGAGGATAAGAACCTCCACTATCAACACACAGCTGCCCCAGCACATTCCGTCAAGTGTCTGCTACATGCAGGCTGGGGATACAGAGGCACACAAGACACAGTCCAGCCCTGGAAGAGCCTGGCTACCCATCAAGGAGACAGATGGAAAAATATCACATATCCAGATACAATGGAAGAGGCTCACGTAGAGATATGGATAAAAAGTCATGGGCACTCAGTACTGAGAAGATATGAACTATGGGCATACAAAACAACATGGAGGAATCTGAAATGCCCTGTGCTGAGTCAAAGAAGCCTCTCAAACCACCACAACTGTGCAATCCCATTTATATGCTATTCTGGCAAAGGCAAATCATTAGGAGAGAAATCACATCAGTAGCTGCCAGGGTCTAGGGGAGAAGGGAGAGTCTGACTACAAAGGAGCACAGGAAAATATGGGGGGCAATTCTGTTTACTGCCTTGATTACGGTGATGGTTACATGACTATATGTATTTGACAAACATACACTTGTCACAACTCATATAACTATAAGTTATATCTCACAAAAAAGGAGCATTGGGATGAATTTATAAAAAAAAATGCAGTGGGATCTGAGGAAGGGAAAATCTAATTCAGCTTGGGGAAGGGAGAAGTGGTAGACACTCTGTGATGGCCAGGCCTAAAAAGTGAACAGGCAGTCACTGGAGAGAGCCAAAAAGAAAAGGATGCTGGGACGGAGGCACACAAGAGTAAAGGCTGTTTCTCTAACTGCATTCCTCTTATTTGGCTGCTGCCAACACAGAGGAGTTTGCAGTCTCTGAGAGAAATAATCCTGGAGAAAGACGACTGGAGTGATACCCTGTGATCTTTAAATGCAGCCCACTGGGTCTGTGTGTACACTTCTGACCATGTCTGTGGAGAGGGTGGAGCTTGGGAAGGAGGTGATAGCAACAACAGATCCTGAGTAACTCATCCGGGCTGCGGCCAGGACAATGAAGGAACCAACCAGCTGGATTTTCTGGAAACCAGCCCTAACTGGAGTCTGGCACAAGGGAAACAATGTCTGCAAACCCAAACAGCATCATAAGCCTGAACACAGATGGCAACACACTCCTTTAAGACTTCTTGGTGCTTTGGTGACACTGCCCTTGTGTGAGCCCAAGGCAGGAGACCTTCTCTGTCTGACCTTGGGAGTGTGCTCTTGGCTGGTGTCAAGTTCCCAGGTCGTGGGGTGAGCTGTTCCCAGCCACTCATTACACAAGCTGATTTTTCAAAGAGCCTGTGTCGCCACCAGCATAATGAGCCCTAAGAAACTGCCTGCCAGGCCTGTGGGGTGTGGTGGGCTTCCCCACTCTGGCTCTGGGTCATCACCTCACAGGGATTCAGGAAGTAAATCAGAGCTTCCATAGAGAACATGGTCACCATGGGGATGCTATTTTCAGGAACTCAGCATCTTGCCCTCCTTGCTCCTCCGTCTCGGTCTGAGGTCATTACTAACCAACAAAAGGCACAGAATGGGCAAGATCACTCTCCAAACATGGCCAACTTCCTTGTGTCTCTAGATAAGCTTGCCCTTTCATTGAGGGAATCACAGACTCCTGGCATGAACCAGCCTGATCCTGACATCTACAACCCATTAGCAAATGGCTCTCCTAACTCAGGAGACACTCAAAGCTCTGTACATACTACCACGGCTGCCCCAGCACCAGCGTAAGGACTCCAGGACTCACACACCTCACAGGGCCCCCAGTGTGCCAATCACCTCATAAACCCACAGTCCTTGTTGCACAACATGTAAAAACCTTCGTTGCTGTCTCTGACAGGCTCTTTCAAATATCAGAGAAATGCGTTTTATAAAATCTTTGGAAGCATTGAATTTCCTTGCCAACAACTCAAAATTATGTTTAAGCCTATCCAAAATGTCTGAAAACATCCAGTTTTCTGACAAAGAGGAAAAGGGACTCAATGCATTTTTTAAAATTCTTATTTTTCACTTGGTACTACTGTATGAGTTCCTAGTCATGACCTAGATATCATTTTAGAAGTAAAGGACCTTCTCTGACCTCCAAGTTTTTTCTATACCTGCCCAGATGCCCTAAATGCCTTAAACAATAGCAACGGCAATTTAGTCAAATTAAGATACAAAGATGCTGACTGACTCATGCAAACCTATTTATGCTATGGTCCAAGTGACTAATACTCATAATATTGCCCAGAAACTGGCTCAGACAGCATCTGAGTAGTCACACAAGGAAAGAAGAATCATCAGGGGAGGAGGAGGTTGGAGGCGTGGAAGTCAACCTTTCTCCACCTTCAAAATTTTGCTCCCAACACAATAGCTAAGGGCTGACCCAGAGAGGACACCTTACAGTTGGATTCCTCCCCCAGTCCCAAATAAGGAGGAGCCTACCAGTTGTAAAGTCTCCCCTGACCAAGAAAGAATGTTAAGGACAAGGATGGTTAAAAAGGCAGAAAAGCCTTTCTGGAAGAGTCCATTGCCTAGGCCTGGTTCAGCACACCCAACGGCAACTATCTAGTTACCACCTACAGAAAGGGAGGCACTTGGCTGGTACCTGCAGCTTCGAAGGCCTGGAGGTCCTGCTGGCCCAGGGGCTGGAACAATCAGTGGGCAGGCAGACTGCCCTTCCCAGAGCTTCAAGAGGGTGGCTAGGAGAGTGCTCCGGAGTTTGCCAGAGGCCAGCTCAGAGGCAGGCATTTCAGCACACGTGAACAAAGACTCATTAGGTGACCCAACCCCTTGGACCTATGATTAAAGTGTTAACCCACTGCATGCCTGGGTCATCTTTCCCAAACACTCCTTTTTGCTTGTCATCTTCTCTCTTTCATAAAGGGAATGAGAACTTGAGGCTTTGCCATGGCTTCTTCAACCTTCTCTTGGTCCCCTTCCCCCCACCAACAATAGCAGTTTCCTTGGTTGCTCTCCCAGAACACATACAAAACAGCCACTATTCGAGTCCATGGACCCCAGAGAGCAGGACTTAGAGGGCTCTGAGGTGTTGCTTTTGGATCTGGGGAAGCCAAGTCTTTTTTTAGTGAGGTGGGCAGTTGCTCAAGGGAGGAGCCACACCTCTGTACTTGACGCTGTGGGGCTGAGAAAATATCCAAGAGGTGACAATGACAGGCATGAGAATCTGGACAATCTCTGGAACAACTGCATCAATAATTAAGAACTCAACTGGTGCATCTACTCCTGCTCCAAAGAATACAGGCCCAACCTAGATGGGGAAAAACTACAGATCTCCAAAATTATATGCTCTGGGACCTCTCCTGACCGAAGTGTCAGGGGGTCAATCCAGCTAGTTATGAACTAAGAACTGAATCTCTGATAGAATATGACATAGCCACAAAACATGGCCTTGAGGAAGCAGCAGGCAACTTCTGTGTGCTAACAAACTGCCAGCCAGGTAAAAGGTATTTTTTGGCAGCACGATTAAGAGGCAAGCCTGAACCAGGAGCCGGGGCTATAGCTGTGAAAAGGGGCAGTGGGTGGAGCTCTGACCTTTAAGGAACTCAGGCTCAGCAGGAGAAATAGATAACATATACCCCAATAAAAACTAGTAAGAAGGAGCACTTGAGGCCTGGTAAGTGCTTTGATAAGAACAAGTGAACATACAAGGTACCACACTGTACTCCGCTCATGATTCTCAGCCCTCACTGCAGAGTCTCACATTATGCTTCTGTGGCTTCTGGGGCCATTTGTCACAATGGTAATTTTTTGTTGAATCTCTATTCTTTCCACTTGACTGTAAACTTCGTTGCTGTTCATGATTTCCCCTAGCACAGTTCTGGCACATGGAGAGCCCTCAATAAATTACTGCTGAATGAATGAATGAATTAGACAAAACAAAACACATAGATCCTTGCCCCACCATACAAACTAAACTTTGAGGCATAGAAATGTACAAAGATGTAAATACTACTAATCTTTCAATGGTGGCAACAAGAGCACTTTTTTTTTGAAATGGAGTCTCGCTCTGTCGCCAGGCTGGAGTGCAGTGGCGCGATCTCAGCTCACTGCAACCTCCCCCTCCCAGGTTCAAGTGATTTCCCCTGCCTCAGCCTCGTGAGTAGCTGGGGCTACAGGCGCACGCCACCACGACTGGCAATTTTTTTTTTAAATGTATTTTAGTAGAGACGGGGTTTCACCATGTTGGCCAGGATGGTCTTGATCTCCTGACCTCGTGATCCACCCGCCTTGGCCTCCCAAAGTGCTGGGATTACAGGCATGAGCCACTGCGCCCGGCCATCATGAGCACATTTTTAAAAAAATTCTATTTCTCTGATTTTTCAATTTTCCTTTATTGAGCATAAATTATTTGTATGTTGAATAAAATAATGCACTTAAAACACCATGTAGAAATTGTGAACATTATGTTGTAATTATTGTAAAAATATTGTGAGCTATTATTCCCAGAGTGAATAGAATAATATAATTCAGGGATGGATGAAGTGTGTCTACTCCACACTGCCTACCTAGCCTCTCTTTATAAACAGACCTCTGGTGTCCTGAGAGCTCAGGTGACTGCTGTCAGACATGGGTACAAATCTCTTAACCCAGCTTGTGAGGCCCTTTACAGATGGGCTGCCTGACCTCGATAGGGATAGGCCCATCTTCTTGTCCCTCCTCCTTCCCTTCTTCCCCTCTGCCTATGTTCAGGCATCCCTGCGATGCCCTTCTGTGGCTGGGCCCTGCCTCCAGGGTTTGAATGCTCTGCTCCCTCTGCCAAGGCCATGCCCTGCCCAGCTCATGCTCCCTACACCTTCCTTTGGCCAGCTGCTCCAGTCTCGCTGGGTTTGGTGTGGACAGGAGGAAGTGTGAACCACAGTTCGGTTCCCGAGGAAGCCTTACCCACAGCCTCCTTCACCCCATCCTGGAAAATGAAAAGCACCGCCACCCTCACAAACAACCCTGCTAACCCAAACCTCCTGTCAGGGGGTGAATTGTGCACACCACCCCACCGCATTTCGATGTTGAAGCCCTAACCCTCATACCTCAGAATGTGACTGCATTTGAAGACAGGGCCTTTAAAGAGGTAATGAAGATTAAATGAGGCCATGAGAGTGGGCCCAAATCCAATTGGAACTGGTGAGTTTATAAGGGGAATTCTGGACACACACAAGAGATACCAGGGATGCGGAGCACAGAGGAAAAGCCGTGTGAGGCCACAGCAAGAAGGCGGCTGTCTGAGAGCCAAGGAGAGAGGCCTCAGGAGAAGCCAAACCTGCCAATGGCTTGATCTGGGACTTACAGCCTCCAGAACTGTAAGAAAGTACATTTCTGCTGCTTAAGCCACTCAGTTTGTGGTATTTTGTTATGGCAGCCCTAGCACAAATACACCTCCCAAGGCCCTTGTCTCTCCATTCCTGAAAGTGTGCATGTGACACCATCAACAAGGCAACCTGGGGAGGGGAGGTGCTGGTGGGCCTGGGTTCTGTTGCACTTCTTGGGGAGGAGCATGACAACAGCAGTGCCAGCGTAGGTGCAGAGAGGCAGAAGGTGGGGCCATGCTGCAGATGGGAGGGGCAAGCAGGACCCAGGATGGCTCTGAAGCTGGAGTTGGAGCAATGAGCAAGATATTTTCTTCTCTCTTACCAGTGGTAGCCAAGTTTTGTCAAATGGGACCCTATTTAGATTTTGGAATCAGACTAGTTACGTGAACTTTCCATTATGTATTATGCAACAAAGATCATGCCATGGTTGGGTGAGACCCAAGGTATATTTAGCTTACTCAACTATTTTTAGGCACTCTATCTGTCCTGGGGAAGTCATTTGACCTCTTCCTACCTTTCTTTTTTCAGATGCAATGTTGAGAGGTAAACTTCCTTCATGTGAATTAATTAAGAATTGCAACCCTTGAAGGAGGTGGGAAAGGGGGGGTAACAGACATTCTCAGTGGCTGAGGCTTCTAAGTGTCCCCTCCCTGCTCCTGACCAAGTCTACAGATACCCTGGAAAAAGCATCTGGGGCTGCAGAGTCAACTTCAGGAAATTCCTTCCAGCTCCATTTTAAACCACTGTTTCTGATTCAGCTATCCAGCCCTATCCTGGACTTCACATAGGGATTCTTCTCTTGGCCTTGCCCCCTGCATGCTAATGGTTTTCTTGGAATGCTTTTTTTGGTCCAAGCTTTTCTTTTGTATGCTAAGGACTTCCCCTAACTCGGGTTCCTGGGACTGGCCTAGGGTATAGTACTCTAGATTCCTGAGGTAGTTGGCCAGATCAGCCCTTGGGTCCCAGCCACAGGGCCACAATACTATACCCAAACCACAGATTCTCCTTAAGTCTTTCATCAGAACCACACTGATGTACACATCCTCCAAATGGCATCCGGCCTAATGAGAAACAGGCCCTTGGTGCCTTTCAAATGCCACAGAGATCCAAGTGAACAGGAAGGACCACTGGAAGTTACTAAAATCAACAGGTTGACTGGCTCCCATGTGAGAAAAGGGATAAAACTGCTCTTGCCTAACTGAGCACAGCTTCTGCCATCATCCTCTTCTCAAAGCCATGGGGCCCATTTGCTCCAAGGCAATGGCTCTTATTATGGGGGTAGTACAGACATTTCAGCCATTTTTGTGATGTATCAACGAACAGCAAGAAGGTAAACAGCATTTCCATAGGTAGAACCACAGAAACATTCCAATTCCCACCCTATTGATTTATTTAATTGCTCAGATAGAGGCTCTTATACCAATAAAGACTTCTTATTTTCTTGAAACTGGCATTGAGCTCACAAACAAAATACTGTTTATCTTTTGACTAAGACAAGAACATAGCAGTCATGACGTGAGCAGATGTTGCCCTGACCATAATGGACTCATCTGTGCTCACAAGTTGCCTCTGTAATCACAGGCACCAGTTAATGACCCTTACCTGCTGCCTAGGGCTGCTTGCAGTGAACGTGGTTCCTAAATCTAGGTGCCTACCAGTGATTTCCACCATAAGACCACAGCTAGACAACACACTTCCTCTGCCTCATGTTTAAAGACATTCTAGTCTTGAGTCACCAAAGCTGTGTCTTTGGAATCTTCAGTAAACAAAAGTTACCTATCAGCTAAACATCTCCCCTAAAGGGAAGCAGGGTGGGTGGGGGTGAGGGGGCTGCCATTTCTTGCGTACCTACTTTGTATTCTTGAGTCAGCAGTCCATAGCCTTGGTGACCAATATGGGTCAAAGCTACCAGCTGCTCTGATCTTGCTCTGTTATGGGTGATTCCTCTCATCACAAACATCTATGGGGGCCATCCCCCTCAAAAAGGACCAGGTTAAAAACTTGGCTCCTGAAATTATACTGGTGCTCCAAACCCAGCCCCAAGGGGCAAAGGTCATCGGAACAACAGCTAAAGGATCACTGCCTGAGACTGTTACCAATCTCTAAAGTAACTGCAAAAAAAAAAAAAAATCAAAGTAAAATATTAAGAATTGAGTATACGGATATTCACCATACAATCCTTTCAGTGATTCTGTATGTTTATTTTTCTAATAAAATATTAAAAACAATTTAAAAAGTAAATGAAGTGCTACACAAAGATAGTCACTTTGAACATAAACAGATAAACTCTATTTCCTAAAGCAAGAGCCTTTAGGAGAGATCCTATTAATCAAAGGAGGCTGAGATCCATCACTGTGACAATTAGCTCTTATTTTCAGGGTGATAATAACCACGGTGCACAACTAGTATGGGGCATTCAATGCTTTCAGAACAGTGGTTGTCACAGAAGGGAGGGTCAAGTGGAGCTCACTCAACAGGGGTCCACTTCAGAAGGTGGGAACTACTGAAAGCAGAAAACCTTGGCATGATAGCTCCAGCTCCCCACCCCTCCCCCACACCAGCCCCCAACACCCTCCAGCCGCATTAGGCAGATGGCAGGGGAATTAAGCTTGCAGCCTGAGACCACAAGGCCTGCACGGGCAGGAGAACCAGTGAGCAGATTAAGCCCTGGATCCTCTGCCCCGCAAAAGCCCCTGACCCATTTCTCTGTCGGGAAAGGAAACTGCTGTGGTAAGACAAGCAGAGGGGCTGAGAGGCTCTGGCCAACACAGGCAGTTTCAACAAGTGTTCTATTTTTTTTTCTGGAGAGGACACCCAATGGGAACAGTGAAGAGTGACAGGGACATCAGAGAATACATGTGCTTTAACAGGGGGCCACGCGGTTAACGTGTCAACCACATGTGCTTTTCTTACAAAAAATAAAATCCCGCCATCCTCCCCCCTCCCCGCCCCACCCCCGCCAGGTTTCAACAGCACGGACTCCAGTCCAGTGCAGTGCCGCCACACCAGAGACAACAGGTGTTTCGGGAAAAGACCCCTGGGGGCTAGCTCGAGACCCTGCGCATGGGCACAAGGGGCAGTGGATAGTGAATAGGTCTTGGCCAAAGGATGGGCCAGGAAGAAAGAAGCTTCTTCCCCTCCTGGGAAGAGGGCAGAGATCCGAGCACCAGCGGAGTCTTGCAAAGTGAAGGTCTGGGCTGTCCCGGCCCAACTGGGCCAGAGACTAAACTTCCTAAAGACCACGCAGGCAGGAACTCCGGGGCCTGCCCCATCCTGCGCTAAGACATTCAGGCTTGTTCTGAGACGCCGCATGGTGGGCTCCTTTCCTTTGCGGGCCCTCCGCCCTCCGGGGTCTTGGAACTGGTGTTTGGGGTCTGTCTTTCTAACCGACCAACAGAGGCAGGCTGGGTGCCTGGGCCGGCTTCCACCTGCCCGAGGTGCTTCCCGGCCCGCTGGGCAAGGACGGGGGCGCTCGGGCAGGGTCTGAGGGAGACCTGGGATGGGCGGGGACTGTAAGGGCAACAGGTGACAAGCCGCGCCCCGAGCGAAGCTCTCGCCTCAGGGATCGTGAGCGACCCAGGTGCCCCCAGAGTCCAGCCGGTCTTCCGCGGCACTTACGCGCTCGTGGGTCCACCGCCGGGCAGAACCGAAACTTTCTGGGGCCAAGCGGAAGAGGACGGGAACGCGGTGCTGACGGCCATGACGCGCACACCAAGAGGGTGGCGGGGGCGGACTACAACTCCCGGCGTGCTCCCCGGGGCTGAGGCCTGCAACTCCCATCGGACTCCCGGGGCTCCGACTACAACTCCCGGCGACTCCGCAGGGCGGGGTTTAAGTGCTCCCACCGCCCAGTCCCCGGACCGACTGTCCCACCCGCGACCCATGCTGGCCCCAGGTTAACGCCTGCAACCCCGGAGGGCCACAAATCAAAGGTCTGGCATCTTGACAACAACGCTGTTCTTGTGTGGCTAAGGAGCACTCCAAAGGTAGCTAGTTCGAGTTGAATCGTGCACGTGCTGTAAGTGTGAAATACACCTAGGTACCAAAGAGTCCGAAGAATGTTAACTAGCTCATTAATTTTTAGTGATTGCATGTTAAAATGATAATATTTTGATATATTGGGAAATAGAAAAACATGTATTGGTGGGCCTAATTTCCCATCTTTTAATCCCCCTTATTTCTTAATATCAGGGTCTTACTTAAAATTAGTGCTCAAAAACTACGTGTTTATGAACTACCACCCCTAACTTTGGCCCCATCCTCAGCCCAACTTCTATTTATAAGATGGGTGTTGCAAAGCACTGTGGAACTGAATACGATAGAACAAAATGCATTCAATCAGTGTCCGCTATGGGCACAGTAGAAAAGAGGAACACTACACGGGGACTTTGGCTTCTAACTGACTGCATTCCTTAGCTGTGGCTGGCTATCCTTTACTCTCTGCCCTAGTTCTCATCATTTAAGCCAGAAACAGCTCTCTCCCTTGTAGGACCTAGCTCGTGGTATCCAGTCAGGAACCGTGGTGGCCCAACATTCTAAACTGAGGAAGCAGGGTGTTGTCTGGGTACAATAATACAGAAAGAAAATCAATTTCTTAGTCGATTTTAGGCTATGACATCTCATTAGCCATCTAATTTTATAAATTAGATGTAGCTAAAACAGTGAGTTGGATGGATGGAGTAGTCAGTTTGGGGGTGGGGTTGGGAGGAGGTACATGAATAGAAGTGATTTCCACTCTTGTTAACAGAAAGGAGAACAGAAAGAAAACGGGGGGAGTGAGAAGATGACAAAGAGAAAAGTAATCAATGTAGTGGTCTAAGAGAAATCATTGCTCCAACCACTGTCTGAACAGCTTCATGCAATATTAAGGATGAGAGAGATTTTAATGTTGGTCATCTGGTCCAATATCCTTGTTTGAAACTGTGTGGGGAAAAAAAAACCTCCCTCAAACCGTATTTTTCCTCTACTCTTACACAACAGCAATCATCAACACAGGAGAATAATTTGGTGACCAGATGTGTGTGGGGTTTTCCCCACACACTGAGCAGTGGACCGCACCTGGGTGTCCTCCAATTCAATTCCGACACTATCTACCTGGAGTATCAGATCCCACAAGTGGAGGGCTCAGTCCCCAAGACTGCCTCCTCACCTTTAAACACCAGTTGTAAGTCTAGGCCTCCAGAATTTTGGAATGACTGGCTTCAAGTTGAGTTCCCACGACACCCTCTTTGGGTTCAGCTAATTTGCTAAAGTGGTTCATAGAACTCAGAGAAACACATTTACTGGTCTATTATAAAGGATACTGCAATGGATGCAGATAAAGAGACACGTAGGATGAGGTGTGGAGGAAGGGGCGTGGGGCTTCCATGCCTTCCCTGGATGCACCACTCTTCAGTAACCTCCACGTGTTCAGCTATCCCGAAGCTCCCCGAATCCAGTCCTCTTGGGCTTTTATGGAAGCTTCGTGATGTCAGCATTGCTTCCCCCAGGGTATAGGGGAGGACCCTCTCTTGGGAGGGTCTTAAGACCTATAATCAGAAAGGCGGGGGAAGCGGCTGGGCACGGTGGCTCACGCCTGTAATCCCAGCTCACGCCTTGGGAGGCCGAGGTGGGCGGATCACCTGAGGTCGGGAGTTTGAGACCAGCCTGACCAACATGGAGAAACCCCATCTCTATTAAAAATACAAAATTAGCCGGGCGTGGTGGCACATGCCTATAATCCCAGCTTCTAGGGAGGCTGAGGCAGGAGAATCGCTTGAACCCGGGAGGCGGAGGTTGCGGTGAGCCAAGATCGAGCCATTGCACTCCAGCCTGGGCAACAAGAGCAAAACTCCATCTTAAAGAAAAAAAAAAAGAAAGAAAGGCGGGGGAAGATTAGAGTCCTGCCTTAAAGCAGGTGAAAGGAGGGCAGAAGGCCAGAGAGATTCGGTTTCCTGAAGCCTAACATACCTAACATAACAAAAGACTGTAACAAGGGCTATGGGAGTTATGAGCCAGGAACCATGGAAGAAAACCAAGATAGATAGATAGATAGATAGATAGATAGATAGATAGATAGATAGATAGACAGACAGATAGACAGACATCATAATACCACAGAAACTTAAACCCAAAAGGAGTTTGAAAAGAAAAGGAAAACAAACCTAATATTTATTGAGGACCTATATGCCAGTCCCTAGCCCCCCAGCAAAAAAACAAAAAACAACAACAAAAACCCATTCAGCATTATATTTAAAACTTGCAGCCACTTGGTGACATAATTAGTATTCATTATCATACTTTGAAGATGAGGAGATGAAGCTCAGAGAGGTTAAATGACTGTCCTGGTCCACCCACCTAATAAGTGGTGGAGAGTGGTGGAGGCTGGGGTAGAGCTGGGGGCTCCTGAGGGGTCTTCTGTCACCCAGCACACTGTCAGATACAGGGAAGGTTAACAAAATCACTACTGTTCAGGTAGTTTAACTTGGATTTCCTTTATAGATACAGCAGAGTATTTCAAACTATAATCTTTCAAACAAACATACAAACAAACGCAGCATATTCTTGTGTTCTGATGTGAATACACATTAAGAGATCAGATTCAAAATCACCAAATCCCCACACCCTCTCCTTACAGCCTTAACAAGTGGCAGAAGAGGAGACTATTCCTCACGGGAAGCTGACCGTGCCCACGGCCCTGAGGAGGGATGAGGCTCTTGGAATGATTGTTAAGGGCTTTTTATGTGCCAGGTGCCATGTTATGTGTATTCCACACCTGGTTTAGTTTTATCCTTATATCAGTCTCATGATACATAATTATCCACATTAAGCAGATAAGCAAACAGCCTTAGAGAAGTTAGCTAATTTGCCTAAAGCCCAAACCTTATAGTGGCAGAGACAAATTTTGAGCTCAGGTCTGTCCAATTAGAGTTTAAGCCTTTAACCACTGTGATGGCAGCTCCTTCCATGGGGCAGCCATGTGCTCTGCCAAGGACCCTACCATTGTGGCCCCTGCTGGTCAGGCCAGAAGTGGATGCCAGCCATGCCAATGGCATGGGGTGGCAGCTCAAAAGAGTCAGCCTCCTCTTGATAGTCACTGGTCAATTAATCTCTCTGCTGGAAAATTCGAGTGTAAGACCCACGGAAGGAATCAGAAGTTGACTGCAGAATCAACAGCTCTAAGCTGGTTGAGCTATCTTCCCCTACAGAACACAGCTTTTCAGTAATGATTCATAGACAATGCAGAAGGATGTGGACCTCAGGGCTCCGGAATTTGGTTTGAATTCTGACATGTATATTTTCCAGAATTTTTTCTCCATAACTCTACTATTGACTTTTCTCCTCAACCCTTCATCAACTGAAAACTTTTGAAATTTTAAAATAAGCTCTTGATAATACAGATTTAGACTTTTTCCATTTTAAGTGATAATAATAGAAAATAGCATTTCCCACAGAATAAGGGGACTATACTTCCTGGTTCAGCCAAGAGAGCCCTGTTATCCCAGCATGAATATTCACAGCACCTCTGTTCACTCCCAGTGGTGTCCCATTTTCTCAATACATTATAGTTACTGTTCGGGAAAAACTCTCAAACCGGTTTTCCTCTGTTCTCACACCACAACAATCAACACAGAAGACTTCTGCATTTCCTGAGGATTCCTTTCCACCACAAAGCAAGCAATCACTTCTGCAGCAGATACCAACTGGGTGTCCTCCAATTGAATTCTGACACTGTCTACCTGAAGATGGTGTCAGAGCCTGCCACTTTGGGGCCCACAACCCAAGAATCATGCTTCCCTCCTTAGATACCAGTCACAAGTCCGGCCCTCCAGAACTTTTGACTGACCAGCTTTGAGTTGGGGTTCCCAAGACCTCCTCTTTGGGTTTGATTGGTTTACTGAAGCACCTCACAGAACTCAGGGAAACACATTTACCAGTTTATTAAAAGGATATTACAAAGGATACAGATAAAGAGACGATACACAGGGCAAGGTATGGGGGAAGGGGCGCCAGAGCTTCCATGCTCTCCCTGGGCATACCACCCCCCAGGAACCTCCACGTGGTATGGAAACTCTGTGAACCCAGGCCACTTGGGTTTTTATGGAGGCTTCATTATATAAGCATGATTGATTAAGTCATTGGCCATTGGTGATCAACTTAACCTTCAGCTTCTCTCCCCTCTTGGTAGGTTGGTGGTGGAGCTAAGTCCCAACCCTCTAATCATGCCTCTGTCTATGGTGACCAGCCCCACCCTGAAGCTGTCAGTCTCTTATTGCAGGTAGCTAGGCAGACATGAGCAGGGCAGGAGACCCCCTCACCCCTGCCAAGGAATGTCAGGCAACCATCAGGTGATGGTTAGGGAGGAGGACGAGGAATCTCACATACACGTTTTCCTCCATTTCTTGAATCACTTCCATGCCCTTGCCAATATGCATCCAGACCTTCAAGGTCATATTTGAAGGGAAAGAAGTCCATTCCATTCTGGCAGTTGGCTGAACTGGTACAGACACAGGCTTCTCATCTACTTTAAGAAAAATGTGAAATGAGATGATAAGAAAAGAGATACTCACTTTGTTGCTAGAATGCTCTGAGAGAGTCACTGTAAGTTCATGGATACAAGGATATAGGCTGGCCCAAGGCCACAGGCTCAAGAGACAAAAGTACCCACCGGACAGAGATGAAGGCTGGTCCCAGGCTACAGGCACAGAATAGATTACCCTAGAACAGAGATGAAGGCAAGGTTAGGGGTATCCGTAAGACCAGTTCATTCTGAAACTCCAAGGATGAATAAGGGGACCCCTATTCACTCTGGTATCTCCTGTCTTCTCAGGTGGATAAACATGATGAGATGGGAGCAAGCTTAAGGGTACCAGGTAAGACCGGTTCACTCTGGAGCCCCAAGGATGAATGGGGCATACCCTGTTCAGGAAGGGATAATAGGGAAATAAGAGAGGATACCTTCTTTTTCCCTTTTTTTTAATCCTCTATTCTCTCTTCACAGATGGATAATCACATATTCATACCATGGGACATGCCCCTCGGATGCATCCTCAAGAAGGGAGAAAAGTTTGAACCCCAAACCCTAAAAAGGAAAAGGCTAATATTTTTCTGTAACACAGCTTGGGTTGAATAAAATCTCCAGGACCAGTAATGTTGGCCAGAAAACAGAAGCATAAATTTTAATACAATCCATCAACTAGATTTGTTTTGCTGTCAACAGGGAAAATGAACAGAAATCCTTTATGTACAGGCCTTCGTGGCCCTAAGAAACAACCATGGCCTTTGTCAGGCTTGTAAAATGGATCCAGTGATGATAGCGGCCATTGTCAGGCAGCTGCCACCAGTTGGTTTGGGAGGCCTCTTATTGGGTTTACCCAGGGCTCAAGCCCCAGAGGAACCAAGGGCAGAGCTTGGGTCAAACCCCACTGCCCCTTCTACCCCTTAATATCCAAGTCTTCCAGCCTTGGATCCTTGCTCTTTCTAGCCAGGGCCACCCTCTGGACACCACCCCCTTAAGTTATGCCCCTTTCAAGAGGTTAGCAGCCCCAGTGGACCCACTAGAGTCCAGACTCCGTTCACTATGTAAGACCTGAGCCAGATTAAGATGGAAGTAGGAAGTTTATGGAAGACCCTGAAAAATACATCAAAGCGTTCCGTAAACTGGGCTAAACATTTGAACTCACCTGGAGGGCCCTCTCAGTCATACTATGGCAAACTCTGTTTAAGGGAGAATGTGACTCCATTACAGAGGTGACCCAGCAATTTATAACTACAATGCACATGACTGACTCTGGTGGCAACACTGTGGGGGCCACCGCAGTTCCCTAGGTTGACCCTAATTCGGGTTACCATACCTGGGGGCGGTATATGGGCAAGGAACCACATGTTTCTCTGTCTGGTAGAAGGAATGAAAGCTAGCAAAACAGAGCCTATGAACTATAATAAATCGGCCTTAATAGATCAAGGCCCTCTTGAAAACCCCTAGAGAGGCTACAAGAGGCACTAATGAAACATACTAACCTAGACCCAGACACACCAGAAAGACAACTGACCCTAAAGGACCATTTCCTAACTCCGGCAGCCCCAGATATTCAGAGGAAACTCCAAAAGCTAGCACTGGGCCCCAACGCCCCGGGCCTGATATCTTCAAAATAGCTTCCTCAATCTTCTACAACCAAAACCAGGAGAAGGAGGAAAGAGCTCAGGAAAAGGGAGGCAAAAGGAAAAGTAGCAGCTCCAACTCTTGGCTGCACTACAAGTCTGCCAGCCCCCTCCAGGTTGCCCTCAGATTACCCTCGCAGGTAACTGCCATCAGCACAGGAGGGCAGGCCACTGGAAGGCAAACTGCCCCAATAGGACTGATGGAAAAAAGCCCCGCATGGCTTGCCCCCACTGCCACAAGCTTGGCCACTGAAAATGGGACTGCCCTGAGGATCGAAGGGACTCTGGGACAGAATCCCAACCCCTGATGGCCTTGAGCTGAAGGAGCCCTACACATCAGCCAGCTCCCAGATTGAACATCACTGTTGAAGGGACAGACCCAAGGGCTGCTTTGGACATGGCAGGTAGGACTATAAGTTTTCTTTTGGATATGGGAGTGGACTACTCAGTGCTTACCTCTTTTCCTGAGCAATTATCCTCCAAATCCTCGCTGGTGCTGGGGCTAAATGAGGTGCCTATAAGCTGAAGATTTACTCCTCCTCTCTGGTGCCTGTAGGGGGAAACTGTCTTTTCTCATTCATTTTTAATGATGCCAGAATGTCCTATGCCCCTTTTGGGTAGAGATAGTTTATTTAGACTAGAGGCTTAGTTAACCTTTCCTCTAAGGCAACACCTCCTTTTCCAAATGCAATCTTATGCCTCAAGGAAACCACACACAGGATGAACTGCTAACAGACCTTTCCATTAATCCAGAGGTCTGGGCCACAGGAATACATGGAAAGGCCATAATGGCAATGCCTGTAGTAATTCATCTCAAGGATCCTTCTTGCTATCCTTGTAGAAGGCAGCTGGCCAAAGAGGGACTTTGGCTCCTGATTGAAAATTTTCTGTAACGTGAATTATTAATACTCGATAACTTGCCCTGTAACACCTGCATCCTACCTGTTAAGAAGAGCAATGAGGCCAGGCGCAGTGGCTCACACCTATATCCCAGCACTTTGGGAGGCTGAGCCGGGTGGATCACTTGAGGTCAGGAGTTTGAGACCAGCCTGGCCAACATGGAGAAACCCCCTCTCTACTAAAAATACAAAAAAAAAAAAAAAAAATTGCCAGGCATGGTGGCACATGCCTATAATCCCAGCTACTCGGGAGGCTGAGGCAGGAGAATCGCTTGAACCTGGGAGGCAGAGGTTGCAGTGAGCCAAGATTGCGCCATTGCACTCCAGCCTGGGGAATAAGAGCAAAACTCCGTCTCAAAAAATAAAAAAAAGAGCAATGACAAATACAGGCTAGTCCAGGACCTGCGAATCATAAATGAGGCAGTAGTCCCAGTGGTCCCCAACCCATATATATTAATAATTCTAGGAGAAGTACCTCCAGATACTCAGTTGTTTTCAGTCTTAGACCTCAAAGACACTTTCTTTCGTATCTCCCTAGACTCATCCTCCCAATTTTATTTGCATTTGAGTAGGAGAATAAGAAAGCAAGGCATCAACAGCTCACCTGGACAGTGCTTCCACAAGGTTTCACAGATAGTTCCCATTTGTTTGGGCAAGCCTTGGCTAGAGATTTGCAGGACCTGACTCTTGAGGTGGGGCAGATGGCTCCTACAGCATATGGATGACCTGTTAATCTGCTCCCCCACAAGACAGCTGGGAATCCAACATCTAGTCCAGACACTAAATTTACTGGCAGACAGAGGGCACAAGGTGTCCAAGGCCAAGACACAGCTACTAAGACAAGAGGTCCAATACTTGGAGATAATCATGACCCCTGGAGAACATAAGTTCTCCCCAGAATGGATACAGGCCATCTTTAAAATACTTCTCCCAGCCACCCAAAAGCAGCATCAGGCCTTTCTAGGGATCACAGGATATTGCAGAGTTTGGATACTGGGACATGGTGGGATTGTTCAGTACTTATATCAGGCTCTAAAAGAAAGGACTGATAGGCACCCACTTCTTTGGGTAAATGATCAGGAGCAAGACTTTATACAGCTAAAAACTGCCCTCTTACAAGCCCCAGACCTTGGGCTACTCACACTAACCAATCCATTTCAGCTTTTTGTCACTGAAAGGCAAGGTGTAGCCCTAGGAGTTCTAAGTCAAACCATCGAGCCAATCAAACATCCGGTAGGCTGTAGGAGCCATCTGCCCCACCTCAAGAGTCAGGTCCTGCAAATCTCTAGCCAAGGCTTGCCCAAACAAATGGGAACTATCTGTGAAACCTTGTGGAAGCACTGTCCAGGTGAGCTGTTGATGCCTTGCTTTCTTATTCTCCTACTCAAATGCAAATAAAATTGGGAGGATGAGTCTAGGGAGATACGAAAGAAAGTGTCTTTGAGGTCTAAGACTGAAAACAACTGAGTATCTGGAGGTACTTCTCCTAGAATTATTTTTAAAGAACCTAGACCCAGTAGTGCAAGTGTGGTCACACTTGTTGCAGTGGCCATCCTACTTGAGGAGGCCCTTAAAATCACCATGGGACTGTCAGTCCGACTCCTGACATTCCAGCAAGTAGGCCCCTTATTGAACATAAAAGTGCCATAATGGCACACTGATAACAGACTGCTAAAGTACCAAGTCTTGTTGTTAGAAAACCAACAGGTAACAGTTGAGTGGTATTCCACCCTTCACCCAGCCTCCTTACTGCCACTACGAGGAGACTATAACTCAACACATTCATGTTGTGAGATACTTAACCAAATTTATGCCAGCTGGGAAGACTCAAAGAATCAGCCCCTAGATAATCCGGACGAAATATGGTTTTCAGATTAAAGTAGTTTTGTCTGGAATGGAACTAGATATGCAGGGTACACTATAGTGTCCCTTCATCTAGTTCTGGAGGCTAAAGCTCTGTCCCCGGGGACCTCAGTGCAAGTAGCCAAACTCATTGCACTAACCAGAGCCCTAAAACTAGGGAAAGAAAAAGAATAACCATGTATACAGATTTTAAATACGCCTTTCTGGTGTCTCATGTCCATGTGGCTATCTGAAAGGAAAGGGGGGTACCTAACAGCTTGGGATACTCCTATTAAGTATGGGCCTCAAATCTTAGAGCTCCTAGAGGCTGTTCATTTGCCCTGGGAAGTGGCAGTAGTGCACTGTAGAGGACACCAGAAGGGTTCTGATGAAACTGCATGAGGAAAACGGTTAGCTGACCAAAAAGCTAAAGAGGCAGCCGTCTCAAAAAATACCTTCATGGAGGCCTCGCTCCCCTCTCCCACCAGTGAACTGCCCCCTTTCCAGTACACTAAGGAAGAAATAGATTGGGCCACCCAACGTGGGTATAAGGAAGAAATCAGTGGTTGGTACAGGTTGGGAGGGCTTCTCTATCTACCTAAAGCCTCCCAAAGAAAGTCATCAAGAGTTTCCACAACTCCTGCCGCCTTGGAAAGGACAGACTAGGGCAAATTTGTAAATGGGCGTTTAGCAGGAAGGCACTAAATAAAACTATTCAACAGATTTGTCAAGCCTGCACCTTGTGCACCATAAATAATCCTCTGAGAGAGAAGCCCCCTCCATTAATAAGTGCAATCCAAAGGAGAGGCACATACCCTGGGGAGGACTGGCAGATGGACTTCACTCAGCTTCCCAAATGCTACAGGAGCTGAGTGAAACTCAACTCCAACCCATGGAGCCACCTGCCCTGACAGCTAACAAGAGGCCAAGAACCACAGAACAACCACCACTGCCCCTCTGTCAGCAGGAAGCAGTTACAGAAGACTGTTCTTCGTCCATTTTCCCAAAGAATTGGGTCTTGGACTCTTTAGGGGGGAAATGTTAGAGTAGGTAGTTAGGCAGACATGAGCAGGGCACAAGGGGGCCCTCCTCCCCACCAGGAATGTCAGGCAACTCTCCGATGATGGTCAGGCAACTCTCCGATGATGGTCAGGCAGTTGTCAAACTGTCTCTCTAAAATAGTAATTAGTTGCAGCTGGCAACTAGACAGTCTCCCAATAGACAGAAAACACTTGAAGCTGGTGATCAGTGGCTTCCCAGTAAGATCTCAGGAATTGGGGAAAATGGGCTGAAGCATGCACACTAAGCAGCAAAATGGTGGAGTTTAACTGGTAGATGACCTTCACCTAAGAACACTCAGTTGGTAAGGGAAAAACGCCTCAAGTGAGCATATGTACAACTTCCTAAACACACTGCGCATGCAGCCCCTCCCAAGTGCTGGCAGGCCAGTGTACTGAGGACAAGCTGTCCTGAAGGAAAAAATCAAAGAAGAGAGATGCAAAACCCCAGAAGCATGCCAACGTATAAAACCCCAAGTCAAGGGCCAGATGGGGCACTTGGATCTCTCAGGTCACCCACTTGGCCCTCTTCCAAGTGTATTTTACTTCCTTTCACTCCTGCTCTAAAACTTGCCTCTGTTTCTCCCTCTGCCTTATGCCCCTCAGTTGAATTCTTTCCTTTGAGGAGGTCAGAATCGAGTTGCTGCAGACCCATGCAGATTCGGCATTACTAACAAGTCAACATTAGCATACAAAAAACATAGCACTTGGAAGATTCCAAGAATTTTAGGAGTTGTATGCCAGGAAATGGGGATGAAGACCAAATATCTATTGCATAATATCACAGTCACTCTCTCCATGAGTCAAGTAGTTCCCTGAGATAGTAAAGAGTGTTTCATCAACAATATTAGACCCTGTGGTCAAATAAGTTTTGAAAACAGGATTGGATGAAGACAAAAAACAAAGTCCATACCACAGGACTCTGGGGAACCTCCAAATGTTTAAAAATGAGCCCCTGGTTGCAGTTGCTTCCAGGAGTCCAGGAAGCAATTGCAGCTGGAGATTTGCCATTTCATACTTGTGAGCAGTTTATCTTGTAAGGGATGGGGACTTCAATTCACCTTTGGGCAAAATGTTTCTTTATTTTGGGAAAAAACACTGAAATGGGCCTCTTTGTGCCCATTCTCTGTTTTATACTTAAAAACAAAAACAGAGTTTGGTAATAGAAACTGTTTGGTAATAGAAAAGTTGTATTTGGTTAAATCACAGCTATTTATTCATCAATAAATATTTATGGAGCACTCCAGGTATTATTCTGGATCAGGGGTTGACAAAATTTATATGTAAAGAGCCAGAAGTAAATATTTTAAACTTTGTGGCTCATATGGTCTCAGTTGCAACTGCTTAAGTCTGTCATTATGGTGCAAAAGCAGCCATAGACAATACATAGGTGAATGGACATGGCTGTGTTTCAACATAACTTTATTTAAAAAAAACAGCAGCAGGTCAGATATGGCCATTTGCTGACTCCTGGCTTAGATGCCTGGGCTTCAGCAGTGGACTGAATGGACAAAAATCTCTGTTCTCATGGAACTTATATTCTAGAGGAGGGAGACAATAAGCATGATAAAGAGAATTTAAATGTTAAGTTAGAAGGTGACAGATACTATGGGGGAAAAAGAAACCATGGAAAAGGAATTGCAAGGCTGGGATCGGGGGTTGGGTGGGAAGAAAAAGTCTCTCTTAGAATGTGACATTTTGGCTGGGCATGGTGGCTCACACCTGTAATCCTAGCACTTTGGTAGGCCTAGGTGGGAGGATCATTTGAGTTCAGGAGTTCAAGACCAGCCTAGGAAACATAGCAAGACCCTGTCTCTATTTTTTTTTAATGTTCAAAAACTAAAAAAACAAAAAAGAGAAGGTGACATTTTAGCAAACTTGAAGGAGATGAGTATGGCAATTTTAAAACATGTTCATAAGCATGTCTTTGACATTACTCTCACCCAGAGGTAGTGGTGGTGGGTGGGAGGATTCTATGTCTTCTCCCCTTGAATCTTGGCTGACCTTTGTGAATTGCTTGTAACCTAAAGAACGCAGCAAGTGATGCTATGGAACTTCTGAGGCTAGGTGGGAATAGACAGTGCAGTCTCCATCTGGTTGCCTTGGGATTGTTCTCTGTGGGAGCCAGATGCTATGTAAGAAATCTGATTCACTGAGAACTCCCTGCTGGAGAGTCCACATCTATAGCCCAGTGGAGCTTCTAGCTGACACCAGTGTCACCTGCCAGCCGTGTGATTGCACCATCTTGGACGTCCTACCCAGTCAAGCCATGAAATGATGGCAGCTTCAGCCGACATCTGACTGCAACCGTGTAAGTGATCCTAGGTGGGAACTGCCCTGCTGAGCCCTTCCTGTATTCCTGACCCACAAAATCCGTGAGCAATAAACAAATAAAATGATAGCTTTAAGCTGCTAAGTTTCAGGATAATTTGTTAGGCAGAAATGGTATCTGAAATAGAAATCTGCTAAAAGTGGACTGGGAAAAGTGAACTGTGTCAGATTGTATTTTCCAAAGACGGTCACAACACGATTTCCCATCCCTTGTGTTTTTCCACAATGTGACCTTGCCACTCTCCCATCAAGAGGCGGAGTCTAATTCCCCTCAACTTGATCCTGAGTCGCTGGCGACTGCTTCCACCAATACAGAATGCAGAAGCAACACTGTGTTTTCCAAGGCTGAGTCACGAAAAATGATGTAGTTGGAGTTTTGAACTTTCACGTAAGAAGTCTGACTACCCGCCGGGCGTGGTGGCTCACACATGTAATCCCGGCACTTTGGGAGGCTGAGGGGGGCGGATCACAAGGTCAAGAGATCGAGACCATCCTGGCTAACACGGTGAAACCCTGTCTCTACTAAAAATACAAAAAAAAAAAAAAAATTAGCCGGGTGTGATGGCAAGCGCCTGTAGTCCCAGCTACGCAGGAGTCTGAGGGAGGAGAATGGCGAATGGCGTGAACCCGGGAGGCGGAGCTTGCAGTGAGCTGAGATCATGCCACTGCACTCCAGCCTGGGTGACAGAGTGAGACTCCGTCTAAAAAAAAAAAGAAATCTGACTACCCTGAGACAGTCATGCCATGAGGAAGGCCACATGGTGAGATGGATATGGAGTGAGCCTTGGGGATAACTGGAGAAATAATTTTAGGCAAAAAGAACAACCAGCACAAAGGCTCTGAGTCAAGACCTGGGCCTCGTGTGTTTGAGGAGCCACAAGGAGGCCAGTGTGGCCGGAGGAGAATAGACTGTAGGGGCAAGGGAAGAAGCAGGGAGCCACTTATGAGAGTGCAGGTGAGTCAGTGCGGTTGGTCACAGAAGAGATAGGGGTGAGAAGTGGTTGGATTAAAAGGTAGAGCTGAGAAGATTCAGTCATGAACTGGTCATAAACACTGAGAGAAAGAAAGGAACCAAAGATGATTCCTAGCTTTTTGGCCAATGGAAGAATTGAATTAGCAAAAGCAGAAATGGTGAAGACTGTAGAAGCAGATGTAGGGTTGTATGTAGGGGGCAGGTCAAGAGCTGGGTTTTAGACATAGATTTCAGATGCTGATTAGACATCCAAGTGGAGGTGTCCGGCAGGCAGAAGCTATCACCAGAAAAGGGGTCTTGTCCCAGACCCCAAGAGTGGGCTCTTGGATCTTGCACAGGAAAGAATTCAGGGCGAGTCACAGAATATATTGAAGTTAAGTTTATTAGAGGCTACTCAATTACAAAGTAGGGCGTCCTCAGAAAGCAAGAGGAGGAATGCACTACCTTAAACGTAGTGCTGGCTTATCTAAGTTATTAAGAATAGTGTACTCTATCACAAAGGCCTGTGATCAGCTTGTAACAGTCTATTAGTATTGTTACTTTCCTGTTACTATTATCTTTAAAGCAAAACCTGTTCTTAAACTAAAAATCCTTTTTCTTCTTAAAGTACTGGGACGTTTCCATAAGTTCTGGGTCTTTATTTAGTTAGTTAACACTATTAACTCATTCCCTCAACCATAAACATCTTGTGACCAAGAGTGCCCAGCTCCCTGGGAATGTAACTCAGCAGGTTTGGCTTTATCCCAGCTTTATTAAAGATGGAATCACTCTGGTTAGGACACCTCTGACCAAGATGCATGAGCCCACATGCAGGGGAGAGGTTTGAGCTGTGGCAGATATAAATGTGGGTGTCATCAACATACGATTGGTTTAAAGCAATGACTTTCAGTTTGATCTCAGATCCCTTTAAAAAATTGTTTTTATTGGCTGGGTGCGGTGGCTCACACCTATAATCCCAGCACTTTGGGAGGCCAAGGCGGGCAGATCATGAGGTCAGGAGATTGAGACCATCCTGGCTAACATGGTGAAACCCCGTCTATACTAAAAATGCAAAACAAATTAGCTGGGAATGGTGGCGGGCGCCTGTAGTCCCAGCTACTCGGGAGGCTGAGGCAGGAGAATGGCGTGAACCCGGGAGGCGGACTTGCAGTGAGCCGAGATCGCACCACTGCACTCCAGCCTGGGTGACAGAGTGAGATTCCGTCTCAAAAAAAAAAAAAAATTGTTTTTATTATAGTAAAAACATGTAACATTGAATTTATTATCTAACAAAATAAATTTATTATCGTAATCATTTTAAGTGTACAGTTCAGTAATGTTGAGTATATTCACATTATTGTGCAACAGATCTCTAGAACTTTTTCATCTCACAACACTGAAACTCAATACTCATTAGACACTAGCTCCTCCACCCCCAAGTCCTTGGTAACCACCTTACTACTTTCTGTTTCTATGCTTTTGACTACTTTATCATGAAGGAAATGAAAATAATTTGAAATCATCTTTGCAAAAATTATTACAGTGAGAAAATTAGACAGTGAAAGAGATCTAACCTAACTGACTCCATCTTGCTTCTAATCTTCAAGCTGCCCTTGTTCATTCCTGGGCATGGGTCAAGCTAACTTTGGAAAGAATTTAGTTTACAGTTTAACTTTGAAACAAAGATATTAAGAGCTCCTCCCCAGAACAAACCCCCTCCTTGCCTGGGGATCAGACTGCCTTTGTAAAACTCACAAATTAGCCACAAGATTAGAAATTATAACTCACTTTGGGAGGCCAAGGTGGGTGGATCACTTGAGGTCAGGAGTTTGAGATCAGCCTGGCCAACATGGTGAAACCCCATCTCTATTAAAAATACAAAAATTAGCTGGATGTGGTGGCGGGCGCCTGTAATCCTAGCTACTTGGGAGGCTGAGTCACGAGAATCACTTGAACCTGGGAGGCGGAGGTTGCAGTGAGCTGAGATTGCACCACTGCACTTCAGCCTGGGTGACAGAGTGAGATTTTCTCTCAAAAAAAGAGGTCGGGCTTGGGATAGAGTGGCAACGAGAAGGATGAGTCCCTCTTCCTTCATCCTTGTCCCAGTCCCTCCAAGCCACACTGATGGAAGGAGGCAATGGCCTGAGGGAGACAGCATAAGCTGGAGTTGCAGGAGGAAACTGGAGAAAACTCATTGCAGTGTCCTGGCAGAGGGACAGTGGAGAGGTGACTTCCTGAGAAGACTGGGTGGAAAAGCTCAGCAGCCATGGTCCTCAGCTCACATTGACAGCATCTCTGTGAGAGGCTGAGTCAAGCGGAGTAGCAGGTGGGGCTTGGCATCACCACTCTCTGGTCACCCCTCCTCATGAAGTAGCCTCAGGCAGCGCTGGGAGTCTCCACAATGGAGAAAAGGGAGATGATGGTATTTCTACAACTGAATCACCCCAGGAACCCCTGGTCATGAACCATGTTAAGGATTAGTGTTCCAGGAAACACGCTGGCACATGCAGATGAAAACCAGAGGAGACAGAAGGGACCAGTGTCAGTATGTTGGTTCACTGGCTCTCATTGGGGTCATCAGAATCACTTCTGATGAAGGTACTTAAATATATAGTTGCCTGGGCCCATCCAGGCTTAACAAAAAATACATGTCCTGGAGCCTTACCCTCTGCAGCATTCTGATTTAGTAGGTCTAGACAGGGTCAGGGCATCTGTAGTTTTAAGTACCTTTCCAGGTGATACTGTCATGTACTCCTGGTAAAAACCCTCTGATCTAATTCCTTGTATTGCAGATGAACAAACTAAGGTCTAGAAATGTCAATAGGGTTATGAAAGGAGGCACAGTGCTAGTTGAAAGCTTAGGTTTGAGTCCTGACTATGTGACTTTGGATAATTTGTTTAATCCCTCCATGCTTTACCATCCTCATCTAGAAGAAGGGGCAGTAACAGCAATTCCAAATAGTTTTGGGAGCATTAAATGAGCTAAGGCAATCCAAGCCCTCTACCATGGTGCCTGATATAAAGTTTCTGCTGAATAATTGCTGGCTACATTGTCATATCATCATCAGCAGCAGCACCGTCATCATTATCGCCATCACCACCACTGTCATCATTATTGTCACTATCACCACCACCCCCACCACCACCACTATCATCATCATTTTCATCATCGCTATTTCAGAAAGTGCCCCCCAGCCAGCTAGTGGCAGAGCTGGGACGATTTTGGTTTTCAGACTCCAAATTCAGTGACCTTTCCACTACTGAAGCCTCCAAATTCTCAACACAAACTTAAGTATTTCCTTGGCCAAGACAGTGTAACAAAGTCTTTTTTTTTCTGAGTGGAAAAATAAATTGCTCTTAATTTCTTTTTTCTTTCCTTTTTTTTGGTGGGGGGAGGGGGATGGAGTCTTGCTCTGTCACCCGGGCTGGAGTGCAGTGGTGTGACTTAGTTCACTGCAACCTCTGCTTCCCAGGTTCAAGTGATTCTCCTGCCTCAGCCTCCCGAGTAACTGGGATTACAGGTGCCCGCCACCACGCCCAGCTCATTTTTGTATTTTTAGTAGAGATGGGGTTTCACCATGTTGGCCTGGCTGGTCTTGAACTCTTGACCCGTGATCCACCTGCCTCAGCTTCCCAAAGTGCTGGGATTACAGGTGTGAGCCACCGCACCCGGCCCAAGTTCTTTTATTTTCAAACTGGCTCTTGACACTCAGAATAAAGGAAATCAACTCCATCTAAGACATGAGAAGAAATTGAAAAACCTCTTTGGAAAAACTCAGCTTTGCTACCAAGAAATAACCTTTAAGTAAATGGCTGGTAGGAAGGAAATTCTCAATAGTACTATTGTAGAAAATTGAGCCCGCCATTTTCCAAGTGCTTCACTGTCTCTTGAGTAGTTCTGTTGATGTGGGCAGGGAGCAGTACTGCTGATGGGAGCAATTTGGGGTGGGGTTTGATCGTATCACTTGTCAAAGGCTTATCCTAAAATGTTTTTGGTGTGCCCAGTGGTGTCACACCTCTGACCTCCTATCTTAGTGGCTTAGACTGTAAGCCACTGGCTTTCTCTACTGGCAGAGCAGTAGAAAACCTCAGTAACCTTTTTCACACTTGTGGTGGCCATTAGCTGATCCTGTGGCTGAACTCTCCCTGCTTGGGGGGATTCCTCACCACGAGTCTTGGTGGGAGGCAGAGCCCACTTCTGTAGGAGATAAGGAAGCCTGGGCGCTCTTTCCCAGCTCCCTTGAGGCCAGAGTGTGGGTGTGTGGCCTTGGCTCACTCTGTGAGCCTCGTGTACCTGTTTTTTGTAATGCAGGTGGGAGAAGTCTTTCTAGAGTCACTGTAACCTCTGGCTCCTGCGGTTGTTGTGCCAGAGACCACCTCCCTTTGTTCTAGCTGTTTCTCCTGCCTTCCCACCAGTTTTGTGAGCTACCCAGCAGCTTTTCTCTTTCTTTGAGTATAACCTCTTCTATATGTCATTTCTCTCCAATTTTAATGTATAATTACACACATTTTTCTTTTTTTAATTTTTTGCCGAATCATTTGTGATGTAGTTGCAGACATCATGACACTGTACCCTGCCGCATCTCTGATGCAATTACAATGAAATCACATGCAGTATCTTTTCCACACATTTTCTTCTGCCGTGGCAACTAGAGGCAATTTCTGTTGCTTATGGTTAAGAGTCCTGATGGGCATATCATTTGGGAAATTGGCAAGATGTGATGGAAAGAGTAGGTGTTTGGGTACAATACAGACCTGAGTTTGGCTTTAACTTAAGAAAGTCATTTATCTCTCCAAGCCCCCCTTTTCTCATCTGGGTAGTGACAATGCCTACCTTGTAAAATTGTGAGAATGTGGCATAATGTGTGCAAGGGATATAGCACAGTTTCTAGCACCCAGTAGTTGCTCAATAAATATTCATTGAGTGAATGATTGAATAAATAAAGACACTAGATCAGTGATTGTCAAACATGGCTGTACATTAGAACCACCAGGAGACTTTAAAAACATCCTGAGGCCAGGTTGCACCCTAGAACAATTGCATCAGAACCTTTGGGGTAGAAACTCAGACATTAGTGTTTTTTTTGTTTGCTTGTTTTTGTTTTTTGAGACAGAGTCTTGCTCTGTTGCCAGGCTGTAGTGCAGTGGCGCAATCTCAGCTCATTGCAACCTCCGCCTCAGCCTCCCGAGTAGCTGGGACTACAGGCGTGCACCACCACGCCCAATTAATTTTTGTATTTTTAGTAGAGACGGGGTTTCACCATGTTGACCAGGATGGTCTCGATCTCTTGACTTCATGATCTACCTGCCTCGGCCTCCCAAAGTGCTGGGATTACAGGCATGAGCCACTGCGCCCGGCCAACATTAGTATTTTTTAAGCTCCGCGTGTGATCTGACATGTAGCCTTGGATGTTGGAGTGTGACCTATTCTGGTCCCTTGTATCCTCCTTAGTCAAACTGGAGAAAACAGAAACCTCGTAAGGTAGCTGTGAGACGTGAAAATGTATGGACCTAATACATAGTAGGTCTCAGTAAACACTAGCTTCCAATCTCCTCTGCATGTCTTCAGTTAGGTGTAGCCTTCTGTGTAGGTGCAGGAGACACTGGAACATCATGGAAGGTTTGGAGGTGCACTGGGATTCCGCTCCCACACACTGAAATTTGTGTCCTGTATTAATTTGCTCCGGCTGCCATTAACCAAGTTCCATGACTGGGTGGCTCGAACGAGAGAAATATACTGTCTCACAGTTCTGGAGACTGGAAGTCTGAGATCTAGGTGTCAGGTTCATTCCTTCTGGGGCTGTAAGGGAGAATCTGCTCCATGCCTTTCTCCTTGCTTCTGGTCGCTTGCTGGCAGTCTTTGGTGTTTTTTGGCTTGTGGCAGCATAACTCTAGTCTTCACATGACATTCTCCTGTGTCTGTGCCCAAATTTACCCTTTTTGCAAGGACACCAGCCATATTGAATTATAAACTCACCTTACCTCAGCATAATCTCATTTTATATGATCTGCAATAATCCTATTTCCAAATAAGGTCATATTCAGGGAGACTGTGGGTTATTCAGGGAGACTGTGGGTTAGGAGTTGAACATATGAATCTGGGGGCAGAGGATGACACAATTCAACCTGTAACCTGCCCTAAGCTACAGATTTGTATCCCCTGAAGAACTTCATCAAAATGTAAGCCATGAAATTTTAGACCTATAGACTTTGTTTTTAAGCATAAGAATAGATCTGAGTGCAAACCTCTCTAGTTAAGATGAAGAAATAAGCTTCAAAGGAGGGGAAGTGACTTGCTAAAGACCCAGCCAGAAAAGTGGGCCTGATTTGTATTTTTTTCTCTAATTTTGAAGTAAACAGAAGATTCTTTGATAAATTAGCAGGGCCCAGTGGTTCTTCCTCCCCCACCCCCGCCCCCCAATTTAACCTTACTATTGGGAAACTGTATATTGGCATATCGTTGAACCAATTGCAACCAAAGTTGAGGGTGGGAGCAGGTAAAGGTGGGTACCTCCTACCCCACATTCCCACAGTTCATTGCAAAGTGCCTTGGAAGAGCTTTAATAATACATTTAAAGTGAGCATCCCCAGTTGTGTGGACAATAAGCCAGGTCATTTTCTTTCAGTCAAGAGAGGTCAGCAAGGTGGTCTGGGAAAAGGAACAGGAATTTCTTGGGCCTGGAGTAATCCTATGGGAACTTTTCTTCAAATGGGTATGACTAGAGGGTGGCCAACTTGAGAGTGGGGCCAATTCATCTTTGTGGTCTCACTCTCCACAACATGGGCTTTGCTCTGCTCTTGCATTGGGAAAATACTCCAAAAAAGTAGCCAGGGGTTGCCTGGAGGTTTGCATGCCATTGTCTCACACCCTTCTCTCCCTTCTCACTCCTGCAACCATCCAACTGTCCAGTTCTTCTTTCTAACCATGAATGATGCTCAACGCTGATTTTCTGACATGGTCAAAGTCAAGGAACCAGGCTTCCTTTGTTTTTCTTTGGTCCCTCTGGTCTCACTTCCTTTTGTGGAGGGGCCAGTGGACATGTCGGGGGACGGTTGCAGCAACCCCACATCTATGATCTGGGCTGGCCTTAAGGTAGAGAGCAAAGCTCTGTGCTCAGAATAAGTTGGTGAAGAGTTAGGATAATCCCTCTTACCCTTCCCAATCTTCCCTGAAACCCCCAAGTATCTCCCACCAAGTTTTCAGCATGCCTGAAATTTCCAGCCAATAATAGTATCATACCTTCTGATTGTAGGACTGTATTTCTGAACGGTCCCTGTTCAGACCCAAATATTTTATAATACAGAAAATAAAAGCCTTGGACTTGGAGACAGAAGACTTGGGTGTCAAGCCAGGGGAGAAATGGGGATAGGAAATTGAGTCACAGAGCATTCAAGATAGACTTGGTCTCCTGGACAATTTCACCTAAGGTCTAAATTGAGCCAGTTTCCCACCACCCTGACTCACACAGGCCTTTTTCCACACTTTGTTCTCCAATCCTGAATCCCTAACCCAGATCTTCCATAAGTAGAAGACTTTTAAGAACCTATATGCTCTTGGTAGAAATGAGGGGACATAATCAATGCTATGGGCTGAGTGTTTGCCACTCAGTTTATGGTATTTGTCATAGCAGCCCGAACTGACTAAGACAGCCAGCCAAAGGTAAGACAATACATGCTAATCTTTTACTTGTGCATATTAACACAGTGAAGCTTTCTTGTTTAATGAAATGATGCATAATAATTCATACTTATCTGGGACAGAATGATCAACAAAGCAAGTAGTTTTACATACATGACCTTATGCACAGCCTCATAGTGTGGATGAGTCTGTTATTGGCTTCTCTACAGTTTATAGGTGAGGAAACTGAGCCTTGAGAGGCCCAAGGTCACAGTGGGAAAGAGCTTGGATTTGGAGTTTAGGTCCAGGGCTCAAATGTCATTCGACTCCACAGACAGTTTACTTTGGACATCTTTAGACCAGGTTTCCATGTTTGCAGACCTTTTTGTCCCATCACAGGCATTTGCATAAATGAAACCTGTGAAAAGTTCAACAAAGCTTAATTCCAAACAAAAAAGATGATGTTTAGGCCGGTGGGCCCCAGACAAGTTCACAAGAAGCTCATGGGGTGAGTACCTGGTGTTGACCAGAAGATGAGATGTAGGCAAGTATAGTAAGAGAAAACAGAGGTAGAAAAAAGGCCAAAAGATGGTCTCCTGTTAACTCACTCAACCAACCACAAACATTGCCAGGCACTGAGGGAGATGGTAGGAACTGGGTTTGTGCCTTTGAGGGATTTCCACTCCAGTTGAGGCCATTGGAGTTCTGGGGCTGGCCTGAGCTTGGAGACATGCTCCGCTCAGAGATCAGCGAGGTTCTTCTCTTCTGGATTCTGTCTGAGGGAAACTGGAGGTGTAAATGCTGTAGAACCACCGTGGGTTTTTTTATGTTCCAGGAGTGGTTAGAGGTCTGCAGCTCTGTGTCCAGGACATCTCTGTTTGGAGGGAGAGATAGGCCTGCAAGAGTCCAGTTGAGATTGAGCAATGGTTTCTGTGGGTGGAGGGAGGGGAAGCCCAGGAGGTGGTGGCCAGTGGAGGTTGTGGTCAGGGACAGACAGCGTGGCTCATGGTGTGCAACTCTCTGGAAACTCCTTTTCAGCAGTGTCATCTGCCACTCCCTCTCTGACTGGGTTACCCTTCTATCTTCCTATTCATACTTCTCTTTGTGCCTCTTCCCTTGGGTTCTTGAGGAGCTAGATTAGGGGAAGACTCCTGATTAAAGACTGCCTTGGGAGCCAGTCTATTAGGGATGCCAAAACATCACTGGAAGTATAAAGAGTCAGATATGAAACGCTCCCAGGGAGATGGCTGGATGTGCTGAAAGAAATACAAGAGAAGCATCTTGGGATGGGTAGGAATGGGATGGCATGGGGAGAGGGTGAAGTGAGCTTCTCAAGGGGCCTCAACCCCCAAACCTGCCTTCTAAGAAGGGTGGGTTCAAAGCCCAAGGTGCTTTGGTTTTGCTAAGTGGGTATGTGAGTAGGAGTCCTTTGCCTTTTTGCTCCCTGGCTCAGCCTGCCCTCTGAGTAAAAGTTGAACAAAATGTTAAGAATCAGTGTGAAACTGTGTTTGAAAGATTAGGCCAACTAGAAGCCCATAGGCTTAGCTCTGATACCACAAACTACCTCATTATCTCTTCCTTATGCTGTTTCTCCCATCGGTGGTGAGTAGTGGCCCCACCTGTAGGCTGGCAGGTAGGTCCATGGGAGCCCCTTCCCTTCACTGGTATGCCGCCCAGCCCTGTCCAGCAGGTGCTACTGGCCTCATTATTAAAACTAGGCCCTGGCTCTTCCCTAGACCGATAAACTCCTCCAGATCTACTGCCCCATTGGCAAATAGATCATTGAAGTTGCATCTGGAACTGAAGGGGAAATGCCTTACAAGCTCTCTCTAGGTTGGCCAGAGGGCTACATTGGTATCTACTTTATTCAATAACAAGATATTGAGTGTCTTCTGTGTGCAAATCCCTGCTCAAGGGACTGTAGAAGACTCTGGACTCCTCATTTTTTAAAAAAGTTGCAGCCAAATGTACCTAATGAAGGTGCATGTCAGAATCGCATGGGAAGCTTTTCCAAATCCCCACGCCAGAGCCAAATCAGGTTCACAGATTGGGCCCAGGTCTTTGTGGCATGGCAAAGTTTAGAGAGTGGCTTTTATTTATGCCCTTGGGTGTGAAGCAATGGGCCAGTGTGAGAGGCAGGGATGCGTACCATGAACTAGAAGGCAAGGTGAAGCATAGCCATCGCCACAGAGAGAGATAAGCAATCTCTCTACTACTACACCCTACTCTCTTTCTACTACTCTCTGAGAGTGTAGACTAGGAAAGAAAGGTTAATATTTATAGAGAAGCAGCCTGGGACAAAGAAGGTAAAGTGTGCCCCAGGGCATGGCTCCCCAAGAAGCATAAATCTGAAGGATAATAACAGCTGTTGATTCTTTGCTCCCACTGAGCACACAGTGATAGAACACTGGGGTTCAAGACCAGGTTCCTGCCCTCAAGAAGCTTGCAGCCTGATGGGGCAGGGAGATAAGACATTGCATGTGTGTAACTACAACACAAGGTTGTTTTATTTTAGAGGGGACAAGCAGAATCCCACGACAACCCAGAGAATGTTCTAATTTGCAGATTAGGGAGGGCTTCCTGGAGAAGCTGGCCTGTCAGCTAGAACATGTTCCAGGCCCAGGTGACAGCATGACAAATGCCTAGAGGTAGGGTACTGGGGAGATATGTGTCTGAAAGAAGGCCAGTGGTGTTTTGGGGTTGGATCCCAAGCTGCTGTGGGGAGGAGGCTTAGAGTGGAATAAGAATGGAAAAGTTGGCTGGCATCGGATTGTGGAGGCCTTGAAAGCCTTGCTAAAGTGTATGGACTTCATTTGTAAGTAATGAGGAGCCACTAAGGGTTTTGAAGCACCTGGTGTAAGGGCAGAGAACAGCCTGGTGGGGAAAGAGAGGAGCAGTGGGGAGATGCCAAGGAAGTGAGGCCCTGTTTCAGGGATGAAACCATGGGCATGCAATGGCAAGAATGAGTCAACTCTGAAAGCCACTAGACAGGCATAGTCATTTGGACCTGGCTGTGGGAGTTGAGGAAAAGAAAACACAGGCCTCCAAGAGGACTTGAGGTTTGGAGTGTGGGTGGGTGGGGGGAGCTACCACCATCAACCAAATAGGAGGAGGACACTTTAGGTACAAAGTGATAAATGTGAAGTCAGCTCACTATCCACCTGGGAAGGATGAGATGTCGGAGGAGTCCACCCTAGATGCCTTCACCAAGGTGGGTGTTCACCAAGGTAGGTGAGCCTTTGGAGCTGGGCTGTTGGCCCCTGGAGGGTAGCAACTGTATCTCATTCATCTTTGTATTCTCTGAATAAATACTTAGTGCAGAAGGTAGCACTTATTAAATTCATTCCTTCAATCAAATATTTATGAGCTAAATTTTTAAGGGCCAGTTCGTGGGCTAGGACTTGAATCCAGGATACAGAACATTTCTCCAGTCTAGTTGTGGATTTTTAGAATCCAGATATCAACATGACTGCTTATCTCAGGGTATGGCGACTTTTGTCTTCCAGACAGCCTCATCCAGCAGTACCTGAGGAATACGGAGCCAGGCGCCTCCAAAGTGAATAAACCAGTAGGGACAACCTTACAGTCAGGGAAGGGAGGCATTGTCTTGTCAGCATCGTGCAGTTATCACAATGAGCTTTAGGCCCTGTAAAGTCTCCAAGGAAGCACCTTTCCCAGAATCCTTTCATGTCTTAGAACCTTCTGAACTAAACAGTGATTAGAAACACATGTCTAAATGAAGGAGCGTGCAAGATGAACTCAGAGTTCAAGAAATGTTTTTTTGGATGGCAGTATAAAATTCCCAGGTAGGAAGCCACTTTCCCGCAGATGAGAGGCTGGCGGGACCCACTGGTGTAATGAATGACCTTCACTGCACGCCTGCAGCGGAGGAGACGTCTCCACCCTGCTGTGTTCTGCAATGCTCCTTCCAGGCCCGCTTCTCCATGACCCCCATTCCAGTCCCTGTCCACCTGCACCTGCGCCTGCACCGCCACAGGCCCCTCAGTAGAAGGAGGCGCCCTCATAGGCGAAGGCACCAGGGGAGTGGGGGATCGAGGCTGGGCTGGGTGCCTGCAGCCGGCAGAACCAGAACTGCCGGAGAACATGTTTCAGGTGTGTGCGGAACTTGACCCCCACGAAGACATAGAGCACCGGGTTAAAGCAGCAGTGGGAGAAGGCGAGGTTGCGGCAGATGAGCAGGGCGTATTCTAGCTGCTGTTTGGCCTCGCAGCTCCGGATGATCTGGGTCCGAAACAGCGTCTGCAGAAACAGGGTGAAGTTGTAGGGACCCCAGCTGAGGAAGTAGGCCACCACGATGGCGAAGATGAGCTTGACCGTGCGGTGGCGCCGCTTGGAGCGTGAGCGGAACAGGGTCCTGAGGATCTCCACGTAGCAGAACAGGATAATCCCCAGGGACAGCAGGAAGAAGAGGTTGTGCTGGTAGACGGAGGTGAGGTACCACGTGAGTTCGGAATAATCACAGCCCGAAGAAAGCACCTTGTGGAAGATGGTGTCGAGGATGGAGGACAGGATGCTGGCTACCCACACAGCCATGGTCACCAGCACCCGGCAGCGGAGGGTGGGGACGCGCAGGGTGGAGAGGGGGCTCACTACCGACAGGTAGCGGTGGATGGTCATGATGGTCAGGAAGAAGATGCTGCTGTAGAGGCTGATGGAGAAGATCATATTGAGGAGTTTGCAGAGGAAGTCTCCCAGCACCCAGCCCCAGTGGTATGGGGAGATCCACACAGGCAACAAGCAGGCGAACACCAGGTCTGAGAGGCACAGGTTGAGGATGAAGATGTTGGTGAGGGACTCCAGGCTCTCATACTTCACCAGGACCCACAGGACCAGGCTGTTGCCCACTAGGCTGAGGAGAAACACCAGGCAGTATAGGACAGTGGTGGCGAGGGTAGCAAAGACCCAGGCCTGGTTCTCACACGGCTGGCTCTGAAGGTCATAGTAAAAAAAGGTGGTGCTCTCTGGGTTGCCTGAGGACTCCATCTGGACCAGATGGCAGGGACGTTTAGAGCATCTGAAATGATAGAGACATGGAGTTTAAAGCCATGTGGTGGCTGGGTACAGTGGCTAACACCTGTAATCCTAGCACTTTGGAAAGGCCAAAGGGAGAGGATTGCTTGACCCCAGGAGTTTGAGACCATCCCAGGCAATATAGTGACACCCCTGTCTCTACAAAAAATTTAAAAATTACCCGGGTGTGGTGGCGCATGCCTATAGTCCCAGCTACTCAGGAAACCGGGGGGTGGGGAAAGATTGCTTGAGCCCAGGAGGGCGAGACTGCAGAGAGCTGTGATCATGCCACTGCACTCCAACCTAGGTGACAGAGAAAAACCATGTTTCAAAAACAAACAAAAAACCCAAAAAAGATGCCAGACTCTTAGTTAATTCTCTCCTGGATCAGAGAAAAGACCTGGAATGGGAAGGGGATTCTCTACAGAGTGTATTTTCCCCACAAGAGATAGCTTTCCAAGACCATTTCAAAATATTCCTATCTGTCATGTTGGTATCTTATTGCTACAAAGAGTCTATTCTATCAGGCTTAAGGGCTGCTTTAATGTTAATACTGGTCAGCTGTGCTGAATTACAAAAGGAGGAGAGTATAATGAGGCATGTCTGACTACCTATTCCCATCATGGCCTGAACTAATATTTCTTTAGAATGCCCTTCCTTGGCTGAGGAGTCCGTTCAGTTAGTTGTGAGGCTTAGAATTATATTTTTTATTTATAAAACTTAAATGCTTGTTAAGACAAACACCAAATAACCAATCAACACTTTTCAGAAAAATGAAACAAAATCCAGAGTCTACACAACATAACAATGTTTAGGACACAATCCAAAATTACTCAGCATATAAAGAAATAGGAAAACATGACCCATACTCAAAAGAAAAGACAATCAAGCAGCTGCCTGTGAGAGGGGCCACATGTTGGAATTTGTAAATATGTATCAAAATGTAACTAACTATTATACCTGTTCCCAAGGAAATAAAGGAAACTATATTCATAATGAATGGAGAGATAGAAAGTCTCAGCAGAGAAAGAAAAGTTATATAAAAGACCCAAAAGGAATTACAAATCAATAACAAGATATCAAGAAAAGCTTCAATAATTTGGAAATAATTTTAAAAACACCAGCGCGTGTGACGTCATGGCGCCGTGCGGGGTCGCGGCGGCGGCGCAGGGGGCGGGCCCGTGGCGCGGGGCCTGAGGAGGAAGTGGAGAGATTGTTGCTCCCTCTGCGCCCAGAGAGGACGCGGCTGCGTCGCGCTCCCCTGCGATCCCCTCCATGTTCCCTGGCCCCACCGCTCCCCTTCCTAAGGCTGCTGCTGTCTATGGAAGTAATGGAAGGACCCCTCAACCTGGCTCATCAGCAGAGCAGACGAGCCGACCGTTTATTAGCTGCAGGCAAATACGAAGAGGCGATTTCTTGTCACAAAAAGGCTGCGGCATATCTTTCTGAAGCCATGAAGCTGACACAATCTGAGCAGGCTCGTCTTTCACTGGAATTGCAAAGGGATAGCCACATGAAACAGCTCCTCCTCATCCAAGAGAGATGGAAAAGGGCCCAGCGTGAGGAAAGATTGAAAGCCTAGCAGAACACAGACAAGGATGTAGCTGCCCATCTTCAGGCATCTCACAAACTCTCTGCCGAGGATGCGGAGGGCCAGAGCCCCCTTTCTCAGAAGTACAGCCCTTCTTCAGAGAAACGCCTGCTTGAGATTCAGGGGATCTTTGACAGGGATCCAGACACACTACTATATTTACTTCAGCAAAAGAGTGAGACAGCAGAGCCATGTATTGGAAGCAAAGCCCCAGAAGATGATAAAACAATTATAGAGGAATAGGCAACCAAAATTGCAGATTTGAAGAGACGTGTGGAATTCCTTGTGGCTGAGAATGAAAGATTAAGGAAAGAAAATAACTAAAGGCTGAAAAGGCCAGACTTCTAAAAAGGTCCAGTAGAAAAGGAGCTGGATGTAGATGCTGATTTTGTAGAAACGTCAGAATTACGGAGCTTGCCGCCACATTCAGAAACTGCTACAGCCTCCTCAACCTGGCAGAAGTTTGCAGCAAATGCCGGGAAAGCCAAGGACATTCCAATCCCCAGTCTTCCTCCCTTGGATTTTACATCTCCAGAACTTCCCCTTATGGATCTCCCTGAGAATATTCTGAAAGGATTTATGAATAATTAAAATGGAAGGCCACAGAAGAGGGGAGAAGAGGAAATAATACAGTAATAGTTAATCCAGCAAAAAAAAAAAAAAAAATGAAAAGGGAAAACCACGTAGAAGGGGCATCCTGGTCCCGGAAATGTTTCATCATCTGGTGGACTGTGGGAGAATAGGCATTGCCAGGACTTGGGAAACAGTCACTGTGAAATGCGTTGCATATCTCATTCACTGACTTGAGCTAATGATTCCAACTTGATAAACACTAAACTCATGGAGGTTCAGTTTCTGCTGATACAAACCAAATGGCTACTTGGAATAATTTTTTTCAAGCAACAGTTATTTTTCTTATCTTCAGGGTTAAAATGTATAAAATATGTTATGTGTAATTAATCTATAATGCCATAAATGATAATGCAAAACCTAAATAATATGGTGGCCCGAGGGGCTGCCTTGTATTTGAAACATGCTTTCTATCATGTATTGACTGTATGCATTTTGTTAATGCCCATTTTGTTTAAATAAGGTGTGTAAGATACACACCTTATTTGTTAGTTGTAAGATATACACCTTAATTGTTAGTTATGCTTTTTTAAACAAATTACCAGTTTACATGATTAATCAGGGTGCATTTTAAGTTCTAATTTTGTTTATTGTATAATGCATCATTTGAAAATACCAAGGAGGAAATATCCTTTGTTTTTAATGATGCATGAGTGGAAGTAATGCTAGTTGGCAGTATTTGATTGTAAGAAATCAATAAAGTAATTGTGTTTTATTAAAAAAACCCAACTGACTTCTAGACTCTGAGTCAAAGAAGAAATCAAAAGGCAAAGTATAAAATATTTTGCATTGATAATAATGAAAATACCACATATCAGAATTCATGAAATGCAACTAAAGCAGTACTTGGAGAGAAATTTATAGCTTTAAATGCGTGTATTAGAAAGAATAAACGTCTAAAATCTAAGACTTAAATCAGTGACATAAGCTAGAAATAGAAGAGCTAATTAAAGTAGAAGGAAGGCATTAATAAAAATAAAAGCAGAAAAAATAAAATAGAAAATAAAATGAACAAGATCAAAATTGGTTGTTTGACAACATTTTAATACATTGATAAAATCAGCAAGGAGCAGTGGCTCATGCCTATAATTCCAATGCTTTGAAAGGCTGAGGCAGGAGAATCCCTTGAGGCCAGGAGTTTCAGGCTGCAGTGAGCTATAATGGCGCCACTGCATTCCAGTCTGGGTGTCAGAGCAAGACCCTGTCTCAAAAGAAATAAAGAAAGAGAGAGAGAGAGAGAGAAAGACCAAAAAATTGATGAAGCCTTATCTAGATTGATTGAGAACAAAGAGAAATATGTTACAGATCTTATAGACTTTACAAGAATAACAAATAAATATTATGATCAATTTTATGTTAAAAAATCCAACAACTTAAATGAAATGGATGAATTTCTTTTAACATGCAGCATATCAAAACTGACATGGGATGATATGGCAAATGTGAATAGCCCTACATTTGTTATAGAAATATAATTAACTATATAAATCCTTACCACAAAGAAAACTTTAGAACTAGAGGATTTTTCTAGTGATTTTTTTAAACATTTGGGGAAGAAATAACACCAGTTTTACACAAACTATAAGAAATAGAAATAAAGGATGGAATATTTTCTAACTCCTTTTATGAGGCCAGAATAACCCTGATACCAAAATTAGACCAACAAATTACAATAAGAGAAAACTACAGAACAATATTCCTCGTGAACATAGACAGAAAAATTCTTAACGAAATATTGGCAGATCAAATCCAGCAATACATTTTAAAAGAATAATATAACATGACCAAGTTGAGTTTATCCCAGAAATATGAGATTGTTTTAATACATGAAAATCAATTTAAGTCACCATATCAATAGAATAAAGAAAAAAACTATATGATCTTTTCTGATAAATGTAGAAAAGCATTTGACAAAGCTCAACACCCTTTGATGATATAAACTCTCAGCAAATTAGAAATAAAAGGGATATTGGACATCTATAAAAATCATTCATTTTTTTTGCTGGTTATTAATTCATTTACTCAAAAATTTCAGAGGCAGTCATGTTCTGGGCCTGGAAGCCTTTGGAGATAAAAAGGAAAATGATGTCAAATCTCAAACCCCTCCAAGTTACATTCAGTGAACTGGCTCCCTTTTGCTGGTTGTCTCTCTCCCTCCCCATCTCTGTGGCCCACCTCAACTCTAAGGGAGTGAATTTAGCTTTCTGGACTGTAATATAATTTAGATTGAGAAAGACAGCTCTAAATTATACAACCACCAGTAATAACAAGGCCTTACATAAAGATATGTAGCCAAATAAACCTCTCTACTTCTTTCAGCATAAGAAAAATATTATTTATATGTTAGGTCTACTCAAAGTATGGTTCCCAGATCCATTTTTCTTCTTCTTCTTTTTTTTTTTTTTGAGATGGAGTCTCGTTCTGTCCCCTAGTCTGGAGTGCAGTGGTGTGATCTTGGCTCACTGCAAGCTCCGTCTCCCAGATTCATGCCATTCTCCTGAATCAGCCTCCCAAGTAGCTAGGACTACAGGTGCCCGTCACCACACCTGGCTATTTTTTTGTATTTTTAGTAGAGACGGGGTTTCACCATGTTAGCCAGGATGGTCTCAATCTCCTGACCTCATGATCCACCTGCCTTGGCCTCCCAAAGTGCTGGGATTACAGGTGGGAGCCACCACGCCCAGCCAATTTTTCTTCTTTGATTTTTTTTTTTTTTGACAGGGTCTCGCCCTATCACCCATGCTGGAATGCAGTGGTGTGATCACATCTCAACCTCCTGAGCTCAAGTGATCCCCTCACCTTAGCCTCCTGAGTAGCTGGTAGTACAGATGTGTGCTACCACACCTAGCTAATTTTTTGGGGTATTTTTTGCAGAGATAGGGTCTCATCATGTTAGGTAAGGAACTCCTGGACTCAAGAAATCTGCCAGGCCAATCCGGAACTCCTGGACTTAAGCAATCTGCCAGCCTTGGCCTCCCAAAGTGCTGGAATTACAGGCATGAGCCACTGCGCCCAGCCCAGATCAGCTTTTCTGAAAAGAATGCAGATTCTTGGGAAATCCCTATACCAAAGGAATAAGAGCCTTCAGAGGTAGCTCAGGAATCAGCATATTTACTAGCCCTCCAGGTGGTTCTGATGTGCAGCAAAGCTTAAGAACTCCTGATATAGGCTGTTACAATTAGAGGAAAACATAAGTTTAAAATGTTTGTAAAGGAACTCACCTGAATCTACACCTCTTTACATGCGTCTTGAGGCAGAAATGGTGCTTCTCTGTTTCATATTTCACTTAAAGAAACTGAAACACCTGTCCTGCCCAGAAGGCTGGAGGAGGAGGATGGGAGGAGTCTCAGAGAGAGCCAGGGGGCCAGAGGGGGACAGCTAGTGAGAGAGGAGGAAGGAAGAAGCCAGTCAGGCAGGCAGTTAGGGTGGATCCTTGGTGGAACTCCTTCAAACCAAGAACAGCCTGAAAATCAAGCTGCAAGCCCTGGATAAAGAAAAGAGCCTGCATGTTTGAATAGAAACGCCTACTCCATGAATCCAGATGAACAAATTCCACTCCTTTTTTGAACATATATCCCTCTCCTTGGCACGCCTTTGTCTCATTTCACATGCTTCCTCCCGATTGGTCCTTACCTTTTACCTGTTTAACATATACCTATCTTTCTGTGATTAGCTGCTCGCCAAATTTTCATTTGCATAAAGTGTAACGTCACTTCAGCCCCTGATTGGTCCTGGGCCAAGGTCTCAGTCCAAGCTTTCACTTCAGCCCCCAATTGGTTCTTTACACTATTGTACCTCTTCCTGAGTAGTGCTTTTTCCAAGCCTACCCATAAACCAATCAGCACGTATTTCCTCATTCTAAGCCTGTAAAAACCTGTGACTCAGACTTTTAGCTAGCAACCCTCTTTTGGGTCCCCTCTCTTTGCTGAGAGCTTTTCTGTGGCTTAATAAATCCAACTCTGCCTTCTTCACTCTCCAGTGTCTGTGTGCCTTATTTTTCTTGGTCGTGGGACAAGAACTTGGAGCTCACCAGTGGGGGGAGTAAAAGAGCTGTAACACTCCCTCCCACTCACCAAACAACAGGAGTGAAACAGCTGCAACAGTAGGAGACAGTTTTTCCACATCCTTAATGAATAAAGATGTTGAGCATCTTTTTATATGTGTATTGGTCATTTGTGTATCTCTTTGTAGAAGTGTCTATTCAGAACCTTTGCCTTTTAAAAATTTGAGTTATTAGTCTTTTTATTATTAAATTGTAAGAGTTATTTCTACATTCTGGATACTAGATCCTTATCAGAGATATGATTTAAAAATAATTTATCTCATTCCTTGGGTTTCTTTTTAATTCTTCATAATACCCTTCGACACACAAATGCTTTACATCTTCTTTTTCTTTTCTTTCCTTTTTTTTTTTGAGGCAGGCCCTCACTCTGTCACCCAGGCCTGAATTCAGTGGCATGATCAGCTCACTATTGCCTTGAACTCTGGAGCTCAAGAGATACTCTCGCCTCAGCCTCCTAAGTAGCTAAGACTATAGGTACACAGCACCACATCCAGCTAATTATTTTAATTTTTTTGTAGAGACAGGGTCTCACTATATTGCCCAGACTAATCTTGGACTCTTGGCCTCAAGTGATCCTCCTGCCTTGCCCTCCCAAAGCTCTGAGATTATAGACCTGAGCCACCATGCCTGACCTGTTTTTAACTTTCACGAAATCTAATTTATAAATTATTTCTTTTGTTGCTTGTGATTTTGCTGTTGTAGTTAAGAAATCCTTGCCTAGTCAGGTTATAGGGATTTATAGCTATGGCTTAGCTCTGAACTTTCAGTTATATTCCATTGGTCTTTGCATCTATCCTTATGTCAGTACCATAGAGTTTTGATTACCTTTGTAGTAAGTCTTGAAATCACAAATCCTCCAACTTTGTTCTTTCTTCTATTCAAGATTGGAGACATATAGATCAATGAAATACAATGGGGAAAGCCATACATCTATGGTCAATTGATTTTTTGTTTGTTTGTTTTGAGACAGGTTCTCACTCTGTTGCCCCGTCTGGAGTGTAGTGGTGCGATCATGGCTCACTGCAGCTTCAATCTCCCAGGCCTAAGTGATCCTCCTACTTCAGCCTCCTGAGTAGCTGGGACTACAGGTGCACACCAACATGCCTGGCTAATTTTTATAGAGACAGGGTTTTACCATGTTTCCCAGGCTGGTCTTCAACTCCTGGGCTCAAGTGATCTGCTTGCCTCAGCCTCCCAAAGTGCTGGGATTGTCAACTGATTTTTGACAAGGGTCAAAAATCAAGACCATTTACAAGGCCATTCAGTGTTAAAAGAATATTCTTCTTAACAAATGGTGCCAGGAAAACTAGATAGTCATATACAAGACAAAGTTGTACTCTTACCTCACATCATATACAAAAATTAACTCAAAATGGATTAAAGAGCCAGATGCAAGGGCTAAAAAACCTACAACACTTTTGTGTGTCAAAGGACACTATCAAGAAATTTTAAAAGAATTTTGATGGAAATTGCATCGAATTTGTAGATCAGTTTGGGGAGTATTGCCGTTTTAACAATATTGGGTCTTCCAATCCGGGAACACTGAAAGTCCTTCTATTTACATATGTCTTCTTTAGTTTTTTTTCCACATTGTTTTGTGGTTTTCAGTGAGTAGATTTTGTGCATTCTTGGTTAAATTTATTCCTAAGTATTTTTATGCTATTGTAAATGGAATTGTTTTGTTAATTTCATTTTCAGATTGTTCATTGCTACTGTATAAAAATACAACTGATTTTTATATATTGATCTTGTACCTTGAGCTTATTTATTAGCTTTAATAGTTTTTTGTTTTTGTTTTTGTTTTTTTGGTGGATTCTTTCAGTTCTCTATGTACTATAAAGTCATGACATCTGCATATAGAAATAGTTTCACTTCTTCCTTTCCAATCTGGGTACTTTTCCCCCCACCGTGTTTAGTTGTCCTGGCTGGAACCACCAATGCAATGTCAAATAGGAGAGGACAATGGACATCATTGTCTTGTTTCTGATCTTAGGAGAAAAGCTTCTAGTCTTTCACTACAAGTATGATGTTAATTGTGGGTTTTTAATACATGCCTTTTATCAGATTAGGAAATTCCCCTCTATTTCTAATTTGTTGAGTGTTTTTATCATGAAATGATGTTGGGTTTTGTTAAATGCTTATTCTGCATCTCTTGAGTTTATTGTATGGAAATACCACAGATTTTTTTATTCCTTCACCTATTGAAGGACATCTTGGTTAATCCTATTTCTTTGAAATTATGAAAAATACTTTATGCACTATACACTATGTATAAAAAAGTATTTTATACACGATATGTATTTGAATGCAGGTTTTTGTTTACACATAGTTTTGAGCTCGATTATAACTAGGAGTGTGATTGGATTATATGATAATAATGGCAGTGGTGGGCCATCCAGAGCAGCTGCTACCATCATGCCAGCTGCAGCAGGGAGGCATGAGCGGTGGTGGCAGGAGCAGCTGCAGGAGCAGCAGTGGGGGTGGTGGGACCTCTGTGCCCTGCATCCCCATGCCCTGCATCCCTGAGGCAGCTTACTGCACACCACCCCTACCCTTGCATGGCCGGGCAGGACCTACTCTCAGGCCTGGAGCCTCTGCCGCAGCCTCAACTCATTCCCTGCCGTGTTCTGGGAGCCTGTGAGTATCTGGCCAAAGGTGTAGCTGGGACTTTCAGGGCTAGCCCTGGGAGTGTCAGGTTCATTTGTGCGGGGTTGGCCAGGGCCACCACGCCACCTGCACCTTGCCCAGAACCACTGTGGGGAAAATGCGGAGAGGAGGTGTGGCTGGGGCTGCATGCTCCACACAGCCGGCAGGAGCTGGGGACAAATGGGAGCCCTGCCCCTTAGAAGTTGGTGGGACACGGAACTCCCCAGGCACAACTGCAGCTGCTGAAGCCATGGCTGTGACTTGGGCACCCCTGTGCTCTTGGGAGCTAGGAACAGGCAGGAGCCCCGCCCTCCAAGGCACTGCTACAGCCACCCTGCTGTAGCTATGGATCCAGGCATCTCTGCACTGTCGGGGGCCTGGGAAGGTCCCCCGCTGCCCACAGGCTTGGAAGTACCTGCTCCTGCTGTTTGGCTTCTCCCCACTGTCACTGCCTGCTCTGATCTTGGAGTAAGGTTGGGGCCAAGCTTGGGTGCTGTTGCAACCTGGCCAGATGTGTGCATGCTTGGGGCAGTGCTGACATGCTAGGCCCTGTCACCTTGGCCCCCTCTGGACTTTGTGCACCGATGAGCACAGGAGGAAGGCTGAGGAGGGGGGCGCTGAGGGCAGCTCATTCCTGGCCTGCAGGCAACCCTTGGCATGAACAGCCTGAGTCCCATAAACAGTGGTGGGTGGTGAACAAGCTCCTGGGCAGAAAGGGCCAGGTCCCTGGTGAAGCCCCACCTTCAAGCTGGGGAAGGCCTGAAGCCAGGTGGCTGGGCTGACAGTCCCACGAACCACAGGGGGACCTTTTGGTGCCTTTCCTTGTTCTGGCCCATGGCCACCCATGGACTTTCTCCCCTCTGCTGCCCATAAAAACCCTGGACTCAGCCAGATTTGGGAAGAGGATGGAGAGATGATGAAGAGACAATGGGATGACCTGTCTAAGAGAGGCTACCCACTCTAGGGCCTCCTCTCTGCTGAGAGCCGCAGAGACAATGGGATAACCTGCCTGCAGAGAGGAGCTTCCCACTCCAGCATCTCCTCTCTGGTAGGAGCTGAACACTCATTGGGACACCCTGGCTGCAGAAAGGAGCTATGCACTGTGAGTCTTCTCTGAGCTGTTCTATTGCTTGATAAAGCTCTTCATCTTGTTCATGCTGCACTTCTCTGCATACTTCATTCTTCTGGTTTGCAGGACAAGAACTTTGGACCCACCAAATGGTGACGCTAAAAGAACTGTAACACAAACAGTGCTGAAACATGCCCCCTGCTTGCCATATGGGCGAAGAGGAGAGAAAAGCTGTGGTCCTTTGGGGATCCCAGACCTGGGGTGCTCCCCAAGCTAGGACCGTGACTTCCTCTTTGGGGCCTTGTGGTTCCTAGCATCTCTAAGTCTCCGTGTACCACTGCATTCCCTTACGCTAGCAGGGGAAGCTGCTTGTGGTGCATCTGGTCCAGCCATAGCTTCACAGAGAGCCAGCATCCAGGCTGGCACCTGGAGCTGCCCACCCCACAGCATAGCTGGCATGTCTCACTATGCAATGCTGGACCCCACACTTGCTCACACAGCCCTTGCCACTTCATGCCTGACTCACAGTCTCCCTTGGAGGCATGGGATACAGGCTGGTAGTGTGAGCCTAGTGCAGCCTACCAGGCTGAGTGAGCAGGATAAGCCCAGTGGGCCTGAGGAAAACTTGGGCAAAGGCACCACTGGCCACAGGTTTCCAGCCAGAAAAGAGACCCCCCAAAGATCTTGTAACAATAAGACTATGTTTAGCTTTGTAATAAACTGTAAAACTGTCTTCCAAAGTGGCTGGATCATTTTGCACTTCCATCATCAATGAATGAGCATTCTCATTGCTAGACATCCACATTCACGTTAGCATTTGATGTCAGGTTCTAAAAAATGTATCCATTCTAATACGTGCATGGGGTACCTCATTGACATTTTAATTTGTAATTCTATAATGACATATGATGTTGAGCATCTTTTCATATGCAATTTCGAATCTGTCTATCATCTGTGGTGAAGTGTCTGTTTAGATATTTTGTCCATTTTCTAAATTGGATTGTTTTCTTATCATTGAGTTCTAAGAGTTCTTTGTATATTTTGGATATAAGTCCTATATCCAAAATTTTTTTCAAATATTTTCTCCCTGTATCTGGCTTGTCTATTCATTCTTTTAACAAGGTTTTTTTTTGTAGCGCAAAAGTTTTAAATTGTAATAAAGTCTAATTTATTACTTTTTTCTTTCACAGTATTGTATCAAAAACTCCTCAGTTTGGGGTCCTACCTAGGTATCAGAAAAAGAAGGCAAAAATTAAAGAAAAACAAAAATAATAAAAACTCATAAAAAATCCAAGGCCATCTAGATTTTCTCCGGTGTTACTTGCTAGAAGTTTTGTACATTTGCATTTTGCATTTAGATTTAAGATGCATTTTGAGTTTTTTGTGAAAGGTGTAAGATCTGTGTATAGATTCCTCTTTTGCATGTAGATGTACAATTGTTCTAGCACCACTTGTTGAAAATATCCTTTATCCATTTAATTACCTATACGTCTTTGACAAAAATCAGTTGACTATATTAGTGCAAGTCTATTTCTGGGCTCTCTGTTATGTTCTGCTAGTATACTTTCACCAGTGTCACACTATCTTGATTACTGTAACTTTATATAAAGTCTTAAAGTTTGGTAATGCTAGGCCCCTGACTTTGTTCTTCTTCAGTTTTTTGTTGGTTATTCTAGGTCTTTTGTCTTTCCAAATAAGCTTTAGAATCAGTTTGTTGATATTCACAAAATAAATTGCTGGGTTTTGATTGGGATTGCATTATAGCTATAGATCAAGTTAAGAATTGCCATCTTGACAATATTGAGTCTTCTTATCCTTAAACATGGAATATTGCTCCATTCATTTAGGTCTTCGTTGATTTCTTTTATAGAGTTTTATAGTTTTCCTTAGATAAATTCTGTATATATTTTATGAAATTGATGCTCAGGCATTTAAAATTTTTTGGTGCTAATGTAAATGGTCTTGTTTTCAATTTCAAATTTCAAGTGTTCATTGCTGTTTTTTTTTTCTTTTTCTTTTAGACAGAGTCTCACTCTGTTGCCAGGCTGGAGTGCAGTGGCGTGATCCTGGCTCACTGCAACCTCTGCCTCCTGGGTTCAAGTGATTCTCCTGTATCAGCCTCTGGAGTAGCTGGGATTACAGGTGCCTGCCCTCATGCCCAGCTAATTTTTTGTATTTTTAGTAGACGGGGTTTCACCACGTTGGTCAGGATGGTCTCGAACTCCTGACATCAGGTGATCCACCCTACTTGGCCTCCCAAAGTGCTGGGATTACAGGTGTGAGCCACTGCACCTGGCCATTGCTGGTATTTAGAAGAGCCAAGTCTTTTGTATATTAGCCTTGCCTTCTGCAGGCTTGCTATATAAATTATAGGAGTTTTTTTGTGCATTCTTTGAGATTTTATACTGTGAGAACCATGTCATCTGCAAAGATATTTTTATCTCTTCTTTCCCAATCTTTATACCTTTTATTTCCTTTTTTTTTTGTTTTATTGCAACAGCTGGATGTTCAGTACAATGTTGAATAGGAATGGTGACAGAGGACATCCTTGACGTGCTCCTATTCTTAGGGGAAACACATCCAGTTTCTTACCCTTAAGAATGTTAGGTTTAGGTTTTCTTTAAAAAATTATATAAATGTATGTGTACAAGTATAGTTTTGTTACGTGCATATATTGCATAATGGTGAAGTCAGGGTTTTTATGATATATACCACCTGAATAATATACATGGTACCCACTAACTAATTTCTCATAATGAAACTGACCCAATAGTCCCATAGAGAGCTTTTTTGATGAAAAAAGCTTCTGGTTTTAAAGCTTAAAACTTGTATTTGTTTTACCTGAGTTTCTTCCTCAGGAAAGACCTTCAGGCCTCTCAAAAAAATTATCAACCACCAGAAACTCACCATATCACCGCATCCAGATAATGAGATGCCAGACCCTTCATTCATCATGATTGCCTCCTTGCCCCTCCATAGTTCCTGTTTTCTTTTTCTTTTGAGACGGAGTCTCACTCTGTCGACAGGCTGGAGTGCAGTGGTGTGATCTCGGCTCACTGCAACCTCTTCCTCCCAGGTTCAAGTGATTCTCCCGCCTCAGCCTCCTGAGTAGCTGGGATTACAGGTGCTCACCACCACAGCCCGCTAATTTTTGTGTTTTTGGTAGAGATGGGGTTTCACCATGTTGGTCAGGCTGGTCTCAAACTCCTGACCTCCTGATCTGCCCACCTAGGCCTCCCAAAGTGTCGGGATTACAGGCGTGAGCCACCATGCCTGGCCCCATAGTTCCTGTTTTCTTACACATTGTTACATTTCTTCTCTGCTATGTAAACATCTCCTTTTAGTCAGTCAGGGAGATGGATTTGAGACTAAGCTCCTATCTCCTCAGTTGCAGCACCTGATTAAAGCCTTCTTCATTGGCAATAATTGTCTCAGTCATTGGTTTTCTGTGCCATGAGCAACGGGACCTAGACGAAACTCCTGGTATTTCAGTAACAGATTTTGGTTCCCTAACCAGCAACGTGTTGCCACAGTTGCTCATTGCTCAGCTGCCATGGGCCAGGAGTCTCAAAAGCCCTCCTAAGCAGCTGCCCACTCAGTTTTGGTTGGAGATAAGTTTCAGTCTGTCTCTGGCCCCACTACAGCTGGTCTCAACTGTGTTCCTGATTGCCTATGAAGAACTGTCTTTGAAATTTGACATCTGCATCCCGATAGGTGAGTGTCCTTTGTGGGCCCAGACAGCAGGAGATGCTCCTCTCAATTTGGGAAATTTTTGAAAGAATTTCCATTTGCAGGTTGAACAAGCCCAACTGACAGTGAGGGAAGCACCCTGTTTCACTACGGACACTCTTGGGGGCTTGTTTGTAATTGTTTGTGTGTGTGTCCAGGCAAGTGAGTGTCTTTTGTGGGTACCAGATAGCAGGATGTGCTCCTCTCAATTTGGGAAATTCCTAAGGAATTTTTGTTTGCAGGTTGATTAAGCCCAACCAGTGGAGAGAGGAAGGACCCCGGCTGTTTCAATTTGGACACTCTTGGGGCTTGTTTATTGCTGCAGTGGTCAGACTGTGTTTTGGTGATTGTGTGTGTATCATGGGAAATTAGAATTACATAAACTGATATTCTTTTGTAATAATGCTTGTCCCCAATATTGTTTGGAATCGGAGTTTGCTGTTGAATGAGAAAGTGGGATGGAGTTTCCTGTATCCAGGCTTTTATGTTGCTGTTCTGAGCAGGTTGGGCCTGGTTAATAGGTTCCAGGTGGTTTTCTGTGGTGCTGTTTGGCCCCAGTGTTCCTTGGAGTCTGAGGAGGTTTGGCCTTTAAAAATCAAACTGCTATGGAAACTGCTTTACCCAAAATTTTGGTTCACACCCTATGTTGGATTACATATGGGGCAAATAAAGTGTAACCACGTAAACCAATGACTTTGTATGTGTGCATATGCATGTCTAGATGTGTTTATGTATGTACATTTATTATGCTATGTCTTTTTGTCTAACAAATTGGCTTGTAAACAAAACAGAACTCATAAATTAAGTAAGCCCAAAGTATTTTTCAAGTTCACATGACTTAAGTAAATCTTTAATAAATGAACTGGCTTTAAAAATATTAATAAAATAAAAATAGGAATGTCTTAAGAATTGTTAACATATATTTTTGTTTGGGCTTTATATTTGTCTCTGCTAGATATTTTGAGGTATCAGGGTTTGGCACAGGTTATAAAATGATAAACCTAGCCAGAACAAAATGATCTTTGTAGGAATTTTTTAATAAGTAAGACTAATTTAATGTTATTGGTTTAATGAAAACAGCTGAATCTTCTGAGTTACTGGTGAAAATGCCCTTGTAGTTAACTTAAAGTTCTTATTTAGGTAAACACCTGATATTCACAGGTTATAAAATGGTTAACAAGGAAATAAATAATGCATAAGTAATCGAGATAAACTGCCAAAAATAAATAAAAAATGTGAGTAAGTGCTATAGGTGAAGTTTTTGTGTAACTTATAATCTTAAAAGTTATTTTCAATGCTTATTGGATGCCTGAGTCATTTCCAATTAAGGAAGGGTTATGATATCGGGAAATATATTTCTAAAAATTATAGAATTGTTCTCATTTATAAAATGCTAATATCTGGTAGGCAGTTGAGGGTTTCTTGCCTCATAGTATTTCACTAAAATTTAGGGTTACTAAGTATAAGAATTATATTAATTCTGTATATAAAAGCTACCCAAAAATGTGTGTTCTTAGTGAGAAAAAGAATAATTTTGTCTAATTCAGGAGTTATCTGAATGTTAATTCAAACTATGGACTTGAAAATGTTATTTATGAAACAAGGTAGAAAGGAACCAGTAAATAGGGGAGAGAGATATGAAGAAAGTTATGAATGTGACAACGTATTTTTGGTGAGAAAGGTTATAAAGAAAAGAGAAAAATATTGTGTGAGAAAGGTTATAAAGAAAAGAGAAAAATATTGTATGAGAAAGATCTTGTATGGTGAATTTTTGTCCTAAAATAAAATGACTAGTTATTTAAAAAAGAAAATAAAATTTAGGACAAAATAAGAAGTCCAAAAGTATCATAGATGGTCTATGTAAGTCATATGTTGCTTTTTCCTGGTTCTCTGTGTTTCTATCTTTATGCACACACAGAGAAAATAGAAAGTTGAAAAAGTTTAGATAGTAAAATATCCCTTAAAACCTGATAGAAAATTGGAAAAATTTGACTGATTAACATTGCTCATAGTTAAAGCTCTTAGTTTTGATGAAGATAAAATAAATATTATAAAGAAATATACTGTCAGTTTGGCAATTCTTTTTTAATACAATTAACTGTGAAGCCAGATTTAGCATGGAGCCAAATTTCACATACATGCTTGCATTGCTTCACAGTATATTTGCTATTTTGCATAGATAGTACTGGTACTAAGGTACTTGTACGGGTCATGTACCTAGATGAATTTCTTAATTTCAAAAAATGTATAGTGCTATCAGTTGACTTGAAGACGTTAATCTGTGCACCAGGAATAAAATATATGTTGTGTGCACGGGTTTGTTTTTTGTTTTTTTTTTTTTTTGAGAGGGAGTCTTGCTCTGTCACCCAGGCTGGAGTGCAATGGTGCAATCTTGGCTCACTGCAAACTCTGCCTCCCAGGTTCAAGCAATTTTTCTGCCTCAGCCTCCCAAGTAGCTGAGATTACAGGCACGTGCCACCATGCCTTGTATTTTTCTGAGAGGTGGGGTTTCACTATGTTGGCCAGGCTTGTCTGGAATTCCTGACCTCAGGTGATCTGCCAGGCTTGGTCTCCCAAAGTGCTGGGATTACAGGCATGAACCACCGTGCCTGGCCGTGTGTGTGTTTTTTTAACCTCTAGGTAACACTTTAGCCTCCAAGGTAAACTGAGTAGGATAAAAATTTGGGGTTGGTTTCCTGTTTATTTTTGCTTCTAATTTTCAATTATTGTTGTTTATTCTCTTTTGGGTTTTACTTATGTATACATCTCTATAAAACTATTGATGTTTTTAGTTTGCAATTGAAGGCTTTTATTTGGTTCTTTGAATAGACATTTTGTTTCCTATGCATTTCTAACGAGTCATCATTTGTTCTGTTTATCCAGAATTCCTAGGCTACCTTTGTCAAGCCTCCAAAAATTAATAAACACCAGCCATTTAACATTTGATTGGTTTTGCTTACCCCTGATGATCTTGAGAACTATGAGAGATTTAAAGATCCTGGCCAAAAAATACAAGACTTATTTTTACAAGTTCTAAGCAGAAATAGTATACTATTTATTTTACTGGAAAAAGTAGGTGAGAATAATTTCCAAGGTAATTCAATTCAATCAACAATTTGAGTTGGTTTTACATCTTTTCCTGTAATGAGGGAAAACTGTGATACGGCTATAAACTTAATGCTAAGGAAAGATTGGCCTTATCCTTAAGTAAATTATATTGATTGGAATTTTTTTCAAATTAATTACAATTAAGTGATATTCACTTTGATTAAGTGGTTAAAAAAAAAAAAGTGAGACTTTCCAGTTATCTTTGACCCAAAGCCATTTATCACTGATGGGTCCTCATGTGTGTACTTGAAAACAACATATGTGCAAGTGTTTCACTGGTTTGAAGATTTTTGTGGTGAAAGTTACCTAATCAGCTGTCAGTACTGTATCTAGAAACCAATCTTGGAAATGTGTGATGATGCTCTTTTAAATAGCTGAAAAGAAATTATTGTGTGCTTTACTTTGTTCTTGTTTTGTTGTACGGTATTTAAGTGAAAGGAGATATTCTCATACTGAATTTGCAAAACTGATACTTGCATTTACCATTTCTTTAATGATGGAAAGTTAATTGTCTTACTTTGATAAGTTTGGCATAGGACCTATCACATTTTTTAATGCTTTTAGCCATAGTTCTGTCACTAGAATGCTAGCAATTAGACATGTGCAATGCGTAACCTAACTACTTTAATCCGGTGGTTTGAAGTACTGCAGGCAGTCACTCCTAGACACCAAATCACAATGTTTTAATTTGTGACATGTTAGAATGATAGGACTTTCTGTAGTATAAATAATCTATTAAGTAATCCTTGTGCTGTTAAGTTACAGGCCTTTGACTCCTGAGTCTGAAAAAGGCACTGACCCCTGCAAAATCTTGAGCATTAACACCATTTGAAGCCTTATTTTCAGACCCAAGAGAAGGTGACAATCAAAATGAACGGTTTTCCTAAGACGCAGGTTCAGAAATTAAAACTATTCCATCCCTCTAGGCCCAGGGACTATTGTAGAAGAGGTAGGTCCATGATATTGCAAGGATCAATTTTGAGGGATAAGATTAGTATAGAGTTTTTCTATAAATTAAACAATATCAAAATCACACTTACGCAAGGCCAGTGTCTGGGCCAGTGTGTCAGAATAACAGGGTTTTCTAGGAGCATTGATCTGTTTTTCAATAGAAAATTATAAAAGGTTACAAAAGGTTTATGGAAATCTTACCTTATGGTAAAACTGATTAAAATTAGATTTGTTTATAAGGTTTTATTAAAGTTAGCTTTAACGTTAATAATACCCCATACAAAGGTAAAATATGGTTTTCTCTTTTGAACACAATTTTCATGCAAGAGATAATAAGAGACTTTTGTTTACCTTTTGAGTAAAACCACAGAAGAACAAAATAAAGGAAGGGAGACAGGTTTATTGACCTCATGCCTTTTTTATTAGGTCTTACTGTATAGGAAACGGACTCCTCTTTATCAAAGAGTAAACATTTTATATTATAATTTTGGCTAAATAAATGATTATTTTATAGTAATTTGTGATCCTATTTTGTTATATTAAGTGTTGTAAGCCTTTGATATTTGACAGACTTTACAATAGCAAAATTTCAAGTTCCAAATTCAGTCTTTTTGACCTCAAACTAACTTTTTTGGATGTTAAATTCCCTGAAGTCCAAGAGAGATCTATTAGGCTTATTAGGCTTATTTTATAAGTTAGAATTATACAGCAAGCATTGTCAAATGTGAAGTGGTATTTAACTTTCTTTGGGTTATAGTTATATAGATATGTTGCTAATGTGTGTTCCAGGATTATATGATATTCCTGAAATTCTGATATGTCTTAATATATGTTGTCAGTAATAATTACGATTATTATGTTAAATTGTTGTATGCCACAGAAATAACCAAATTTCCTTGTCAACTGTGTCTTTGGCTATGGCTCCTAAGACTTTTGTCATCTGTAATTGTTATTTTGCCTTGATGCTCCTCAAAAAGTGACTTATAATCAGCTTCAGTCTAGGGCTTGATTCTTTGGAAGAGTTCATGAAAAGGACTCTTGAATGCATGTGTCTGATAACTCTGAAGAATTAGATTAGAGAGAAAATTTGTAGGACACTAATTGAAAGGCTGATGTGTTCATAAAGATTGCTAGCCCAGTGTGAAGCAGAGCAGGAGTTGATTGCATGGATCAAACTAATGGAGGACTAAAATATTTTTTATGGCTTTTTTTGTTTGAAATATTGCCGATTCTTTTTTGTTTGTTTTTCAGAGTCTGCAGAATTTTTTTCTTTTGAGCCATTTATAGCCTTTAAATATGCTTTGTATATTGAGCAGCGTATAGTTTTATAAACAGAATTTGAGGCATATTTCTCTCTCTGCCTAATTTCTCCAGAATTTGTAAACTATTTGTGAATATTCCTGATTCATGGCAATGTGTTTATTTGCATAAGTTCAATAAGAAGCTGTTTTCTCTTATAATGGGACACAGTTGGAGGAATTGGTTATTTTCTAAGGGCTTTGACTGAAATGGCCTTGCGAGAGGTTCCAGCAAAGCCAATTTAGGAGAGCCTATGTGGACAATGATTCTTGTTGCACTTTGTGTGAGTAATCAGGCCAAGTAGAAGGGTCTGGAGCTTATTTTGCTGGTAAATTGGTCCTGCTATGATTTGTCTTTGGTGGAACTGAGGGCCTGGAGAGAGAAAGATTGTGTTTCAGATGAAAACTCTATAGTAGATTAATCTTTGATTTCTGGGTGGCTGCAAGGCCACCCATGGTATAGACCTTCCCACGAAGCCCCTCCTTAGCATGAAGCAGCCAGAAAGATCAATGACCAGATTCCCCATGATTGAGGAATTTATAAATAGAAAGGGGGGACTGAAGCCGACCCAGTGATCGCATAGACAGTTGTTTTTGGATAAACATAGAAATTGATCCTTCTGGTCTTAAAGCTTGAAACTTACATTTGTTTTAGCTGAGTTCCTTCCCCAGGAAAGGATCCCCTGGTCTCCCAAAAAGTATCAAATAACTGAAGCTCACCAGATCATAGTATTCAGACAATGAAACACCAGCCTTCTCATTTATCATACTTGCTTCCTTGCTACTCCCTAGTTCCTGTTTTCTTGTACATTGTTATATGTCTTCCCTGCTATATAAACCCCCTAGTTTTAGTTGGTCAGGGAGATGGATTTGAGACTGAGCTCCCATTTCCTCAGCTTCAGCACCCAATTAACACCTTCTTCCTTGGCAATATTCATTGTCTCCGTGACTGGCTTTCTGTGAGGTAAGCAGTGGAACCCAGAGTGAACCACTGGTGTTTCAGTAACACAACTATTATGGCAGATAAGAAATCATAAGGGAAAATAGGAGATATCTTTAGGTGAGTGAAAAGAAAAACGCATGTCAAAACTTATGTGATGCTGCTTTTAAAGCAGTGCTCAGAGGGAAATTTATACTGTAAATGCCTATACTTTATAAAGAAGAAATATCTCAAATCAACAACCTAACTTTATACTCTAAGGAACTAGAAAAAGAAGAGCAAACTAACCCAATGCTAGCAGAAGGAAGGAACAAAAAAGAGTAGAGTAGAAATAATCAAATGAGAGAATAGAAAACAATAGAGAAAATAAACAGAATCAAAGTTTGCTCTTTAAAAAAAATTGACAAATATTTAGCTATATTGAGTAAAGAGACAGTTAGAGATATATAGAGAGAGAACTCCAATTACTAATATCAGAAAGGAAAGTGGGGACATTACTACTGATTTTATAGAAATAGAAAAGATTATGAGAGAATATGATGAACAATTGAAGGCCAACAAATTGGGTAACTGATAAAATGGACCGATTCTTAAGAAGATGCAATCTACCAAAACTGACTGAAGAAGAAATAGAAAACCTGAATGGACCTATAACAAGAAAAGATATTGAATCAGTAATCAAAAACTTCCCAATAAAGAAAAGTCCAAGACTAGTTGGCTTTGTTGGTGAATTCTACCAAACATTTAAAGAAGAATTAACTCCAGTCCTTCTCAAGCCCTTCCAAAAAATTGAAGAGAAGGGAACAGTTCTTAATCTATATCTGTGAGGCCAGCATTACTGTGATACCAAAGCCAAAGACACTACAAGAAAAGAAAACTGAAGTCCAATATCCTTCATGAATATAGATGCAAAAATCCTCAACAAAATACTAGCAAGCTGAATTCAACAACATATTAAAAGAGCTATATACTTGGATTAAGAGAGATTTATCCCTGAATGCAAGAGTGGTGGTTCAATATAAAAAAATCAATAATGTAATGCATCACTTTAATAGAATATAAGGATAAAATCATGTGATCATCTCAATTGATGCACAGAAAGCACTTGACAAAATTAAATACCCTTTCATGATAAAAACACTCAGTAAATTATCACCAGGGCCAGGTGTGGTGGCTTATGCCTGTAACCCCAGCACTTTGGGAGGCTGAGGCAGGCAGATCACCTGAGGTCAGGAGTTTAAGACCAGCCTGGCCAACATGGAGAAACCCCGTCTCTACTAAAAATACAAAAATTAGCCAACACGGTGGTCTATATCCTATAATCCCAGCTACTCGGCAGGCTGAGGTAGGAGAATTGCTTGAACCCAGGAGGCAGAGGTTGCAGTGAGCCGAGATCACACCACTGCATTCCAGCCTGGGCAACAGAGCGAGACCCCATCTCAAAAAACCAAACCAAACCAAAACAAAAAAGTATGACTAAGAAATACTTCAACATGATAAAGTCCATATATGAAAAACCAACAGCTGATCTTATACTCACTGGTAAAAGATTGAAAACGTTTGCCCTAAGATCAGGAATAAAATAAGAATGCCTACTTACAGGCCAGGTGTGATGGCTTACTCCTGTGATCTCAGCACTTTTGGAGGCCAAGGCAGGAGGATTGCTTGAGCTCAGGAGTTTGAGACCAGCCTGGGCAACATAGTGAGACCTCATCTCTACACACACACACACACACACACACACACACACACACACACACACAAGAATGCCTACTTACACTACTTCTATTCAACATAATACTAAAAGGTCTAGCCAGAAAAATTAGAGAATGTTTTTTTAAAGCATACAAATTGAAAACAAAGAAGTAAAATTATGTGTGTTAACATGATGGTTCCAATTTCTACACATTCTTGCCAACACTTGTTGTTTTCCACTTTTTTATAGTAGCCATCCTAGTGGGTATGAAGTGGTACCCCATTGTGGTTTTTTTTGTTTGTTTTGTTTTTGTTTTTTGAGACAGAGTCTTGCTCTGTCACCCAGGCTAGAGTGCAGTGGTGCAATCTCAGCTCACTGCAAACTCCACCTCCCATGTTCAAGCAATTCCCCTGCCTCAGCCTCCCAGGTAGCTGGGATTATAGGTGTGAGCCACCACACCCAGCTAATTTTTGTATTTTTAGTAGAGATGGGGTTTCACCATGTTGGTCTCAAACACCTGACCTCAGGTGATCTGCTCTCTTTGGCCTCCCAAAGTGCTGGGATTACAGGGATGAGCCACCATGCCTGGCCCTCATTGTGGTTTTGATTTTGTGTTTCTCTGGTGACTTATTATATTGAGTACCTTTTTATGTGCTTGTTAGCTATTTGTATAATATATATTTGGAGAAAAGTCTATACAAGTCCTTTGCCCACTTTTAATTAGGTTGTCAGTTTTATTATTGTTGAGTTGTAGCAGTTTTTTTAATATACTCTGGTATTATGTGTATAATTTGCAAATATTTTCTCCCATTCTGTACATTGTCAATAAAATTGAAAACAAGAAATCAATAGAGAAAATAAATGAAACTAAAATCTAGTTCTTTGAAACAAATCAATAAAATTGATTAATCTCTAGACCAGCTTACACAGAAAAAAAGACACAGATTACTTATAGCAGAAATGAAAAGAGGAGTCATTACTACTAATCCCATGGATATTAGAAATATGATAAAGAAATAATGAACAACTCTATGCCTGCAAATCCGATAACTTAGATGAAATAGACCAATTCCTTGAAAAATACAAACTACCAAAACTCACACAAGGAGAAATACAGAATATGGGTAGGCCTATAGCTATTAAACAAATTAAATCAATAATTAATAACCTGTCCAAAAGGTATCCAGCCTGGGTGACAGAGGGAGACACTACTTAATCAGTGAAGTTATTAAGCTTTCTTAATTTTCTACACTTTCTCCTAGAAAATAAAAGCAGAAGGAACATTTATGAACTCATTCTATGAGGCCAGCATTACCCTAATACCAAACCAGATAAACACATTACAAGAAAGGAAAAATACAAACCAGTATCTCTCATAAACATAGACGCAAAAAGCCTCAAAAATATTGTCAAAAAAAACCCCTAAATGTATTAAAAGAATTAGGCTGGGTGGGGTGGCCCACACCTGTAATCCCAGCACTTTGGGAGGCTGAATTGGGTGGATCATGAGGTCAGGAGTTCAATACCAGCCTGGCCCAGATGGTGAAACCTCGTCTCTACCAAAAATACAAAAAAAAATTGGTGGGTGCCTGTAATCCCAACTACTCGGGAGGCTGAGGCAGAGAATTGCTTGAACTCAGGAGGCAGAGGTTGCAGTGAGCCGAGATCGCGCCAGAGTGAGACTCCATCTTGGGAAAAAAAAAAAGAAAGAATTAAATACCACCACCAACTGGGATACATTCCAGATATACAAGTCTGGTTGAAAATTTGAAAATCAATTAATGTAATCCATCACATCAGCAGAGTAAAGGAGAGAAATCATATGATCATATCAATATAGATACAGAAAAAAGCATTCAACATAATTCAACACTCATTCATGATAAACACTCTCAGCAAACTAGAAATATATGAGAACTTCCTCAACATGATAAAAAAAACTTTTTTTAAAAACCTAAAGCCACAATAAAATATCATCTTACACCAGTCAGAATGGCTATTAGTTAAAAGGTTAAAAATAGCAGATGTTGGTGAGGATGTGGAGAAAAGGGAACTCCTAAACACTGTTGATGGGAATGTAAATTAGTACAACCTCTATAGAAAATAGTATGGAGATTTCTTAAAGAACCAAACATAAAGCTACCGTTGGATCCTGCAATCCCACTCCTAGGTATGTACCCAAAAGGAAAGAAATTATTATATCAAAAAGCACCTAAACTCATATGTTTATTGAAGTACTATTCACAAAGGCAAAGATATGGAATCAATCTAAGTGTCCATCAACAGGTGATTGGATAAAGAAAATGTAGTATATAAGCACAATGGAATACCATTCAGCTGTTAAAAAGAATAAAATCATGTCTTTTGCAGCAACATGGAGAGAACTGGAGGCCATTATCTTAAGTGAAACAAGTGAGACACAGAAAGATAAATATTGCACGTTCTCACTTACAAGTGGTATAACCTGCATGGACCTAGGGGGACTGAACAAAGGGGGCGAACGCAGGAATAAAAGACAAAGATGAAAGAGTATATTTGGAAGAAGGGGTCAGGGGGCACCTTGCCTCTAGTGGACAAGGGCCCTGAGCTTTACACAGCCCTCCATATTTATTAGGCAAAAGAGATAGCGAGAAGGGTGGCGTGGAAAAGGGGTCGGCTGCTCGGTCCAGAGTAGGCTTGCAAGACTGCATTCTCTAGATGTCCCAGTAGATAACCTTAAGGAACTCAGTGCCAGGAAGTGACTGCCTTCAGCAAACCATCTGGCAGTGAGAGCAGTCGTGAGTTTGCCCACATCCTGCATTCATGATAAACAGTTTGCTGTTTGATCATATAGCCTCCAGTGGAATGCTGAGTTGGTCATGTCCCATGGGCCTTTGGCTCCCTGCATATCCCCCTTTCTGTTTATGTATTAATTGAAAGAATGTAAGGCCAGGCTGAGCAGCTCTCATTTTTTGATTGGCAGTCCATCTGAGTTTACAGACTATAAACAGAAGACAGAGACAAAAAAACATTATTCCAAGAACTACATATAAGATGTTAATGTGGTGCTTTAGATAGGTCCAAGGGTTGAGGCTCTCCAGGCCTTCCTGGAATTTGGTCCAGTCTTCTAAAGAAGGCTGAAACTCTTGAGTTTGCCTATTTAAATCAAGAATTTTGTTTTATAATTCACCAATATCAAAGGTGATGTTGGATGTGAAAGCTCCCTGCAAATGGGCTTTCACAAGGTCCCATGGATACTCACTTTGGTTATATTTTAAGTTGGTTACACAAATATGAGTGTGATTAAAATGACAACGCAATTGCTGCTGCAATTGCAAGCTTTGTGCTTTTCCCCTAACCATAGAACCGTGGATTTCAACATTGCCACTTCAGTTTGTAACTCAGTGTTAATTTTATTCTGAAGTAGCCACACTTGGTAGGCTGTGTGCATCCATTTCTCCACATACTGAGCTGTTTGAATAGAATTATGCAAAGCTACAGAAGACATCACAACAGAAGTTATTAGTGTGACCAAGGAAACAATAGCAAAAATTATCAGGCCCAAGGCTCTACAGACACGATGAGTAAGCTAAGTTAGAAGAAGTTTCACAAAATGCAAAGCAGGTGTGGCAGCCCAAGGCTCGGACAGATTAACAGGAATCCATAGCCAAGGGATGCAACCTAAAATCATCAAAGTAGAGATACTACGTGTTTGCAATGTGCTATGATTAATGCAGTGATATAACTGGCAAGATTTACAGGTCAATTTGGTATTGTTTACCTGGAGCTGGTCCTTCTTAGCTGCCAAAAAGACATAAGGATTAAAAACACAAACTGTAAATTGAGTGGTGATATTCTTTACAAATGTAACATTAAGACTGTGTGGCTTACTATTGCTATTATTGGATAGTATTCCAACCCAGATGTTGCTATTCATAAATGGGAGTGCTGCATTCCATATTGTCTCTTGAATTGGTCCTTTCCTTCCTAGATAATGCCACTGAGGAAGAGGTGGGCTAAAGCCTGCTCCATGCCAAGCAATCTGGGTGGCAGACTGGGATTGGATGCCAGTGTTGTATAAAGAAGAAGAATTAAAAGCTTGCCACCAATGCCAGCACAGTTTGTGCCATGATTTCTGATTTTTGTCTTTTCCATCTAATTGACCTTTAGGTCCGCAATGTCTCCAGTTAACATAGATTGTTTTCTAGCCAGTGGGCCAGGACAGGGGGTCCATGGACGGGGGTAGGAACTATTGAAGGGAATCCATTCTGTATAGTCAGCACAATTAGGGCGACTGGGCCGGGAATGGTTGATTAGCACACCAGTTACGTTAATAGAACCAAGACTTAATAAGTACATGATTTTACCATAGTGACTCAACCATGTTTGAGCTTGAATTGTAAGACAGCTATGGCTGAGTGACGTTTTTGTGGTGATACACAAAGGGAGCCCTTCCAGTGGAGCGGTATAATTAATGACATTATTCTGAGAGTCTAACTGTTCTATGTCAGGGGGAGTTTGGGATCCTGGAGCCCACTCTCCCTGATTGTGATAAATCTCAGGAGGAGTGTCACTCCAAAGTACAGGTCGTACTGCTGGGGGATTGGGAACATATGCCTAATATGTTTTTGCTTCTGCACAGGAAAACATACCGCACAGGACATTATGGCTAACATGGCCAAGAACATGGAATCAGGGGTTTTTGCCTGTCCCTGACACTCCAGTAGTTTCTCAGTTTCCTGTGTGGCTTTCTTGAGTTGTCCCCAGGTTACGGGGGTTGATGTCATTGTGATTCTGGTCGGCCTTCTCTCCCTCTTTGCACTCAGGCTCAGCTGGCTCATGGCTCGTACCGGAGGGACTGGGCCCATGGTTGGCCACCCTGGGTTCCTCTAGTCTCCCATTATGTGGTCGCATGCACCTTGAGGGCACCCACACGGCTTGTCCATCTCCTGTGAAAACACAAGCATATCCTCTTCCCCACTTCAGTAAACCCACCAGACCTTTTCATTGTCCTTCTTCCAGGGATTTCCGTAACATTTTTGGATAAACTTTCCTCTTTTCCTCTAACACTTGCCAATGTCTTTTTGCCGGAGTCTTACCATCCATACCAGGAGTCAAAAAATTTAAAGTAAATAAGGCTAAATATAGTTTTGATTGAGGTGGTAGTTGGCCTCCTATACCCACTTTTTGTCTTTTCAACATGCATTGTAATGTTTGATGTGCCTGCTCTATAATGCCTTGTCCTCTAGGATTATAAGGAATTCCTGTTTTATGGGTTATAGCCCAAAGCTGCAAGAAATTTTTAAAAGCGTGACTAGTATAAGCGGGTCCATTGCCAGTTTTTAATTGTTTAGGTATCCCCATATGAGCAAATGGTGATAGGCAATGTCACTGTACATGACCAGCTGTCTCACCTGTTTGGCACATAACATGCAGCGTATGAAAATAAGTGTCTATAGTCACATGAACATAGCTTACCAAAGGTTGCTGTGTGTGTAACATCCATTTGCCAAATTTCATTTGGAGCCAAACCTCGTGGATTACATCCTTCTACAGGTGTGGCTCCAGGGGCATGCTGGCAAGTAGGACAGGTTTGTGTTATAGCCCTAATATGCCTGTGAGATAAATGGAACATGTGAGTAAGGGCGGAAGTATTTTGGTGCAGAAGCGCATGAGATGCTTGAGCTTGCTGAAACACAGAACCAATCAGTTTGTCTGCTTTCTCATTACCTAGAGATAGTGGCCCAGGAAGTTGTGTGTGAGAATAAATATGAGAAATATGAAAAGAAGCTGCATGAGAGCGAATAACTTGTTGAAGTCTTAAAAATAAGCAGTTCTGGGTCTAGTGTATTTTTAATTGTAGCAGTTTCTATGTGACTGGCTACATTTACAACGTAAGCTGAATCACAGACAATTTTGATAGGATCTGAAGCTGTGAGCTCTAACACCTGAATGACTGCAATTAGCTCTGAGGATTGAGCTGAAACCCCAGAGGTCATTATTGTTTGAGTATGTTTTGGTCCATAGATAGCTGCATGACCTTTGGAAGAACCATCAGTAAAATAAGTCTGTCCACCTGGAGTAGGCTTGTGATGAATAATGAATAATCACAGGAAGAATGAAAGAATGGATTTTATAAAATTGTAAAATTTTGTCTGAAGGGTAGTGGTTATCTATAGCACCCACGAAGTCTGCAAAAGTAGTCTGCCAGGCAGTTGACATTTCCCAAGCTGTGGCTTGTTGCTGGGAGTCTACAGGAACAATAATTTTGTCAGGATCATATCCCATAAGCATTCTTGACCTATGCCTGCCCATAGTCACAATTTGTGTAATTAAAGAAAGATAAACTTGCAAGGTTTTGACTGTTTGATTAGGTAGAAAGAGCCATTCTATTACTGTTACAGACTTGTCTATGAACTGGCCCAAAAGTCCTCTTGGAGAGTTGGGGGTAGGAAGAATAAACAAAAGCAAAGGTTTTTGCAGTTGTAGCGGTGAGGCATGTCTCTGCTGTGACATTTGCTCTACAAGCCGTAATTCGGCTTCTGCCTCTTTAGTTAATTGCTGCAGCGAATTTAAAGAACAGTCTCCTTGCAGGGTTTGGTAAAGATGTGTAAGTTGATAGGTAGCAGCAATACTTAACATCGGTCGTAGCCAGTTAATATCTCCTAATTGTTGAAAATCATTTAAAGTCTGTAACCTGTCTTTACAGAGAACTACTTTCTGAAGCCGTACACTCCTCTCCATTAACAATACTTCCTAAGTATTGGTATGGGGAAGTTGTTTGCACTTTCTCTGGAGCAATTTTGAGATTCCATTTGACAAGAGCTCGCTTTACTTCTCTGAATAATTTATGTAAAATTTGATCTGTAGGAGGGGCCAAAAGAATATCATCCATAAAATGAATGATATACGCAGTGGGAAACATATTTTGAGGCTCCTTTAATGCTCCTCCCACAAAATGCTGAGGTAATGTGGGACTGTTAAGCATGCCTTGAGGTAAAACTTCCCATTGATAGTGAGACACGTTCTCTTTGATTAACAGAAGGCACAGAGAAGGCAAATAGAGGCTCATCCTTCTCGTGTAAGGAGGGTATAGTAAAGAAACTATCCTTAAGATCTATAATTACAAGAGGCCAGTCTCTTGAAATGGCCACTGGGGAAGGTAAACCTTGCTGTAATGCGCCCATCGGTTTAATTTGTGCATTAATAGCTCTCAAATTATGCAGCAATCACCATCTTCTGGACTTTTTTTGGAATAACAAATACCGGTGAATTCCAGGGGCTGACTTTTCTGTATGTCCTGCATTCAATTGCTCTTTTACCAACAGATGAAGTTGATCTAGCTTCTCCTGTGTTAGGGGTCATTGATCCACCCACACAGGTTTGTCACTAAGCCATTCTAATGGTAAGGGCTTAGGCGGAGGAGAAATATCAATGACCCCCGTCAGAAATTCTGACGCTCTAGCTGCTTTTCTATCTGTTTTTCCAGTTACTGATAACAGATTAGGGTTTTCTTGTAGAAACCTCCCCAAACCTTTTCCACTCTGATATCTCATGTTCTTCAACATTTTAAATCCTGGGTTATCAAAGTTTTTATTTGTAAGTCTCATATCCCATGCTGTAAGTCAGTCTTGACCCCATAAATTGATAGCTATATTTGTGACATAAGGCTGAAAAGTACATGACTGTCCATCCAGACCAAGACAAGGTAAAATCTCAGCACTCTGTTGAACACTTTGAGCTGTTCTTGCTCCCACTAAGGACGTAGAAGTTAATTGCAAGGGCCAGGATGGGGGCCAATTGTCTTTAGATATTACTGACACATCAGCTCCCATATCCATAAGCCCATAAAATTTCTTTCCTTTAATTTGTACTACACAGGTGGGTCTATTAGAGGCTATGGGTTGGGGTAGATAGATTTCCCGCGTAGTTGTGCTCCCAAACCCTTTATTTCCTTGTTTCTCCTTTTGTGGAGAAGGGTGTAATTTGCAGGGAATAAGTAATAATTGCACTATGTATTCTCTCAGTTCAAAAACCCAAAGATCTTGTGACATTAAAACTACTTGAATTGGCTGGGAGCGGTGGCTCACGCCTGTAATCCCAGCACTTTGTGAGGCTGAGGCAGGCGGATCACGAGGTCAGGAGATTGAGACCATCCTGGCTAATACGGTGAAACTGTGTCTCTACTAAAAATACAAAAAATTAGCCAGGTGTGGTGGCGGGCGCCTGTAGTCCCAGCTACTTGGGAGGCTGAGGCAGGAGAATGGCATGGACCCGGGAGGCGGAGCTTGCAGTGAGACAAGATTGCGCCACTGCACTTCAGTCTGGGCAACAAAGTGAGACTCCATCTCAAAAAAACAAAAACAAAAAAAAAACTTGAATTTCTCCTTCATAACCAGAGTCAACAACTCCTGGGACTACAGTAATGCCTTGCAAGTTAAGGCGGCTTTTGCCTAAAATTAGTCCCATATATCCTGCTGGTAAATGTCCCCAAATACCGGTGGGAACTTTGATGGGTTTGTCTCCCCCAACTAATGTAACCCTTTGTCTGGCTGGGAGATCTAATCCTGCACTTCCTGGTGTTCCTGGGGTGAGGGAATCAATATGCCTCTGGGAACCCATGCCTGAAACGGGGTTGAGGTCTGGGCTGGGGATGCCCTGATTGTTTGTGGGGCCCGGGTCCAGGCCCCCGTCTCATTTCCCAACAGGGGGGTGCCATTCTGATGAAATTTTGAGTGGCACTGATTAGCCCAGTGATTTCCTTTGTTATAGGGAGGACAGTCCTGGTATTTTTTCCCCTGGGTGGGGCACTGCATTGTAAGATCCTTTCTGTCCTGAGATCTGGTGGCATTCCTTTTTACAATATCCAGTTTTTCCACAATTATAACACTTTCCCATTTTAGAGCCTGACCCTTGGCTCCTTTTAGATTTGTCAACTACTAAATTAGCTATTACTTCAGCTAGCATTGAAGAGCAATGAAGTTCAGTTCTTACATCCTGACAAGCTCTGAGAAAATTTCCCAAGTTCTTTGTACACCTCACCGGTGCCAGTGCGCGTTCATAATCTGCGTTTGCATTCTCAAAAGCTAGAGTAAAGGTTAGCATTTCTGCAGCCAAGGTATGAGGAATCTGACGCTTCACTGCATCTTGTAATCTTGCAAGAAATTGTGCCTAGGTTTCTTGCGACCCTTGCGTGATATGTAAAAAGGATTATACTGGGACTCCCTCTTAAGGAATTGTGGCCCAGGCGCATTTAGTGGCCTGTGTGCACTGCTGATAAGCAGCATTTGTGAGTATCATTTCATGTTCCAGGTCTGAATAAGGGCCATTACCCAATAGCATATCCTTTATAATGTCTCCGTTTCCAGCAGCATGGTTCTATCCAGCCTGGTCTGCACCCAGTTCTTGCCAGTTTAAATTCCATGTCAGATATGCGCTAGCAGACAAGCAAGTTTGCGCCAAGTGTTTCACATCAAAGGGTAGAAGACACATAGCACCAAACACAGATTCTAGCAATCCTAAAGTGAATGGGCTCTGTACGCCATTATTTACCACACTCGCTTTTAATTCCTTTAACAACTTAAACTCTAGTGGAGTGTGTTCATGATTAAGCTGCTGTGGATTATTTGGATCAGGACTTACGGAAATAGGAAAAGCACGAGGTCCTAAGGGCTCTCCAGCCATGGCAGCAGAACGTAAAATTCTTTGTATTGGGGTCTCTGTTTCTGCCACCGAAGGAGGCGGTACAGATGTTTCTGCAACTGGAGGGGGCGGTATAGGCCAATTTTTATCCTCCCTCTCCTGTTTTTTATTTTCAATTGGAGCTGTGGGTGGGACAACAGATTCTTTCAGATTTTTAGATTCAGCCTGCTGTCCCGCAGAATAATAAGGAGATAATGGCAGAAGTACAGTACGAACTAAACTCCAAGAGGAGAAAACTGAAGAATAACTTTAAAACCTTTTTGATGAACCTGTTTTAATCCTTCTCCTGCTCTGTCCCAATTTTCCACATCAAGAGTGCCTGCCTGTGGAAACCATGGGTTATGCATAATAACCTCCCATAGCATCTTAGTTAATGTGAGAACTAACCTGAGCACCAGTTTGTTTCAACAAAACTTTAAGCAACTGCACATAATGTTTTTCTTCAACAGACCAATTCTGCCCCATGTTACCCTGATTCAGAAAACTTCCCATTCCCAGTACTACTTTAAGGCACTGCTCCCAGTAGCTCTTTAGGGCACTGACCATAATTATATCCGCTGCTGGCAGACTCATCCCGGGCTCCCTGTTCGCCTTGTCAGTTTCAGTTCCTCTGCTCCAGCAGATCTTCTTCATTCACGTCCTCAAAGTCCCTTTTCTGGGGTGCCACTATGTAACCCACATGGACCTAGGGGGACTGAACAAAGGGGGGCAAACGCGGGAATAAAAGACAAAGACAAAAGAGCATATTTGGAAGAAGGGGTCAGGGAGCACCTTGCCTCTAGTGGACAAGGGCCCTGAGCTTTACACAGCCCTCCATATTTATTAGGCAAAAGAGATAGCGAGAAGGTGGGTGTGGAAGAAGGGGTCAGCTGCTTGGTCCAGAGTAGGCTTGCAAGACTGCATTCTCTAGATGTCCCAGTAGATAACCTCAAGGAGCTTGAGGCCAGGAAGCGATTGCCCTCAGCAAACCTTCTGGCAGTGGGAGCAGTCGTGAGTTTGCCCAGATCCTGCGTTCATGATAAACAGTTTGTTGTTTGATCATATAGCATCCAGTGGAATGCTGAGTTGGTCAGTCCCACGGGCGTTCGGCTCCCTGCAAAGTGGGAACTAAATAATGTGTACACAAGAGTGTAGAGTGTGGAATGGTAGACAATGGACACTCAAAAGGACGAGGGGGGGGCGAGTGTGATGGATTACTGTTACCGAAACACCAGGGGTTTGGTGTAGGTACTGCTGCTGGCTGCACAGAAAATCAGTGACTGAGATGACGAGTATTACCAAGGAAGAAAGCTTTAATCAGGTGCTGCAGCTGAGGAGATGGGAGCTCAGTCTCAAATCCATCTCCCTGACCAACTAAAACTAGAGGTTTATATAGCAGGAAAGAAATGTAACAATGTGTAAAAAAACAGGAACTAGGGAGGGGCAAGGAAGCAATCATGATGAATGAGGGGGTCAGGCATCTCATTGGTTTGTGCTGGGAAGCATTGCCACCTGAATAAGAAGTGGTCCACAGACACGGATGATCAGTCAAATGCACCTAGGAGCCAATGGTCAGCCAAGATCAGGAAAAACTGACCTAAGGAAATCGATCACTGGTGGAATCCTTAGCAGAAAAGGCATATGTAACTCAGGGTGGGAGGAAGAAGGTCTCTCTTAAGTTATATCCCTTGTTGCCCTCTGCAGTGTATTGAGTTCAGGCCAGGAAGAAGTAGACAGAGTGCTGAAGCCATCCTTGCAGAGTTAACAAGAATTTTGGACAGAAATACATATAATGAAGCATTAATCAGGGTACACTTCCACTCACTTCTTTGTAACCAAAAGTCACGTAGCACTTGATACTGACCATTGGCATCCCTGTTGTTCCTATAGATAGGATTTCTGATGTTAGAATCATAAGGCTTTTATTTAAGATAGATAAGATCTGAGTCATGTACATGAACAAAACAATCATAAACAAAATCAGAAGGTTTTTGTTTAAGAATTTCTAAGATGTTTTCCAGATCCCAAATTCCAGCCAAACAGCTGTTGCCAACTAGTTTGAAGACCCCTCCAGACGAATGGATCATAATGAAAATACAGTTTCTTCATCCTCTTGTCCCATGACTTCACCCTGCACTCTTTGACCAGTCAACAGTCTCCACACTTTGGCTCACTCCAAAACCCTTAAAAACCCTAGCCACAAACTCCTCAGTGAGACAGATTTGAAGTTTCTTCCCATCTCCTCATTCAGTGGCCCTATGATTAAACCTCTTTCTCTGCTGCAACCCGGTGTCTTGGTGTACTGACTTGCTCTGTGCATCAGGCAATGAACCTATTACAGTTACAGTACCTCAGAGGGTCCTCTGGAGACCTGGATTCCGTAATTTCAAGGTACCTTGAAGGATCCCTGCTTGTCCAGCAGTAGGGCCCATGTGGAAACATGGAGTTAAGGGAGCCACCACCACTCTGCCAAGCATCAACTTAATCAGATCTCTTAACAACACTATGAAGAAGAGACAATCAATATTTGAAATTTGCAGATAAGCCAGCAGAGGTGCTCAGAGGTTAAAGTCACTCACAGTTAATCAGCAAGAAAATGGTGGTTGAGTGGGATTCAGTCCAACTTGTCTGGCTCCAAAGTCTCAGGTTTCTAGGGCTTGGTTTAAGGGGAGCCACACTTGTTTCCAAGATTGGGCTTGGGGTTGGGATTGGTTGTTAAGCAGTCTCTTGACTCCTTAGGCTGGCTGGGACTGTCTTCCTCCACTCTTCTTCCTACTGCTCTCAGAAATGTGTGGTGTAGGTGCAGTGCTTGTTATATAGGGGTCAGACTAGCATTTCAAGAGTTCGTTTTTTTTCTTTTTATTTTTAGTAGAGATGGGGTTTCACCATGTTGGCCAGGCTGGCCTCAAATTCCTGACCTCAGGTGATCCACCTGCCTCAGCCTCCCTAAGTGTTGGGATTACAGGCGTGAGCCACTGCAACCAGCCTCAAGTTTTCATTTCAATACTTCTTTTAACACAAAATTTATGACCCACATACCAATCAAGGACTTTTGGGTGACAAATTTAAAACTTGGGGGGATGGTACAATTATTCTAGAAAGCAGTTTGGCAGTTTTTCTTTCTTTTATTTTTTTTGAGACAGGGTCTCACACTGTTGCCCAGGCTAGAGTGCAGTGGTGCAATCACAGCTCGCTGCAGCCTCAACCTCCTGGACTCAAGCAATTCTCCTGCCTCAGCCCCTCAAATAACTGGGACTACAGGCGCATGCCACCACACCTGGCTAATTTTTGTATTTATTTATTTTTTTTTTTGTAGAGATGGGGTTTCGCCATCTTGCTCAGGCTGGTCTCCAACTCCTGAACTCAAGTGATCTGCCCACCTTGGCTTCCCAAAGTGGTGGGATTACAGGCTTGGAGCCCCTGTACCTGGCTGGCAGCTTCTTTGAAAGTTAAACAAACACCCATGTGTTTGTTTACCTAGGAGTCATCTGGCTCCTAGGTATTTACTAGAGAAAGCCAAAAACAATTTCCGTGCAAACATTTGCTCACAAAAGACCGTAGCAGCTTTACTTGTAATAAAGCAAAACTTAAAGCAGCCCTAGTGTCCATCAGTGGGTGAAAGGATAAATCAACTGTGGAATATCCACACAGTGAAATACTCTCAGCATTAAAAAGAAACAGATTCATCATCACCCTACAATGTGAGTGAACCTCAAAATAATGATGCTAAATGCAAGAAGCAAGAAAGAGTACATAATGTATGATTCCATTGTTTTCCGTTTTTAGTTTTTAGAGGTGAGTCCTGCTATGTTTTCTAGGCTGGACTTAAATTCTTGAGCTCAAGAGAGTCAACTGCCTCAGCTAGCCAAGTAGCTGGGACCATAGGCATATGCTACTGCACCTGGCTTGATTCCATTTATGTAAAGTTCTAGAAAATGCCAACTAATTTATAGTGACTGAAACAGATCAGATCAGTGGTTGCCTGGGGTTTGGGATGAGGGAAAGATGGATTATAAAGGGGCGCAAAGCAACTGTTGGGGATGATGAAAAAATTGGCGTCTTGATTTTGGTGATAATTTCATGGGTTTCCACATATGTTAAAATAAATCAGAAGACACACTTTAAATAGGTGCAGTTTATTGTACTTTAATTATACCTTGTGATAGCCAGTTTTATGTGCCATCTAGGCTAGGCTGTATTCCACAGCTATTCAATCAGACATGATTCTAGGTGTTGTAGATGTGATTAACATCTACAATCGGTTTACTTTATGGAAAGGAAATTATTCCTAATACTCTAGGAGGCCCGATTCCTCCTAGAGTTGAAAGGCGTGAATGCAGAACTGGTTTCCCTGAAGAAGAAATTCTGCCTGTGGATTGCAGTTAGCCTTTACCTGAGAGTTCCAGCCTGCTCTTCCCGATGGCTGCCCTGCAGAGTTTGGATTTCCCTAATCAGTCCCTACAATTGTGTAAGACAATTTCTTGCAATAAATCTCTATCTAGTACCTATTATCATCTTATCTGTCTGTCTATCTATCTATCTATCTATCTATCTATCTATCTATCTATCTATCTATCTACGCATCCATCTATCTATCTATCTGCCATCTATGTATCTATCATCTATCGATCATCTATCTTGCTACCTATCTCCTACATCCTACTGGATATCCTACTGGTTCTGTTTCTCTAGTGAAAGCCTGACTCATATGGATTTAGGTAATGGAAGTGGTTCTAAAAGAACAAAATCTTAAGGATGAATTTTCTGAATTGCCTCTCTCGTATGATTCAATTTAAGGCCAGTAATGACTCTATTTCCATTGGTAAAGAGGGCATGGAATGAGGTGGCAAAATATTCCTGGATATTCCTGATCAAATGCTTATTAAAGGTAAGGTTCTGGTGATCATGTATTTGATACCTTTGGGGCATTTAGTCAAAATAAGGTGTATAGTGAGATTGGCTGGTTGCTCCTGACTATGTTAGAGAAAGTGGAGAAGGAAAAGGATGAACTCAGGGCTTCAAATTGCCAGCTGAGCTCCACATATATGATCCAAAAGCTTCTATGTCTGTCCTTAAAGAAACCCTGTCTCTGTAGATGCAGGACTGGAATTTCTGAAAACCAAATCCTGAGTCTTATCCTGCAAGTGGCTGTATTACAATGCAAATTGAATTCACAACGTTGCAGGGCATCTTCTGATTTTATTTTATTTTAGACAAGGTCTTACTCTGTCACCAGGGCTGGAGTGCAGTGGTGAGATCATGGCTTAGTGCAGCTTCTACCTCCTGGGCTCAAGCGATCCTCCCACCTCAGCCTCCTGAGTAGTTGTAGTCCTGAATAGCTGGGACTATAGACGGGTGCCACCATGCCCAGCTAGTTTTCCTGTATTTTTGTAGAAACAGGGTTTTACCATGTTGCCTAGGCTGGTCTTGAACTCCTGAGGTCAAGGGATCCACCCACCTTGGCCTCCCAAAGTGCTGGGATTACAAGTGTGAGCCATGATGACCGGCCATAGGGTGTCTTCTGTTAGAGTGAAGGCATTGATTGGGAAGTAATGGGCTCTTCAAAATCAGAGTGGGGACATATGAAAAGATCCTAAGGAAGGTGGGGTCATTACATCCCTAAATATTGTTGAGTCTTCTTTGCCAGCAGAAGCAGCCCTTTTACTGCTGTCTGACCCACTAAATCCTAAGGTGGGGTGTGCACAATAGCACTCCATCATCAAATGGAAATGGTAAATATGAGACAGGCCCGAGCCAGCCTTGAAGGCACAAGAAAGTTAGCTGAGGAAGTGGCCCATATACCTATAGAGCTGATTCTTCCTACACTGCCTTCTCTGTCTCAGCCTGTACCTATGGCCTCATGAAGAATTCCCTGTGATTAGCTGAATGAGGAAGAGAAAAACTCAAGTTTGCTTATAGTTGGTTGTGCACAATATGCAGGCATCACCCAAGATGTTCAGGTGTAGCAATACATCTTCTCTCTGGGTCATTCCTAAACCACAGTGATGAGAAGAAATACTCCCAGTAGGCAGAACTTGGAGCATTGCACTTGGTTGTTCATTTTGCTTGGAAGGAAAAATAGGTACTTAAACTCTCAATCACATTATTTATAGACAGTCTCAGGGTTCAGTCCCACAAATTGCAGCCTGTGAACATTTGAATTTGCTAGTTGATTTCAGAAAGAAAATCTTAGTTCCCAATTTCTAATTTCAGTGACAATGATGTTAAAAAAAAAACTTTCACTCTTACTTCTATATAACATGCAGTATACGTATTCCATTTCCCACTTTTAGCAAAAAAGAGGAAATGGTGCCTGGCTACTTTTCACTTCCACTTGGCTGAGGACTGAATACTCATGACCAATGTCCCTGACAAAGTTTTTGTGTTTGTGTATACACCTTTATTGAGGTGTGTGTAAATAAACGTTCCACCAAAGAAACAAAACCAGAAGAATGGATATCTACAGCTATCGTCTATATTTATATCTATATCTATCTTTACAATAAGAAAGTCATACTTTCTATTAACATGATACAACTGAAATTGTGCTAACCTTTTCCCTGGAACAGGTTGCAGTGTCCTTGAGTGATAGTAGTTCTTTCCCTAGATACCTTGTAACTTAAATACTAGGACGTAAAGTCAATCACTGTTAATACATCTTATGTTAGATGATAAGAGTATAAAGAGGGAAAAACTCAAAAATATTTGCTTAATGCATATCTATCCGTACAAACATATAACAAAATAGAAAGAAATACTCATATATAGTCCTCATTTCTGCATCTGGTCATATGGTCATAGCTGTTTATATAACATAGCTGTATCTATTTATAGATACCTTCTTCCACTACCCATGACTTATTCCTTTTGCCCTCAGTAAGCACCTAAGCTTGCCATGGTTCTTTGCTTGGTGGGTGACCCCAATCTTCATTTCTGAAACCTGGGCCATTAGCAGTTCTTCCTGAACTCGGTTGTAGTTCTCCATTGACTTTAATCACAGGACATGGTAGTACTAATAGGTGCCCTAAGGAATCTCTTGTATTACAAATATACTTTGTCTTCTTCTATTGTGTAGTAGCAGCCCAATTTCCCTTTGGTAATCAGGATCAATCATCCCAACCAACACAGCACTCCCTTATTTGCCTGTTAATTCATAGGTAAGAGGAGCCCAAAGTGGCAGGGTGGCAGTTTTAACTTGTAATTCAATGGAATCATTGTTGAATCTCCTGGTGGAAGCATTCCTCCCTTTGTAACTAAGACCTGTAGACCAGCTGAGCATAAGGTCACAGGAACAGAAGCAAACATTTTGCTAGGGGATTACCTATGGTAATAGTGAGTGGTGCCACTCCCATTTCTATCTCCTGATTCCTGGACCGGTGACTCCTGGCTATGGAGAAACAGTATGTATATTGGATGCTGATTTACAGCACACACATCCTCCTGGAGGACGCTTCCCCAGTACTACAAGATATTGCCATCTGGCTGCCACCATAATTGAGTCTTCACAGGCCATTCCACTATTCTATCAAGCCTGCTGCTTCAGGATGATGGGGAATATGGTTAGTCCAGTAAATTGAATAGGCATAAGCCCACTGCCACACTTCATTTGGTGTGAAGTGAGTTCCTTACTCAGAAGTAATGTTATGTGGGAATACCATGATGGTGGAAAAAGTATTCTTCAAGTCCACAGATGGTATTATTACTATTTTATTTTTTATTTTTTGCAGAAGCATTGCATTCAGAAAAAGCAAATCCTTTTTGGTGGGGGGAATGGGAGGAAAGCAAATCTGTGTCCAGAGTAAGTGTCTATTCCAGTAAGAACAAAACACTGCCTCTTCCATGATGGAAACAGTCCCGTGTAGTCAGCTTACCACTAAATAAGCTGGCTGATCACTCTGGGGAATTGTCCCTATCAGAGACTCAGTGTTGATCTTTGCTTCTGGCCAACTGAATGCTCAGCAGAGGCTGCAGCCAGGTCAGCCTTGGTGAGTGTAAGTCCATGTTGCTGAGCCCATGCATAACTTCAATTCCTGCCACCATGGCCACTTTGTCCATGAATCTGTTGGGAGATGACAGGAGTGTCTGGAGAAAGAAGCTAACTGACTCACAGAGTGGATCATCCAAACCACTTGATTATTAAAAATTTCCTCTACTGAGTTCACCCTTTGGTGAACATTCACGTGGGACATTCCCCTGCATTCCCTTCTCTCTTATGGGATGTTGCTCAACTTCCTTGCTGAGAACCTTTGGGCTGAAGCATGGCTTCCAAGGACTCCTTAGGACAGTCCTTTTAAAATCAGAAGATACAGCCATATCTCAGTGAAGCTGGAGCCTGGGGTCCTGCGAGGGGAAAGGAATATGGGGAGTTAGAGGTACAGAGGATGGGGGTTAGGCGGCTGATGCCAGAAGGAGTCATGGGGGTGCCAGGCCTGGGCTTCTTTCCCTGGTCTCCTGGGCATCTGGGCATGGTGACTGAGAAAGCCCCAGGTGAGTGTAAAGCATTGGAATGGGGGCTTGAATTCAGAGGCCCAGCTAGGTCCAGCACTGTGGGCAAAGCTGGATTTGAAGAGTCTGGCATAGAAGGTATCTTCTCTGGGATGGATTCCATCCCCGGAACCCCTAAGGGAAGGGTTTTGTGTGGCAAAGGATCATGAAGGGAGTGCCATAAGCTTTTGGAGGTGTCAGCCAGACTCCAATTTGGACAGTGCCCATTACATACAGAAGACGTTGAGTCAGCAGAATTGGGCCCAGGGCACCTCTGGGACTTTGGGGCTTTTTCAGTGAGTGGTTAGGGTTCAGGAGAAAATAGATGGTTTCTGAACTCCTTGGGGAGATGCAGGCCTCCTGGAAGCAGGACCAGTGGATGTGAGTCCCTGCAGCAGCCATGGACATGCCCGCTCAGCTGTCCTTCAGGAGACCCTGCTGCAGGATGCATGGTGGAATGATGGCCTCAGCTACTTCCACCATGAACACTGAGGCCACATGCCAGTCTCCCCACACCCCCCACTACTTCTGGCTAATGACTGAACTTGGAGCCCTCCCATTCTTGCCTGGAGCAGAACTCCTCTAAGGGCAACTTTTGCCCTGGGTCTCCCCATTGGCCTTGCCAAGACTTCCTCAGAACTTTCTATGTTACGGTCTAAGGTTCAACCTCCTGGATCCTTTTTCCTTCCCCCTTCCTTTTATAGGTGCTGGATCTGCATCTCTGTCTAAAGGCTCTCCCTGCCTACTTTTGCTCCTTCTCCCGTTACTCTTTTGGGAATTTTCCCCAATAGTTCTCTTGTATCTCTAATTCCCTCTTGGGGTTCACTTTTGAAATTCCAACAGAACAGGAGCTCAGGGCCATTCTGGCTTCTCAAGCCTAACATGGGCCATCCTTTCCCCAGGAGGCAACAGGGCCTTGTGGAAAGGAGCAGAAAGGAGGTTGGCAGCATCCAGAGGGCCTGTCGTCTCCGATGGAACTCCTAGCCTATCTCTGGGCTGGGGTGGCTCTAGTGGTGGAAGATAGGAGAGTTGGTTTTGGATCTGGGCAGAAGTATGCAGGAGCTGGCTCATACCAGTTTGTGTTCTATTTTTAGGAAAGTTGCAAGCTTGAAATCAGCCAAAGTGGAAGTATTTGGACCTCAAGACAAACACTGCAAATCAGAGCTTTTTCCTTTAGAGACCTGGTTGTTAAAATTTACTAGCACACCACTGAATGGAAGGTTATCATTTTCTTAGAATTGCTATTGGGATAAAGTTCCGAATTATTATCCTAGCTGCTATAGCTCTATCATTCAGGGTCCCAGTAGGAATCAAGTGGCTCTCTCAAAAAGGTAATTGATGACAATTCAAGGAAGAGACCATTTACAAAGGTGTGGCAGGATATAGGGAATGCAAGAAGGGATGGTAAAGTATCCCTGATCTAACAATAGTGGGAAGCTGCTACTAATCCTAGGCCTGAGCACATAGGAGAAAGAGCCATTGGAGAACCTAGTAAGACCTAAAGCCTTAGGAGAGGGCTGCTTGGCAGGGCACACAGCCGTGGGCAGAGGAACATGGTTACTTTCACCCCAGTCCAGCAGAGACGAAACCAGAAAAATACATACTCCACTTTCTTTTTCCCCCGACCCCTGAGTTCCCCTGTCTAAACTCCTGCTGGTGCCTCCACTGTCGCCAACCAGGAGAAAAGGGAACTGTGGGTGCAGCTCATACACATCAGTCCTCAGAAGCACAAGGCAGGTGGAAAAGGTGGAAGGTGGATCTACATGAACACCCAAGGGCAGAGCCTCGGGTGATCTGTCCTTATGCCACCTGCCCAGCCTAACTCGATGCCCACTGCCCTTGCCCACTGCACTGTGGGGCACACACTGTTTCCTCTGCCTGAAAACTCTCTCACGTCCCCCTTCCCCTAGTTCATTACTTCTCATCTTTGGCTTAAATGTTAACCTCCTAAACATGTAATCCTCTTTGTTGATTGTACCCTTTGGCACACTGTTGTTTATCTGCTTATGGCAAATCTTTTTTCCCAATGGTTATTACTAATATTTTTTGAGACAGGGCCTCGCTCTGCCACCCAGGCTGGAGTGCAGAGGTGCAATTATGGCTCACTACAGCCTTGACCTCCTCCCAGGCTTGAGCAATCCTCCCACCTCAACCTCCCTAGTAGCTGGGACTAAAGGTGGATGTTACCATGCCAGGATAATTTTTTTATTTTTAGTAGAGACAAAGTCTTGCTGTGTTGCCCATCCTGGTCTCAAACTCCTGGCCTCAAGTGATCCTCCCACCTTGGCCTCCCAAAGTGCTGGGATTACATGTGTAAGCCAATGTGTCTGGCCCCTAATGATTATTTAACAATAATAATACCAGTATTCAACATTGACTGAACACATATCATGTGCCAGGCACTGCGTAATTATTTGTTAGACTCTTTTAGACTACAGTCTCCATAAGGGCAGGGATCATGTCTCTGTATTGTTCATTGGTCTGTCTCTCCAGTGCCTAGGGCAGTAGCTGGCACATACCAGGAACTCAACAAACATGTATGGAGTAAAAAAATCCCACAATGAGCCTTGCAAGTTTTTCCTAGCTCTCTTGTATCATGGGAGGTTAAATATGGCTGCAAATTCTTTACTGCTCCTCCCACTGAGAGATGAAGTCCAATTCCACTCCCTTGAAATCCCTCATTGACTTGCTTGACTGATAGAATGTGGCTGGAGTGACATTCTTGGACTTGTAGCTCATAAGAAGCCTTGCAGCTTCCACCTGGGTCTCTTGGAACATTCTCACTTGGTGCTCTGACCACCACTTTCGAAGTGCGACACATGAAGCCACCATGCTGGTGAGGCCACATGCAGGAATGGTAGATGGTTCCAGCTGCGCCTAGCTCTCCAGCCTTCTCTGCTCAGCCCCAGGTATCCACCAGCTCAACAGCACCAAGGGACCCCCACTGATGCCACTTGGAAGAGTTACCCAGGGCGGGTGCAGTGGCTCACGCCTGTAATCCCAGCACTGTGGGAGGCTGAGGTGGGTGGATCACCTGAGGTTGGGAGTTCAAGAACAGCCTGACCAACATGGAGAAACCCCGTCTCTACTAAAAATACAAGATTAGCCGGGTGTGGTGGCGCATGCCTGTAATCCCAGCTACTCGGGAGGCTGAGGCAGGAGAATTGCTTGAACCAGCAAGGTGCAGGTTGTGGTGAGCCAAGATCCCGCCATTGCACTCCAGCCTGGGCAACAAGAGAAAAACCCTGTCTCAAAAAAATAAAGAAATAAAAAAAAAGGAAAAAAAAATAGAGTTACCCAGCCAAGCTCTACTCAACTTTCTGGGTCACAAAATTATAAGATCTAATAAAATGGTTCTTTTAAGCCTCTACATTTTGGGGCACTTTGTTATGTAGCAATAGTCAAAACAAGTAATATTGGTTAGGGGAAAATCCCCAACCTGCTTTTCCTTCCCACCTTCACCCATCCCGCACTTTCAGGCTCCCCTTAGGGACTGTTACCTGCAGGAGTCTTGCTAGCTTTCTAGCAACTTAACTTTGATGTGGCTTTAAGAGAGGTGCCTGAGCTTCCATTTGCCACACTCTGGGGAATCCCCCAAATGCTAACCTGTCCACTCTACAACAAGCTCCGGCAGCTGAGCTGTTCTGGGCCACCTGCCAAATATCATATGATACTCCCTTGATGTCGGGTGACAGTAAAATTCACCGACTCCTGGGTGGAGGCCCTTTTCTTTGAAGCCTGCTCTGCTCACCCAACCACACACAGCCCACTTACACGGCATCACCAATTAGAGTTGGGGAAATGCAGGTGGTGGCCCCGGGCTACACCAAGCTCCACTGCTGCCTTGCTCTCTGGGTCAGATCTGTCTCAAGCAGAGCAAATTACTGCTGGAATCACCAGGGCTGTGAGGAGCTTCAGAGAATGACCAAGGTTAGCACTTAGAGGACTGAGCCCTGGGCGGTGTGCTCTAAATGTGTGTAGGGTCCTAGATGAAGGCTTTTGGATATTTCTGGTAGCACCAAAGACTAAACAGGCATTTGAGAAGCTTGAGGCGTCTTTGCCTGCTCCAGGGCCTCCGGAAGAGGCCACGTAGGGATGTCCCTGGGGCATTTGCTAACTCATTCTCAGAGGAAGATCCGAGGAAAATATATTCACTCCCTTGTCTCACTCCTTTGCTGCTCAAGCACATAAGGGTGGGTGGAAGGAGGGAGGCTAGCGACAGCATTCCTGGTGGAGGGAGCGAGGGTAGTAAGCACAGAGTGTGTTGTGATGCAGCAAGACAGGCTCACTAGGACCAGACCATGTAGTCTCAGACATACTCCTTGGTGCTCTTGGGCACAGCCTGCCTTCCTTCCTTCCTTCCTCCCTCCCTCCCTCCCTCGCTCTCTCTCTGCTTCTTTTCTTTTCTTTCTTTTTCTTTCTTTTCTTCGGAGTCTCACTCTGTCACCAGGCTGGAGTGCAGCAGTGCAATCTCAGCTCACTGCAACCTCCACCTCCCGGGTTCAAGCGATTCTCCTGCTTCAGCCTTCTGAGTAGCTGAGACTACAGGCACGCACCACCACGCCCGGCTAATTTTTATATTTTTAGTAGAGACGGGGTTTCACCATGTTGGCCAGGATGGTCTCAATCTCTTGACCTCTTGATCCACCCACTTGGGCCTCCCAAAGTGCTGCAATTATAGGCGTCGGCCATCCCGCCCAGCCACAGCCATCATTTCTTAGTGGGAAGTTGGTGTGGACTACACTAGGTGAGGCTCCTGGCATATATAGGTTCCCAGGCTCCACCCAGACCTGTAGAAACAGAAGCTCTTTGGATGGGGCCCAGGCCTCTGCATTTGTAACAAGTGTCTAAGCAGTCATGAAGAAGGAAGCCAGGCAGAGTAGAGGTTAATTCCATGGGTCTGGAGTTAGACCACGGGGGTTTAAACCCAGGTTCTAGCATTCAGTGCCTATGCAATTTTGGCACCTCAGTTTTATTATCTGAATTGCAGATAATTATAACACCGACTTTACTGAGTTGGTGTGAGGATTAAATAAATTAATATGAGTTAGATACTTACTACATAGATGGTGGGTCCTCAATAGCTGATTTTTCCAGCAACCTGAATGATGACAGTAGTGCAATGAGGAAGCCATATACCTGCAGTACAGAGTCAGACCTCAATACATGCTTGCTGAAGGGAGGACAGGAGCATAGCATATTCAGCCAGGCCATTGGCACAATCAGGCTGTGAACATTTGTTTTCACAGCTGGGCATAGCATACCTCTAGGTGCTGGGGGTTCAAAAAGGAATACCTGTGAAGATACTTGTGAGGTCACAGATATGGAAATGGATGATTAGGAGGCAGTGTGGTAAGTTCTATGTGAGGGGCAGGCTCTGAGCATAGCAGCTTTGAAGAGGCAGGTTAGGCTTCCTGGAGGAGGTGATGTCAAAGGGGGATCAGAAGGACAAGTAGGAGTTATCCAGGGAGAGGGGGCTGAATGCCAGATCTAGGGGAATATTCATGCACTAGTGGATATTCTGGGCCATCAGGGGGTTCAGTGTGGGTGAGGTGCATGGTGTAAGAGGCAGGAACATCAAGGTTTGAGACTGGAAAGATAAGCAGCATTAGCTGGTTGGATTGAGATGAGTTGGGCTAAATTGGGTTCCATGCCTTCAGTTCTGGCCAGCTCATGTCACCCATAGCACATTCTTACCACAAAGGTCACCTGTGTGTCCTTGAATAACACTCCTCCCTGGATTAGTCAATTATACACTGCTTTGGTGCCCAGAGCTATGAAAGGTCACAGAGGCCCAAATTCCTGCCCCAGGGAACACATGATCACTTTCTATTAGAGGACTGTTAACTAACTTGGGGACCATATTTCAAAACTGTCACATGGAGATTTAGGGAAAACCTCCTGGAAGAAGTGGCTTGGCTAAGTTTTGAAAAGTGCATAGGGGTGAGAACAGGGAGAGAAGAGGAAAGAGGACATGCTGTGGAGGGGCCAGCAAACGAGAAACTCAGGAGGCAGAAAATCTCAGGTCTGATTCAAAGGACTCTGGCTCAAGAGGGGAAAGTGTGTGCTAAGATGGGTGGTGGGAAAGGCAGAGGAGGGAGGCAAAGGTCTTTGTGTGTTAAGCTATAGAATTTGAAATTAGTGTTGAATGCAGAAATAATGAAAGATTTTAAGCAGGGGAATAAGGTCATTGGTGGATTCACTAGGATGCTCTTGGCTGCCAGTAACAGAGCACATGACTAAAGTGGCTTACATAGAGGGAGGCTGATAATTTCTGTTAGGAAGGTAGTTCTAGGGCTGATGCAGCAAATTCTACCAGCCTCAGCACCTCTGTGGCATCATTCCTCATAATTACAAGGTAGCTGCTATGGCTCCAAGCATCATGGCTTTATTACAGCATGCAAAACAGGAAACAAGGATACACATATCTATACCGGTGGCTCTCATTGGGTGCAATTTTGCCACGTCTGAAAGCATTTTTGGTTATCACAACTTGGGAGCAGCTGCTGGCATCTAGTAAGTACAGGCTTGCTTGCTTTCTTCTTGATATATCTTTAGTTCCTGGAATTTTCCTTTCCATTGTTATGTTAAATGCAGTGTCTTTTTTCCCTTTCAGTTTTTCAAAGGAGAATTACTTTGATTGATCTTGTTATTATGATAGAGCAGTGATGGTGGGAAGTTGGGGAAGTGTTGTCAACTTACAATAAATGCAGTTTGTCTATAGTCAACCCAGACATTGAAATATTGTCTCTGATATTTCCGCTGGAGGTTTCTGGTTTGGCCTGATTCTTTTAAAGATGCCGAGCCAACCTGATATTTTTTCTTCCTAAACAGCTTCCTTTTCCTGTTTCTTGTTTACCATGCTATCTGCCATCAGCCTTGTTTTTTTCCAAAATCAGAATTTGTTCTCTGCTGTTAGCTGCGGGTGTCAACATCATGGACGTGTGTGTGTGTGTGTGTGTGTGTATGGTTTCTTATATATTTTCATGTCAACACAATTTAGCTGACAAAATTCTAGCCTCTTTCAATAACAAAGTTGTGGTTTTCCTTCCAGCATGAAATCAACAGCTGAAAAGAACAGTATAGTAAAAATACTAAACCAATGTACCATGCTGAAAATCTGTACCAAGTGAGTTATTGAAAAATGAATATCATATGTTTAAATAATCCAAAGGTCAAAGAAGTCTCAAGGGCAATAAAAATATACATGGAATGAAATAAAAATGAAAATACAAAATATCAAACTTTGTGAGACACAGCTAAAGTATTGCTGAGAAAACAATTTATATCACTAAATGCTTACATTAAAAAAGAGAAAATGTCTCACATAAATAATCTAAGCTCTTATCTCAAGAATCTACAAAAAGAAGAGCAAAATAAACCCAAAGTAAGTAGAAAAAAAGGAAAAAAATAAGGAGCAAAATTAATAAAACTGAAAACATAAAAAAGAAATGACACAAAAAGATTGTTCTTTGAAAAGATCAATAAAAGTGATAAACCTTTAGAAAGACCCACCAAATAAAAAAAGAAAGACACAAATTAGCAATATCAGGAATGAAACAGGGAGTATCACTACAGACCCTGCAGACATCAAAGGATAATAATCAAATACAGTTGACAGCTAACCCTTGTACGGGGGGGTTAGACATGGTAACCTCCTCTATCTCCATGCAGTTGAAAATCTGCATATAACATTTGACTCTCCCAAAACTTAACTATTAATAGCCTACTATTGACCAAAGCTTTACCATAACATAAATAGTGGATTAATACATATTTTGTATGTTATATGTATTACATGCTGTATTCTTACAATAAAGTAAGCTAGAGAAAAGAAAATATTAAGAAAATAACCTCTCTTGGTAAGTCTAGCTAGCAATTTATTAATTTTATTTTTTCAAATAACCAACTTTCTGTGCTATTGATAATTTGTATTGTTTTCTTTTGTTTTAATTTCATTTAGTTCTGCTCTCATCTTTATTTCTTTTCTTCTGCTAGTTTTGGGTTTGTTTTTTTCTTCTTTTTCTAGTTCCTTGAGGTGTGATGTTAGGTTGTTAATTTGCGATCTATTTTTTTTTTTGGATGTAGAAGTTTAATGCTATAAACTTCTCTCTTAGCACTGCTTTTGTTGTATCCCAGAGGTTTTGGTATGTTGTGTTTCCATTTTCATTCATCTCAAAAAATTTTTAAATTTTCATCATTGACCCAAGATTATTCAGGAGCATGTTACTTAATTTCATGTATTTTTATAGTTTCCAGAGTTCTTGTTATTGATTTCTAGTTTTATTCCACTATGATCTGAGAATATACTTGATATGATTTTGATCTTTAAAAATGCATTGAGACTTGGTTTGCAGCCTCACAGATGATCTATCTTGGAGAATGTTCCATATGCTGATGAGAAGAAGGTATATTCTATAGTTTTGAGTGGAATGTTCTGTAAATGTCTATTAGGTCCATTTGGTCTAAAGTCCAATTTAAGTCCAATGTTTCTTTGTTAATTTTCTGTCTCAATGATCTATCTAATGCTGTAGGTGGGATGCTGAAGTCCCTCACTATTATTGTGTTATTGTCCATCTCTTTCTTTAGATCTAGTAATATTTGTTTTATTAATCTGAGTGCTGTGGTGTTGGCTGCATATATATTTAGGATTGTTATATTCTTTTGTTGAATTGATCCCTTTATCATTATATATAATGACCCTTGGGTTTTTTTAAGGTGTGTTTTATCTGATACAACTATAGCTACTCCTGCTTCCTTTTGGTTT